>NC_000002.12:46857018-47160049 GCF_000001405.40 Homo sapiens | reverse complement strand
CATATGGAGATGGGTGGCAGAAATAGTGAAGGTGGGAAAGGAAGGAGAAAAGGATTGGAAAAGTGAGAAAAGAGGGAGAGAAGCACAGAAAATAAGAGGAACAAAATAAGGGGTGTAACTAAGGAGAGATTGAAGAGGAAGGCCGAAAAGATGGGGATCTATGGGGGCTGGCTTAGTGTAGTCACCTTTTGGGGGCCACCATCATGCGTGCCCACAACATTCCTCCACCACCATGTGTGTCGTACTGTGCTACTGTGTTAGATCCAGGATACCTGTGAGTTGCCTCTGCCCACAGAACAAGATGGTGGCAGTCATGGGAAAAGAGGGGCAAGTTTTTTGTTTTGTTTCTTTATCCAGATTGTATTTGACAACTTCAAAAGGCCCCAATGAAAGACTCAAAAACTTAAGTGTACCTAGTATGGGAATTGGCATAAAGTAGGTATTTACTGTTTCCTACCTTTATAGTTTTCAACTTTGGCATTTGTCCATGTTGACTTAAGCTGTGCAGTGATGTTTTAAATGTTTGCATGTTCAAAAAAAAACCAAATCTAGTTGGGGTGAGCATCCTTATAGTTTTACTTCTATTAACTAATATTTTATTCATTGTGCTTTTTAATTCTATAAGATGAGAATTTTCAGCTTGCCCATCTGCAACATTTTGCAAAAAAAGATGTCTTTAGGAGTAAATTGGCAATGACTACACCTTGTTTTAGTTTTTGCTGGCTTCTATCATTGCTTTCTCTATAATTTGAGCTACTCCAAAGGTGGTTATCAGGGTTTTTATTTTTTTAAAGTACCTTTTAAATGCTTAATGAAAGATTCCATAGCAAACCAGAGCCAAGATTAAAACATTGAGTGTAATTGTTACCTGGTTATTATAGCTACAAGGTCTTTAATTTCCCAGGGGTAATTCATTATTTGGCAGGTTACTGCCCCATTGACTATCTTAATACTACTATTAGTATGTTTTAGAGCAAGGGAAGTTACAGGCATTGATAGTTCTAATGGTATCACATACTCGGGTAATCAGTTAAATAGGAAGATTTTAGATGTGCACTCTACTCCCCTTAATTGGATGTAGTAAATTTTGTCGAAAGGAAATCCAAACAAGGTTTGTTTTTTGTAAAGACAGGGACTCATGTTGCCCAGGTTGGTCTTGAACTCCTGGGCTCAAGTGATCCCCTCACCTCATCCTCCCAAAGTGTTGGGATTATGAGTGGGGCTTTTTTAAAAGTTAAGTGAAATAATGAAAGTAAGGCCCTTAACATTGTCCTTGGCATTTGCATTAAGTGTTCCATTAATTGTGCTATTAAACCAGTTATGACCCTGAAAAATGAGGGACTTAGGCAGTCAATTTGTGTTTTTCCAGCGTCAACAATGAGGTTTATATAAATTGATATCAAGGTATAATTAACAAGGACAACAAAGGTAGGAGAAACATTTTTTGGGCTCTTCTATGTCATAATTGGTCATTTCTATTGTTGAAATCTTTACAAAAGTCACGAAGTCTTGGCATTTTGATTTTACAGGAAACGAGTAGAATGATTGTATAATTTAACTGTGGTCATAATGAGCTGGGTTCAAATCTGTTCCAATGCTTCCTACAACATAATCCTATTGGAACCCAGGACTGTGATATCACCTTCAAGTTGTGTTTTTGTTTTTGTTTTTGTTTTTTTTAGATGGACTCTAGCACTGTTGTCTGGGCTGGAGTGCAGTGGCGCAATCTCGGCTCACTGCAGCTTCTGCCTCCCAGGTTCAAGCAATTCTGCGTCAGCCTCCCGAGTAGCTGGGATTACAGGCGCCCGCCACCACGCCCAGTTAATTTTTTGTATTTTTAGAAGAGACAGGGTTTTACTATGTTGGCCAGGCTGGTCTCAAACTCCTGACCTTGTGATCCGCCCACCTCGGCCTCCCAAAGTACTGAGATTACAGGTGTGAGCCACCTCGCCCAGCCCCACCTTCAAGTCTTAACCATACTATTAGTGTTATATTAATAGGATTTTGGTAATTGTACCAACCATAATACTGTCTGGCATGTTTGCTCTCAGATGATTCTCCCAATAAACAACTATTGCAGTTAAATATCACCCTTGGTGTAACGTATTTTCCTAAAATTTTTAGAAGACGGCAACAATTTTAAAGATCTGATATGTAACAGAGGCACTGTTGAGCTCAATTATAGATATGTATTCTCAAGAGAAATGCCTCTCCCCCTTTTTGAAACTTACAATAATCTGGAAATAAATCTCAGTGATACTATATAAGATAATGTTTTCTTAAAGGAACACTATGTTTATCCTACGTGCTTAATCTGCTTTGTGGATAGTCCTTGAAATCATTGACCCATGCTGTTTCTATTTTTGAGATACTTAAACTATTTTCTCATCTAGATGTTCCCATCTCTAATGTCACACCTTGTATGGGTTTCTGGACTTCTCTGTACCTTTCATATTCTTTTAGTCTCGAGGGTACCAGTCCCTAGTCTGCTGAGCCAGTTTTACAGGCTCAGCCAAAATAAGAAAATGAAATGAGGCACAGGGAATGGACTTGATTAATCTCTTAACATTTGTGAGAACTTTGGTATTGCCTCTTCACTTTCTAATTTCAGTTGTTCATTTTAAACCTAGTGCCTGTTTTTTTTTTCAAGGCTATGTTAAATGAATTTAGAATCCCAGTATTTTAAGAAACTAGATGAAGTCCTCTAGTCTCTTGCTCCTCAAAAAGTCACCTACAGAATCACCCAGGAGCTTGTTGGAAATGCAGAATCTTAGGTCCTGCCCCAGAATTGGAATCAATCTGTTTTTTTAACAAGATCATCAGATATTTTGTATGCATATCAATTTTTGAAAAGCACTGCTGTAATCTAGTCTTGGATTTACTTAGAGGGGAAAACTAGTCAGTGGTTTATTCAACAAATATTTTAGTCCTTGTGTTCAAAGGGGTCAATTAAAAACCGTGTTTTGGGTGTTTAAAATTAGAGGAGAAACGATTTGTCATAAAATGAATCTTCCAACAATGATAGGCACAGGGTCCTTTGGGACTTAGTGGATTAGGCTTAGAGGTCTACTCAGAGGAGCTGACCCTTGAGATTTTCCAGGTGGTCAAAGAAAAGAATAGCATTTCATGCAGAAGAGCTAGCATATGTGGAGACAAATAGAAATGTGAAGATGGCATGTTTGGGGTTTTTGCAAGCATGATACAGCAGAGCATGCCATCCTAATAAGAGAAGTGGCCGGGTGTGGTGGCTCAACCTGTAATCCCAACACTTTGGGGGACCGAGGTGGGTGGATCATGAGGTCAGGAGTTCGAGACCAGCCTGACAAATATGGTGAAACCCCGTCTCTACTAAAAATACAAAAATTAGCTGGCATGGTGGCGGGCGGCCGAGGTTGTAGTGAGATCGCGCCACTGCACTCCAGCCTGGGCAACAGAGTGAGACTTCGTTTCAAAAAAAAAGAGAGAAGCGAGAGACTGGATTGTAAATGTTGCTTTTGTCCTAAAGGTAATGACAGCTCACATTTACTGACTGCACTGTGCCAGACATGGTTGTGAACAGTTCGAGTTAATCTTTTTTATAACCTATGTGGATAGGTACCAATTTTATTATCCCCTTCTCTATAGACAAGGAAATAAGCACAGAATAAGTCATTATATGCAACCAGCGTCCAAGTCCTGGTAGTCAAGGGAGGAGAGTGATTCAAGAATGAGGGAATAATCAATGCAGCAATGAAAATTGAAGGCCAAGTTTCATAAGAGCTGAAAATCCCCACTGGATTTGGCACTTGGATCCCTGGTGAGTTCAGGTGCAATTTTAATTAAAAGCTGTGTGCAGGCCAGATTAAGATGTTTTAAGGAAAGTATGGGAAGTGAGAAAAGAGTCCATATTACTCTTGAAAGTTTGTAAAGGGAAGCAGAAACTTCATGGTATAGGGCAGTGGAGCTCTAGAGTCAGGTCTGGATTTTAATTCTGGTTCTGCCATTTGTGTGTGATGCTGAGTGAACTGTGCTAAACGTCCAAGGAAACCTTTGTTTCCTCATCCAGAAAATGAAACTAATACCTACTTTGTAGGGTTGGTATGAAGATTAAATGAGACTAATGTGTGTGAAGTCCCTGGAATACAGTAGGTACTGTATAAAATGAAATTAAGGTTGTGGAGGGTTTGTTTTTAAAGGTGAGAATGTTCCTAGGTTAAGAAGAAGCTACAGCCTAGAGAGGCTGACAATAAAAAGGGTCTATACTGAGAAGAATGGGGTGGTCTGTGGTTTCACAGCTAGTGAAACCGGCTGTGTCTGGTGCTCACTCCACTCTGCAAGTCAGAAGCAAGAGAAGTCAGCCCCAGAGTTTCTATTTGGAGGAGCTTAGAAACAATCTTAGAAAGTGGGTGCTAAGGCAGATTTCTCTTAAGTATGCCTACCAAGCACACTGCCTCCCTGTCTGGGGTGTGCGATTGGTGGTGGATTGGAAGGGAACTAATGGAGATTGTGGGTACGCTCAAGCCCTTAACAAGCCTCCCTTTTCGCAGATCCTTACCCGAGGGCTCTCTAGCAACTCCAGAGCCCTCTAGATTTTCTTCTCACAAGCTTTCATAACCGTCTCTTTTCGAGGGTTTTCCTCTGCGCAGTTCTTCGCGCGGGACCTCAAAGTGCGTGCCCGCTTCCCTTCCCTGCAGCACTAAAGACAAACCTGGCGGGTCCCCCGGAGCGGTCCCAGGCGCGCGCGCTCGGGAGCCCACGGGCCACACCCGCCTCCTAGCAACCGGAGCTCAGGTTCAGCCTAGAGAGAGAGGAGGCCACCATGGACCAGCCAGCCGTCGCCACCGCTTCCACCTCAATAAGGGAAGACCTGGTGGGTGGAGAATCATTCATCACAGCTTCGGTAAGATGGCCTGCCCCTTGCCGGCCTGGCTCCTGCTCCCCTCACCAGGCCCACTACCCTTTTCCCACCGCTCTCTAATCCCAGGCCTTCGTGCCGCTCTCGTTCCCTCTTCCTACCCTTCTCTCCCTGCCCTCACGCACGTCTCCACCTGCGGACCTTCCTTCCTGGTCTTTATTGGACATTTCCTTTGTTTTATTTCTTTTCCCCTTGCTTCTTCCCTTTTCCTTCTCCTTCGCCCTTTGTTTTCTGTATTTTTCCCTTCTTCCCACTACTAATTAAACTGGACAACTGCTTTAATATGGTGATTGGATTTCTTTCCCTTTCCGCTCCATCTGCCGGAAGACTGGGTTTTTCCTTCTGTAGTTTTACTAGACACGTTTTGCTCCGCCTCCTACTTTAATATTTATAAAAATATTTGAAGCTACTTTTGCTACGTTTTTCTTTTAGAGTCTCGCTCTGTCACCCAGGCAGGAGTGCAGCGGTGTGATCTCGGCTCACTGCAACCTCCGCCTCCCGGGTTCAAGGGATTCTCCTGCCTCAGCCTCCCGCGTAGCTGGGATTACAGGCATGCACCGCCATGGCTGGCCTTTGTTACATTTTAAAATAAATGTGGGTGAGGGTTGTTTAACCTAATCTTTTATCTTTCCCCTTAGAGTGAATTTAAAGTGGTAGATAGATGGAATTTAGATCACCTGTCTTGGGCAAAACAAAACAGCAGCTGCCAATTGTCTTCCATTAGATTGATCGCGTTTACTTCTCTCTCCTTCCCATCTCATTTTCCTTATTCTGGGGTAGGGGTGGGAGGCCTGTCTTGACCTGCCTGAGAAAGTTGTATTTCTGTGACTATAAAAGTGCAACAGAGAAGATTCAACATAAATCTCGCGAAGAAGTATCAAAGAAGAAGCTCAGCTTTAGCAGTGTCATGAGAAAATGTTTTTTAAAGAAATTAACATATTTCATAATAAAATAAAGCCCAGTGGTACTCATAAGTACAGTAGATTTAAGTTACTAGACAGGAAGAATGAATTATATCAGTTTTACTGATTATTACTTTTAATGCAGTCCTGCTTGATGACCTATATTTTATAGTAATAAAGGCATTATAAATGAAAGGAGAACTCAACATTTTAATGATTTTATCTAGGACAAACAGCAATATACTAAACGGTTGTGTTCTGTGGACAATGGGCTGAAATAAATATGAAATAATAATGGATGAATGGGTATAGAGTACTAAATATGAAGACAAAAGCTTCCTTGGAAACTGAGGAATACCAAAATAATCAGCTTCTTAACTTGGCAAATGGGATGTTAAAAATTAAAGCTACCATTTATTAAGCACTGATTGTATATGCAAGTCTTTATAAGTACAATGCCTTAGTCTTTTTTTTCCCCCTGAGGTGGCTTCTTGCTTTGTCGCCCAGGCTGGAGTTGCAGTGATGTGATCTCGGCCCACTGCAACCTCTGCCTACGGAGTTCAAGTGATTCTCGTGCCTCAGCCTCATGAGTAGGGATTACAGCCTTCTGAGGAGGGATTACAGGCATGTGCCACCATGCCCAGCTAATGTTTTTGTATTTTTAGTACAGATAGGGTTTCAACATGTTGGCCAGGCTGGTCTTAAACTCCTGGCCTCAAGAGATCCACCCAACTTGGCCTCCCAAAGTGCTGAGATTACAGGCGTGAGCCACCACATCTGGCATACAATGCTTTATTCTCATGCCAACTCTGGTAGTGCCTTATTTTTATACTACTGTGAGGAAGCACGAGGGTTGGGTAACTCACCCAGTGCACCTAGCTGGTAAGTGGCAGAGCTGAGTTCCAGCCTAAGTCGGTCTGGCTTCAAGCCTAACTCTTTTCTTCCTAAGGACACCACATTTTGTCACATTTAAGATACTTACAACATCTCTGTGAGATGGGGGTGTTTATTACTCTAATTTTATCAAAGGGAATTTAGTTATTTGAAAGGACTTAAGACCATAAAATAACAATTTAAGGAAATATGGGCAAATTTATTATTATGTAGCTTTTATTTTAATGAAGACATATCAGTTGGGTATGGGTGTGAATTTCTTCAAGCAAATGTTTTATAAATTATATTTAATTTCAAGGGATCACCTCTCAAATGAATAAGCATACTTTGTGTTTGTTAACAGAAACCAGCCCAAAAGACTTCCTCTTTTGAAAGAGAAGGATGGTGGAGAATAGCATTAACAGTATGTACATTGTTCAGTCTTTCCTATTCACATTATTCCTATTCCATTAATATTTTAATCAATTATAGCTTTTAAGACTAACACTAAATTGTAAGAAAACAGTGATTGTTCAGATCTGCATGGACCTCATGTCATACTTAAAATTTTAGTGTCAGCATATGAATAAGAAACTAACTTTTAATTTTGAATGCAATAGAAGCTTGGGAAAGTTAAACAATTCTAGAAATCTAGGTGCTTTACAGAATATCTAGATAAGGCTAACCTATGCTCTTATGATCTGGGTGAGATTGCAAAACAAAAAAAGCATACATTCTGGAAAGGTGTTTTGGTTTCAGTTTTTATCTTATATGGTAAAGACCTTCTGCAAATGGTTCTTAATATGGTCAATATATGAAAGCAAAATGGTAATATATGGAAGAAAAATGACCAGAAGATCCCCCTCACCAGAGAGTTTCTATATTACAGACATATTTTCTGTCAATGCCCTTCAATAATAGAGGGACTTCATGGGTCAAAGCCTTCTTGGAATTGCAGTAATTTTAAAGGCAGAACTGAGCTGAGTGCTCAGTGGAAAGATGGCCACAAAAGCAGCAGTGACTAAACGTTCAATTCTGGCCATTCAGCCACACTGGTTGTAATTTGAAAGTACCAAACCTCTTATTGGACTAACTAGGCCATATGCTCTGCCAGTTTATCCTGGTGTCATGTCATTATCCTTCAGCTTCCCACTTGAGGGCTAGAGAGAAACATCCTACATTGGCTAAGCAGATGTAGGATAGCTTCTAGTTAGCCAAGAGACTATCCTGAGTGGTCTCACTAGAGGTCTGAAATTCATAGTCAAGCTTGAATCCCAAAGTTGAATCACCGAAGTTGCCTTTTAAAAACTTAAATTTCGGCCGGGCCTGGTGGCTCACGCCTGTAATCCCAGCACTTTGGGATGCCAAGGCGGGCGGATCACAAGGTCAGGAGATCTAGACCATCCTGGCTAACACAGTGAAACCCTGTCTCTACTAAAAATACAAAAAAAAAAAAAAAAACAAAACAAAAAACTAGCCGGGCGTAGTGGCTGATGCCTGTAGTCCCAGCTACTTGGGAGGCTGAGGCAGGAGAATGGCATGAACCTGGGAGGCGGAGCTTGCAGTGAGCCTAGATTGTGCCACTGCACTCCAGCCTGGGTGACAGAGTGGGACTCTGTCTCAAAAAAAAAAAAAAGTTAAATTTCAACTCTAACCCGTTTGCTTTAATTCAGCAATTATTTCAGAAAGGAAATAATCATGATTTTGAAATACTCTTCTGTCAAGAGTGTTTACTGTATTTGATATAATTTCATTAAACTTGAAAACAAAGAGAGATGTTACTTGGGAGCTTCCCATCCAAGAATGGTGTTTTAGGAGAAGTTACATGTTTACACAATCTTAAAACTGATGTCAATTTTCCACAGGATACTCCTATACCTGGCACTTACCACTTGAAAACTTTTATTGAAGAATCCCTATTAAATCCAGTGATAGCAACCTACAATTTTAAAAACGAAGGAAGGAAAAAGCCACCTCTTGTGCAAAGAAACAATCCAGTCCTAAATGATCTTCCGCAGTATATGCCTCCTGACTTCCTGGACCTGTTAAAGAAGCAAGTGGCTACTTACTCATTCAAAGACAAACCACGGCCAAGCCCCAGCACACTAGTTGACAAAGATCAGGTAAAGCGCTACTGGCAGATTGCTTTGTGTGGGAAAGCTACTAAGAGCCCCTGAGGAAAGTATTTTTATACGTAGAGTATATCTTCCCCCAGGAGAAATGGAAAACCTTTAAGATGTCTTATTTCCCGTAGAAATCAAACAAGGACTGCCTGATTTGCAAATGTTTCCAGTAAGATTTTTCCCTATAACATCTTCTTAACCTAAGGGGAGTACATGGGGAGAAATGTTTTCCTCTTGGGCAACTCTTGGTGGGATTCCCCTAGCCTGGAGAGCACCTGGGATCTTATCTGTCATTGGGCTATGCTCTTATCTCTTCAAGCAGTATATGTGGTGAACCCTCTTCTTTTAAAGAGAAAACCCTGCCTCTCGGGGAGTATCCTTATTAGAGCATAAATATAACTACATACCACAGGGAAGCTTTTAAAAACTTTTCTTATAGAAATGACCCATCTCTACAAAAAATAAAGAAAAATAGCCGGGTGTAGTAGTGCATGCCTGTGGTCCCAACTACTCTGGAAGCTGAGGTGGGAGGATCACTTGAGGCCAGGTGTTGTAGATCAGCCCGGGCAATATAACAAGCCCTCAACTCTTTAAAAAAAAAAAAAAAATAGCTACTTGGGAAGCCAGGGCAGGAGGATCCCTTGAGCCTGGGAGTTTGAGGCTGCAGTGAGCTATGATTATATGACTGTACCCCAGCCTGGGTGACAGAGTGACATGCTGTCTCTAAAAATATTTTTTTTAATTAAAAAAAAAAAGAAAAGAAGTGAGCATGTGGTCCCAGGAGGGTCAGCTTCTACTCTCAGCTCCACCAGTTCATTTGTAGCATTGATAATAAAGAGCACTACTGAGCTCACAGCCCTGCACTAGGCTCTGCGGAAGGAAGATGTTCCTGACCCAGAGGTATTTAAGCAACAATACAGGACAGAGTTTATCAAGTGCTCAGATAAATAGTGGAGCTGGAAATGCCAAAGGAGAGTTCAAGTGCCAAAGGAGGCTGGATTAAAAGGCTGGAAAGCTCCGTGGCTTACGTAGAACTTAACTGGACCTTCACTAATACATGTCTTTTATGTGGCTCTTAATGGTTTACTATGGGCTTCCATGTATATTCTCTTAGTTGCTTCCTTCTTAAGCATTCTGAAATAGAACAGATATTAACTCCATTTTACATGCAAGAAAACTAAGGTGAGTAGAGACTAAATAACTTGTCCAAAGGCACATTGCTAATACTTAAGTAGGTGAAGCAGCACTTTTTACTGAGGGCTTCTGCACCAAAATTTAGTCCTCTTTCCAGTCTACCATGTGCCCCTCGCCTTGAATGAGGGGCAGGGTTTGGGTAGATGGAATCCAAAGGAGGTATTCCGAGGGAGGAGTACAGCATTGTTGAAGGCATGGAAGTGGCAGGAACGTGGTCTGTTCAAGGGATAAGAGTTGTGACTTGGACTTTGTTACTTGGGACTTTGGGTACTTGTCTCAGTTCTCTCTGCATTAATATTTCCCATTTATAAATAAGCTAATAACAGTATCAATCTTCATAACTTCATCAGAATATTATTGTGATAACCTGAGAGAAATGTATTGCAGCTGAAGGTTGAATTAAGTACAAGGGGTTGTAATTACTAAAGTGGACACAAAATTTTCAGCAGGATGAACACATGTCAAATCCAAACTTTCTACTACTTTACAAATTGTAGCTTTGAAACAGAACAGAATGATAAGTGTTCATTAGGTATATCTTATCCTGTTTGCTTCAGTGGATGCATACAAACTCTAAATTATACTAGCACCTTTATGGCTTGCTACCAGATAACCAGGCTATGTGTGAAATTGTTCTGGCTATCTCAAATGCAAAGTCTTTCTTACTCTCTTCTGCCATTTTCTTTTCTGCTTCCTCTCTTCTCGCTTTTACAAGTCCCTGAAAATCAGCCAAAGGCCCAGTGTTGAAAGGAGAAAACGTACAAGGATGGAGTTACACAATACTTAAAGTTTTTAAAGACCAAAAGAATTAGGCTTACTCGGAAGGATGGATAAAACCTTCTGAAAACATAGTTTTTCTGTTTCTTTCTTCTTTCCTCTCCACCTCCCACAAAGGATTAAACTCTAGAAACTGGAAAAATTCAGTGTTTTTCTAATTTTCTATTTCAAAGATATATATATTCACAAGGGGAAACATAAACATTGTTTAGTCACCAGTAAAATTCAAAATTCTGTTTTAATAGCAGAACTCAGAATACTTTGAATTTGGGGTAGATATAGTATGTATTATTGTTATACATTAAGCTAGAATAGCATTCTCAAATTTTATAATTTTTCACAGAATATTCATTTTATATCTTTCAGTGGCTGCTTTTTATTTGTAATAAAGTTTTCAGGAATACTATGCAGCCATAAAAAAGGATGAGTTCATGTCTTTTGTAGGGACATGGATGAAGCTGGAAACCATCATTCTCAGTAAACTATCGCAAGGACAAAAAACCAAACACCACATGTTCTCACTCATAGGTGGGAACTGAACAATGAGAACACTTGGACACAGGAAGGGGAACATCACACACAGGAGCCTGTCGTGGAGTTGGGGGAGTGGAGAGGGATAGCATTAGGAGATATACCTAATGTAAATGACGAGTTCACGGGTGCAGCACACCAACATGGCACATGTATACATATGTAACAAACCTGCACATTGTGCACATGTACCCTAGAACTTAAAGTATAATAATATAAATAAATAAATAAATAAAGTTTTCACTATTTTTAGTATCTTTATTCTGAGGCATGTAACTCAACTCGAGAATCTGTATTGGAGAGACTTTCTATTTTTTTTTCAACTTTTATTTTAGATTCAGGGTCTACATGTGCAGGTTTGTTACCCGTGTATATTCCATGATGCTGAGGTTTGGGGTACGATTGATCCCATCACCCAAGTGCTGAGTGGCTAACTATTAGTACCCAATAGTTAGTTTTTCAACCCTTTCACCCGTACTGAACAGTCTTATTAGGCATATATATATAGGGGCTATGTGCAGTGGCTCACACCTGTAATCCCAGCACTTTGGGAGGCCGAGGCAGGTGGATCACTTGAGGCCAGGAGTTCGAGACAGCATGGTGAAACCCCATCTCTACTATAAGAAAAATACAAAAATTAGCTGGGCATTGTGGCACAGGCCTGTAATCCCAGCTACTTGGTAGGCTGAGGCACGAGAATTGCTTGAACCCGGGAGGTAGAGGGTACAGTGAGTTGAGATTGTGCCACTGCCCTCCAGCCTGGGCGACAGAGCAAGACCCGGTCTCAAAAAAAAAAAAAGGAATATGTATATACATATTTGAATGTGTGTGTGTGTGCATGCATATACTTATCTATATTTGGCCCTTTTCAAAGGAGATTTGAGGTAGCTCTGTAATTTTTCTAATAACCTTTTTCTTAACAGATAAATAGTATATTCACATTGTAGAATATATGTACACAAACGGGACCACCTTCTCCATATGTACAATTTTATGACCTGCTATTTCCCCTAGTGTTGTAGTCCTCCACTGACCCCTGGGTTACTCCCCTTATTCCTTGATATTAGCCCCCTTCCCTCACTGTCACTCTTTTCACTACTCATATCATAATTTCAACACACACATAGATGATCTTTCAACAACCTGGCTTCTCAGTTTCTTGAACTTTCTGCTACCTCAGCCACTCACTCCTTAGATGTTTTTCAAGACCAAGAATTTCAACTCTCTACAATCTCTACATGAATCCCACTCTCTAATATCCCAACCCTAACAATTTTTCCATTCCCTGCAGGCTACAATCCTAATCTATTGATTGTCCCACCTTTTCGCTACCTCTCAACTCCCTTCTTCCTTGCAAAGCTCCAATCCCATAGTTAATCATTATAGTTATTCCCTGCATACACTGTCAATTCCCTTGCCCCTAACTGCTCATCTTTTACTTGTTTGGCAAAGCCACAACCCTGGGTACGTCTCTCTTTGTATTAATACCTGCATCCATGTAGCTGCATGACTGCTCTCATGCTAAATTCTTCACCTCTGATGGGCACTGAATGGACTTCTCTAGTCTGTTTACTTTGCCATTCTCCTGGGTGGTTTTATCTTGTATATCCTATTTATTTATTTATTTAAGACACTGTCACCGAGGCTACAGTACAGTGGCACAATCATAGCTCACTGCAGCCTCGATTCCCCAGGCTCAAGCAATCCTCCCCCTTAGCTTCCTGAATAGCTGGGACTATAAGCACGCACCAGCCACCATGCCTGGCTAATTTTTTAAATTTTTAGAAGAGGCGGTCTCATTATGTTGCCCAGGCTGGTCTCAAACTCCTCAGCTCCAGCGATCCTCCTGCCTCATCCCCCCAAAGTGCTGAGATTACAGGCATGAGTCACGCACCCAGCCACTCTCCCCTCTTTTCAAACCTCCTACACTTCCTCCCCTATCCTCATTTTTGGTTTTTCTTCTCAGCCATTTTTTGCCATCTCTGCTCTTCCCTCATCTCCATCTTGGAGTGCCCCAAGCACTCAGACCTCTGCTCCATCTCTGCTCATTCTCTGAATGGTGATCTCATCCAGTCTCACTCAAGGCTATGAACACCATGTATTTGTTGGTGATTACCAAATTTGTATCTGCCACCTAGATAGTTTTCTTGAATTCCAAACTTGTATATCCAATTCCTTTTTTTTTTTTTTTCAGTAGAGATGGGGTCCCACTATGTTGCCCAGGCTGGTCTCAAACTCCTGGGCTCAAGTGGTCCTCCTGCCTTGGCCTCCCAAAGTGCTGAGATTACAGGAGTGAGCCATTGCGGCCAATTCCCTTTTTGATTTATACATCTGTATGTCTAATCCTGGTTTTGTCAAGCTTGGCACTGCTGACGTTTTGGGCAGGATAAATCTTTGTTGTGGTTGGGTGGGGCGGGGGGCTGTTCTGTGCATTGTAGCACCTGGCCTCTACTCATTAAGTATCATTAGCAATCTACTTTTCCAGTTGTAACAACCAAAAATGTCTCCAGACGTTGCCGTGCTCCTGGTTCAGAACCACTAGGTTAAAGCGGTATGATAGTGAGTGTGATCTCTGAGTGGCTTTTCTCAAGGCCAGCAGGGATATTGTGAACTGGCTTCATTCTTGACTTTGTCTTACTACTCCCTGTCACTCTCTTCCTGACCCACTTGTCCTTTTGGCTGTATCTTGAACTTAGCACTCACACTCCTACCTCAAGGTATTTTCACTGTACCCTTTTTCTGGGATACTCTTATCCAAGATATCTGGATGGCCTACTCTCTATCCTTCTTCAAGTCTTTGTTCAAGTGTCATGTTCTCAATGAGCCCCATTTAAATTTACTATTCAACGCTTCAGATCTTCCCTACCTGGCTCTTATATTTTTTTCTTGGCATCTATAGCTATCAAGTGTACTATATAATTTACTTGCACTTTACATTGATTATTTGTTAATGTGCCTTCTCCCATGAATGGAACTTCATGAGGACATGAATATTTATCTGTTTTGCTCATTATTATATCTCTGTCTAGAACAGTGTCTGATGATTAATATTGGTTGAACCTGTGAATGAATTAATGATTACTCAAATACCTGAAATCTGACTGGGCCTTACTCATTTTGTTTTCTTATGTGTATGTGATTGTCTTTAACTGTGTATTGCTCGTTACTCTTGAAAATGTATTTTTGTGAATTCCCCAAGGCCTAAGGTTTGCTTTGGCTTCTGTTAATATATAGGGGAGCCACCAGTCTGGTACAACTCAAAATGCAGTGTTTATGTCTTCTTGGATCACCCTAGCATTGTGAATTTGGGCTGGAATTCATGAAAGGGACAGCCCATGGTTATAATCTCTCAGGGACGGGTTTCTTCTCCCTCTCAGTTCTTGCTTAGGCAACTCTCTGCAGTCCCCTTGGCAGTGGAGTGAGGTGGGAGAGTTTACTTTCAGGAAGTACCTTTCTAGGGTCTCAAATTCCAGTGGGTATCTTCCATTAGACTCCTTCCTCCCTTTATCATGAATAGGCCCAGACTTTGACCCCTGGATTCTTCCAGGGCTCTGAAGTTCCTTTAAACTCAGCTGTGTTCTGTTGAATTTAGTCTGGACCAGCAAACATTCTCTAGACAAAATTAAGCCACTTACCTCCTTGGCTTCTTGCTGTCTTTTAGTTTAGGATCATGTAATTTCCTACTATATTGTTGGCAATTCCATATCTTTTTAAAAACTCTTCTGTGGCTGGGCACGGTGGCTCACGCCTGTAATCCCAGCACTTTGGGAGGCCAAGGCGGGCGGATCACGAGGTCAAGAGATCAAGACCTTCCTGGCTAACACAGTGAAACCCCATCTCTACTGAAAATACAAAAAATTAGCCAGGCATGGTGGCACGCACCTGTAGTCCCAGCTACTTGGGAGGCTGAGGCAGGAGAATCGTTTGAACCTGGGAGGCGGAGGTTGCAGTGAGCCGAGGTTGCGCCACTGCACTCCAGCCTGGGCGACAGAGCAAGACTTCATCTCAAAAAACAAAAAACAAAAAAACTCTTTTGTTTGTTTTTTTTTAATATTTTATCTTTCATTTCTAGTGGTCAGCAGTGGGAAGGTTAATCGCCCGAATAAATAACCTAGCATGTCATTTGCAGAAACCAGAATTTCTTCTTTTTAGAAATATATTATTAATCTTTTTCATGTATTCTTTACACATCATTTATTTTTGTGTATTTATACATTTGTTCATTTATTTATTTTCTAGAGTCAGGGTCTTACTATGTTACCCAGGCTGGTTTTAAACTCCTGGACTCAAGCAGTCCTCCTCCTGCCTCAGCCTCCCCAAGTGCTGAGATGACAAGTGTGAGCCACCATGTCCAGTCTATACAACATTTTTAATAGCTGCATAGTTTTCTTGTATATGGACATATCCTAATATATTCAGCCATCCCCTGTGGTTAGTCATAGAGTGGAATTGTTAAGGAAAGGATATGTTGAAGTCTGTGTCTTTCGAGATGCATTGTCCAAAGTCCTAGAGAAAGGTTGTCCTATTCTGCAAGTCTACCTTGCAGAGTAGAAGTCCATTACCATTTGAAATGCATCATTTATATTTTCAACTAGAAACATGGATCTAGTGACTTAAATGGAGGATTTTAAAGTATAAGCTTGAAATCAACATGCTAGGGTAACTTCAGGACAACCTGAAGTCAGTTTAAACTGTGCCAGTCAGAACATGGTTCCAGAATCTATCTACAGTTAGTGGGACAGGGAGAAGATGGTGATGCTGTCTCAGCCTGTAGCCAGTGAATCATTACTGAACAAGGTCAGTCAATGCAAAAAAATGTAGAGTATTACCACTGTGAAGATGCAAGGGAGTTTCCAGAAAGTGCTGATCACTAACTGGCTTTATCACCTGTATCAAATGGTGAAAATGAGTCATGGTCTTTTACAATCCAATTGTAATAAATATTCCGGTTAAAAATGAGCAAAGGGTGGCCAGACACGGTGGCTCACACCTGTAATCCCAGCACTTTGGGAGGCCGAGGCAGGCGGATCATGAGGTCAGGAGATCGAGACCATCATGGCTAACACGGTGAAACCCTGACTCTACTAAAAATACAAAAAAAAATTAGCCGGGCGTGGTGGCGCACGCCTATAGTCCCAGCTATTCGGGAGGCTGAGGCAGGAGAATGGCGTGAACCCAGGAGGCGGAGCTTGCAGTGAGCCAAGATCACATCACTGCACTCCAGCCTGGGCGACAGAGCGAGAATCTGTCTCAAAAAAAAAAAAAAATGAGCAAAGGGCATGAGCTGGCAATTCACAAAGAGACACACCAATTACTAAAAAAGAAAGTGATGCTTGGCTTCAACTAATAAATAATTACAGAGGAATAATAGTGAGGCACAATTTTCGCCTATCAGGTGATCAACTATATAAGTACTGTACATTGATACCCAATATTGGCAAAGGAGATACACAAACAGATACTCTCACACGTTGTTTATATGAATACAAACTGGTGCAAATATTTTGGAGGGCAATTTGGCAACCTAGCAACATTCTAAATGCACATAGCCTTAAACTCAGCAATGCCAGTTAGAAAATGATACACCCATACAAATGACATACTGTGCAACCATTACAAATGTTGAGGTTGGCCGGGTGCGGTGGCTTACGCCTGTAATCCCAGCAGTTTGGGAGGCCGAGGCAGGCAGATCACCTAAGACCAGCCTGGCCAAAATAGTGAAATCCCATCTCTACTAAAAATACAAAAAAATTAGCCATGTGTGGTGGCAGGCGCCTGTAATCCCAGCTACTCGGGAGGCTAAGGCAGGAGATGAACCCAGGAGGTGGAGGTTGCTGTGAGCCAAGATCGCGCCACTGCACTCCAGCCTGCGCAACAAGAGCAAAACTCTGTCTCAAAAAAAAAAAAAAAAAAAAAAAAGATGAGATAAATCTATATGTGTTGATATGGAAGCATCTCTAAGTTGTTACTACATGAAAAAAAATGAAGGTACAAGTCAATATTTAGAGTATAATCCCATTTGTATACATGAAAACAAATGTACATATATGTGATGTTAAATGCATACTTTTTTCCCCTGAGAAATACTTTCATAATCACCAACAGTGGTTTCCATTTGGAAAGTAGAGGTTAGATAGGGAGCAAGGAGACTATTAATTTTTTTCTTTCTGTTGATATTGTTTTCAATGTGTAAATGATACTCTTTCAATCATGCCCATTTGTAAGTAACTCGAAATTTTTTCCAACTAACATTTTTGTTCTCTTGTTTTCTTTCTTAAAATGTTCCATTTTAAAAAAATTCTCTTATTTATTTCCTAGGTTGGGAACATTTCAATGAAAATCACAGTTAAGCAAATGAAATTTGAAATTTGAAATTTCAATTTAAAGGTTAGCTTTAGCATTGCCTTGGAAGATGGAGCTCATGGAAAATGAAACAAATTTGGCAATTCTATTCCCTCCCTGCCCCTGTATCTTTTTTTTTGGTCAAAAAGAGGTAGCCAGGCTAGAAAGGCGCCCCATTAAATTAGAGAATGAATCAAAGGATCCATTTGAATATGTTCAAAATACATCCTTGAACTAGTTGAGAGAGAGGTTGAAAAATCTGGCAGTTAACTCACTGATCTTTGCTAGCTGTGTTTATAGCTGTGATGAGGATATCTCTGAAAATAGATTAATTTGCAGAATGCTCCATGGTAAAATGACTACTGAAGGGATTTTCAACAGGATGGTTTTCCTTGAGCATGGTATCAACCAAAGTTTGTGCCCACAGAAGGGCTGACCAGCCACACTGCAGCAGTAATGGTGAACATCAGAGTGGGGCATCCTAGATCCTTCAGTAGCCACACAGCATCCCCAGAGAATCCTCCCGCCGAATGTACAGCCCTCCCCCAGGTGTTCAGTGTGTTCACTAAAGTGGTAAAATGATAAATTTTACTTAGAAAACAACAAACAACAGCAGTGATCTGAACACTCATTTTAGACCTGAAGTGTGTGTTGATTTTGAACAGTTGCACTACTATATAGCTATAAACCATAGGAAGGGTGCCAGTCACTCTGAGAACCCAAGAGTTAAATGTGGGGATAACAAAGAGCATAATGTAGCAAAGATGAAACAATTCATTCTTCACTTAAATGAAAAAAAGTAGCACTCAAAGTGGTTAGTCAAGCGGCTTATTTAGCAGATTTTTTTTTTTTTTTTGAGGCAGGACTTCTCAAAGAGCCCCTGCAAAGTAATGCAGTGATTGTCACTTAAAATATGTCAAGAGTGTGGCAAACAAAAGTGAAGTTTGAAAGCTGGATACAGAGAATTTATCTCAGGGATGACACTCACTTGTAGTTCTCAGTGAAAATTACAAGATATTGGTGAAATTAAGGATATCATTAGTATCATTGGATATGTTTTCTTTCTTTCTTCTTTTTTTTTTTTTTTTGAGAAAGTCCCATGTTGTTTATTTCTCAGACCTTAAAGAAATCTGAGCAGTGAGTCAGTAATGTTTCCATATGACACAAGAGGCTTTACTTCTGAGAGAGAAGAGACACTTAAAGAAATTTCTATCAAGACCTGGAAATGGCTGGGAGCGGTGGCTCATGCCTGTAATCCCAGCACTTTGGGAGGCCGAGGGGGGCAGATCACTTGAGGTTAGGAGTTCGAGACCAGCCTAGCCAATATGGTGAAACCCCATCTCTACTAAAAATACAGAAATTAGCTGGCCGTGGTGGTACACACCTGTAGTCACAGCTACTCGGGAGGCTAAGGCGGGACAGTCGCTTGAATCTGGAAGGTGGAGGGTGCAGTGAGCCGAGATCACACCACCGCCTCCCCGATAGAGTGAGACCCTGTCTTAAAAAGAAAAAAAAAAAAGTACCTGGAAATATGGTACCTGCCAGCCTTCTGGCTGCATTCACCTTATGATTATTCTAATAGGGATTCTAAAGGTGTAGAAATCCTATTAGAAATCTGTTGCCTTCTGACCCACCTATTTATGGGTCTGGGTTCTCAAAATGGTGTCACGCTGACTTCCAGTTTCCAGTTCTGCATGTAAATAGCTTGGAAGTTGAAGTTCCATCCTAACAACAAGTTAAAAGCTAAACAAACTGAAAAATCAACAATTATTTTAGACTTGTAAGAGAAGTGAGGTCACAGGGCAGACTATCCCCAAAATTGGAGAGATGGCCAGGAGGATACAGAGAATTACAATTTACCAGGGCAGAAAATACCAACTTCTGCAGGAACCATGGCTGGGGTAGGAACACCTGAACTACAACTGAAGAATTGCTGGAGGCTAAGTGTTGGCAAATCTGAGAGTTAAAAGCTCCAGGAGGACCTAATCATAGGGGGTGCCTCACGTGTTTTGAGGTTTACCTGCAGGAGCTCTCCCAGGTTCTTACAGAGAGAAATCCTGCCCCTGCTGCTGGCAGAGGAGAGGAAAAGGAACCATTTTGAAATATGTCAGGCACTCTCTTACTAACAAGGCCTGCCCTCAGGAGAAACTATTCAATCAGGACCTAACTGACCTGAGGGAAGGGCAATACCCAACTCCAGCCAGCTTTAGTCATCCTGTGCCACCTAAGGGTGAGGAGGTAGCTGAGAAAATCTTGTGAAATTCACAGTACAGATGGTCACAGATTTTCATGAGTCTATACCAGAGAGAGGTAGAGACTCATGAAAAAGACTGATACTGCAGCTGGGTGCTGTGGCTCACGCTTGTAATCCCAGCACTTCGGGAGGCTGAGGCGGGCGGATCACAGGGTCAGGAGTTTGAGACCAGCCTGGCCAACAGAATGAAACCCCATCTCTACTAAAAATACAAAAATTAGCCGGGTGTGATGGTGGGCGCCTGTAGTCCCAGCTACTTAGGCGGCTGAGGCAGGAGAATTGCTTGAACCCAGGAGGCGGAGGGTGCAGTGGGCTGAGATTTAGAAGTAAATGGGTGGAGAAAGATATACTATGCAAACTCTAATTGGTCTAACTACACCAATTAAAAGACAGATTGTCGGAGTTAATCAAAATTGTCAGAGCATAATCTTGTATGTTGTCTACAAGAAACCCACTTTTGATCTCTTGGTAAATATGGCATCATCTGCGTGGAGGATCTGATTCGTGAGATCTATACTGTTGGAAAATTCTTCAAAGAAGCAAATAACTTCCTGTGACCCTTCAAATTATCCTTTCCATGAGATGGAATGAAGAAAAAGACCACCCATTTTGTAGAAGGTGGAGATGCTGGCAACAGGGGGGACCAGATCAACAGGCTTATTAGAAGAATGAACTAAGGTGTCTACCATGATTATTTTTCTAATCTGGTCAGTTAATAAACAGTACCTGCTCTCAAATTGAAAAAAAAAAAATAAAGCAGGAGAAGCTATATTAGTTTCAAACAGAGCAGACATCAAAGCAATAAGTGTTATCAGGGATGAAGAGGGGCATTACTTAATAAAGGAGTCAACTCTACAAGAAGATATAATTATATTTGGCAATGTGTATGTGCCTAACAACAGATCGTCAAAATATGTGAGGCAATAACTAATAGAACTGCAAGGAGAAATAGATGACTTCAGTATAAATACCCCTCTATCAGAAATGGACAAATACAGCAGGCAGAAAATCAGTCAGTACATAGTTGAACTCAACAGCACCATTTAATCAACAGGATATAATTTATGTCTATAGACTGCCTCATCCAAAAACAGCAGAATACACATTTCCTCCAGCTCACATGGAACATTCACCAAGAGAGATCACATTCTGAGCCATAAAACATACCTTAACAGGGCTGGCAGCGGTGGCTCACACCTGTAATCCCAGCACATTGGGAGGCCAAGGCAGGTGGATCACTTGAGGTCAGGAGTTCAAGACCAGCCTGGCCAACATGGTGAAACCCCGTCTCTACTAAAAATACAAAATAATTGGCCAGGTGCAGTGGCTCATGCCTGTAATCCCAGCACTTTGGGAAGCCTAGGCAGGCAGATCACAAGGTCAAGAGATCGAGACTATCCTGGCCAACATGGTGAAACCCCGTCTCTACTAAAAATACAAAAATTAGCTGGGTGTGGTGGCACGTTCCTGTAATCCCAGCTACTTGGGAGGCTGAGACAGGAGAATCTCTTGAACCAGGGAGTCAGAGGTTGCAGTGAGCTGAGATCATGGCACTACACTCCAGCCTGGCAACAGAGCAAGACTCCATCTAAAAAAACAAATTAACCAGGCATGGTGGCGGGTGCCTGTAATTCCAGCTACTTGGGAGGCTGAGGCAGGAGACTCACTTGAACCCAGGAGGTGGAGGTTGCAGTGAGCCGAGATCACACCACTGCACTATAGCCTGGGTGACAGAGTAAGACTCCATCTCCAAAAAAAAAAAAAAACCTTAACAAATTTAAAGGAATAGAAATTATACAATGTCTGCTCTCAGACCACAATGGAATTAAACTGAATTAAACTACAAATCAATAACACAAAGATAACTAGAAAACCCCAAAATATGTGGAGATTAAACAACACACTTCTAAATAACACATGGATCTGTGTTGTTAGAAAAATGTCTGAAGAGAAATGTTAAAATACTTTGAACTAAGTGGAAGTGAAAACAAAATTTAACAAAATTTGTGGGATGTAGCAAAAGCAATGCTTAGAGGGAAATTTATAGTATTGAATGCATGTATTAGAAAAGAAGAAAAACCAAAAATTAATCATGTAAGTCTGCACCTTAGGAAACCAGAAAAAGAAGAGTAAATTAAATCCAAAGTAAGTGAAAGAAAAGAAATAATAAAAATTAGAGCAGAAGTCAATGAAATTGAAAACAGAAAATCAATAGAGAAAATCAAGGAACTCAGAGCTGATTCTTTGAAAAGATAATAAAATTGATAAGCATCTATCTAGGCTAACTAAGAAAAAAGAGAGAAAACACAAATGACTAATATTAGACACAAAAGAGGAGACATCACTACAGATCCTATTGACATTAAAAAGGACAGTAAAGGAATATTCTGAATAACCCTATTTCCACAAATTTGATTACCTAGATAAAATGAACCAATTACTTGAAAGACAGAATTTTCCACAACTGACATGAAAAGAAATAGAGTCTGAATAGGCCTATATCTATTAAATTGAATCAGTGATTATAACTTTTCAAAATAGACATTGCTAGGCCCAGATGCGTTCACAGGTGAATTCTATCAAATATTTAAGGAAGGAATTATGCCAATTCTTTACTAATCCCTTTCAGAAGATAGAGGGCAGGGGACACACCTCCTAACTCATTCTATTAGGCCAGTGTCATCATAATACCAAAACCAGACAAAGACATTACAAAAAACGAAAACTACAGACCAATATGTCTCATGAACATAGTTGTAAAAATCCTCAACAAAATGATAGCAAATTAAGTCTAACAATGTATTAAAAAATTATACATCGCAACCAAGTGAGATTTATCCCAGGTATGCAATGCTGGCTCAATATTTTAAAAATCAAATAATCTATCACATCAACAGCTAAAAAAGAAAAGTCACATAATCATGTCAATAGATGCAGAAAAAGCATTTGAGAAAATTCAACATCCATTTATGAAAATAATTCTCAGTAAACTAGAAATAGGAACTTCCTCAATTTGATAAAGAGTATCTACAAAAAACCTACAGCTAGCATCATACTTAATGGTGAGAAACTAGAAGCTTTCCCACTAAGATCAGGAAAAAGGCAAGGATGTCCTCTCTCACCATTCCTTTTCAACATTGTAGTGGAAGTTACAGCTAATGGAACAAGACAACAAAAGGAAATAAAAGGTATACTGATTGGGAAGGAAGAAAAAGAACTGCCTTGTTCACAGATAACATGATTGCCTATGTAGAAAATCCAAAAGAATCAACAAAAATTCCTGAAACTAGTAACAAATTATAGCAAGTTTGCAGGATAAAGGTTAATATACAAAAGTCGATTACTTTTCTATATACTGGTATATATACCAGCAATGAAAAAGTGGAATTTGAATTTTAAAACACATGCTTTCAAAAAGCATGCCTTTCTCTCTCTTCCATTGACCAAACATTTGGCTAGAAATTGTAAGATTAGATGAAATGAATTTACTTCTCTTCCTTCTCAAACTACGTGTGTCAAAACTCATGATGATAGAAGGATTATTTGCATTATAAAATAAAATATTACTGGTAAGGTCAAGAACACACACATATATAATGACTTCACATTAGGACGCCGAAAGATGACATACTTAGGTATAAATCTAACAAAATATGTACACGATCTAAATGAGGAAAACAACAAACTGATGAAAGAAATCAAAGAAGAACTTGGCTGGGCGTGGTGGCTCATGCCTGTAATCCCAGCACTTTGGGAGGCCAAAGCGGGTGCATCACCTGAGGTCAGGAGTTTGAGACCAGCCTGGCCAACATAGTGAAACCCCGTCTCTACTGAAAAATACAAAAAATTAGCTGGGCATGGTGGCAGGCGCCCATAACCCCAGCTACTCGGGAAGCTGAGGCAGGACAATCGCTTGAACCTGGGAGGCAGAGGTTGCAGTGAGCTGAGATTGCGCCATTTCCCTCCAGCCTGGGCAACAAGAGTGAAACTCTGTCTCAAAAAAAAAAGAAAGAAATCAAAGAAGAACTCAATAAATGAAGAGATTTCCCGTGGATAGGAAGATCAATATTGTCAAGATGTCAGTTCTTCCCAATTTGATCTTTAAATTCCATGCAATCCCAATAATAATTAGAGAATGTTATTTTGTGGCTATCAACAAACAGTCTAAAGTATATATGGAAAGGCAAAAACCTAGAATAGCCAACACAATGATGAAGGAGAATAGCAAAGTTAGAGGACTGACACTACCTGACTTCAAGGCCTACTTAAAAGCTACAGTAATCTAGAGAGTATTATATTGGCAAAGAATAGACAAATAGATCAATGGAACAGAATAGAGAATACAGAAATAGACACACAAAAATATAGTCAACTGAATTTTGACAAAGGAGCAGAGTCAATACAACAAAGAAAAGATAGTTTTTTCAACAAATGGTGCTGGAACAACTGGATATCCACATTCAAAAAAGAAGAGGCTGGGCGTGGTGGTTCATGCCTGTAATCCTAGCACTTTGGGAGGCCGAGGCAGATGGATCACTTGAGGTCATGAGTTCAAGACCAGCCTGGCCAATATAGTGAAACCCCATCTCTACTGAAAATATAAAAATTAGCCAGACGTGGTGGCGGGTGCCTGTAATCCTAGCTACTTGGGAGGCTGAAGCAGGAGAATCGTTTGAACCTGGGAGGTGCAGGTTGCAGTGAGCTGAAATTACCCCACTGCACTCCAGCCTGGGTGACAGAGTGAGACTCTTCCTCCAAAATAAAAATAAAAAAGAGGAAAAGAATCTAGACACAGACCTTAAACCCTTCACAAAATGAACTCAAAGTTGATTACAAAACTTAAATGTAAAAAGCAAGACTATACAACTTCTAGAAGGTAACATAAGAAAATCTAGACGACTTTGAGTTTAGATCCTACACCAAAAGCATGATCCATGAAAGAAATAATTAATAAATTGGATTTCTTTGGAACTAAAATTTTCTGCTCAGCAAAAGACACTGAAGAGAATGAAAAGACAAGTGACTAACTGAGAATATATTTGCAAAAGATATATCTGAGAAAGAACTGTTGACCAAAATATACAAAGAACTCTGAAAACCCAGCAATAAGAAAACAACTCAATTAAACAATTGGCCAAACTCCTTAATATACACCTCTCCAAAGAAGACATACAGATGTCAAAAAAGCATATGAAAAAACGTTTCACATCATATGTCATCAGGGAAATGCAAATTAAGACAATGAGATACTACACAAATATGAAATGGCCCCAATCCAGAACACTGACAACATCAAAGCTGGCAAGGATGTGGAGCAACAGGAACTCTCATTCATTGCTAGTGAGAATGCAAAATGGTATAGCCACTTTGGAAGACAGTTTGGCCGTTTTTTAAAAAACTAAACATACTCTTACATAAGATCCAGCAGTTGTGCTCCATAGTATTTACCCACAGGACTTGAAAGCTTACACCCACCCAAAAGCCTGCACATGGATGTTTATAGCAGCTTTATTCATAATTGCCCACATTTGGAAGCAACAAAGATGTTGCTAAGTAGATGAATGGATAAATAAACTGTGGTACATCCAGACAATGGAATATTATTCAGCACTAAAAAGAAATGAGCTATGAAGCCATAACAAGACATGGAGGAAACATAAATGCATATCACGAAGTGAAAGAAGCCAATCTGAAAAGGCTGCATATGGTATGATTCCACCTCTATGACATTCTGGAAAAGGCAAAACTATGGAGACTATAAAAAGATCAGTGGTTGTCAGGGGTTGAGGGGAGGGAGGGATAATTAGGGAGAACACAGGATTTTTAGGGCAGTGAAACCACTCTGTGATACTATAATAGTGGATACATGTCATTGCACATTCATCAAAACCCTTGAAAGTACAACACCAAGAGTGAGGTCTAATGTAACATATGGACTTTGAGTGATAATGATGTGCCAGTGTAGGTTCGTCTGTACCTTTTTAGTGTGGCATGATGATAATGGAGGTTACGCATGTGTGGGAGCAAAGAGTATATGGAAATCTCTTTCCTTGCAATTTTGCTATGACCCTAAAACTGTTCTAAATAAAGTCAAGTATATGTATATGTATATGTATATGTATGTGTATATGTAGTCACACCAAGAGCTTAGTAAGTAGGGTTGGCTTTTTTCACATTATTTCAGTTTTCTGACATTGATGGTGTTTGGTGCAACATAACTGAATTATATATCCATACTAATACCATCCTGCCACATTCAAGCTCTCATAAGATTTGAGTGCCTGGCCGGGCGCTGTGTCTCATGTCTATAATCCCAGCACTTTGGGAGGCCAAAGCGGGTGGATCACCTGAGGTCGGGCATTTGAGACCAGCGTGACCAACATGGAGAAGCCCTGTCTCTACTAAAAATACAAAATTAGCCAGACGTGGTGGTGCATGCCTGTAATCCCAGCTACTCAGGAGGCTGAGGCAGGAGAATCACTTGAACCCGGGAGGCAGAGGTTGTGGTGAGCCGAGATTGCGCCATTGCACTCCAGCCTGGGCGACAAGAGCCAAACTCAGTCTCAAAAAAAAAAAAAAAAAAAAAAAAGATTTGAGTGCCTAATCAGCATGGATTGAAACATTAATTAGTGAGAATCAGATATTTTTACTGGCATCTTGCCTAGATTCTCTAAGCCTTAAAAACGAAGAACTGGCCAGGCATGTTGGCTCACACCTATAATCTGAGCACTTAGGGAAGCTGTGGTGGGAGGATCGCTTGAGCCCAAGAGTTTGAGACCAGCCCTGGCAACATAGTGAGATCTCAACTCTACAATAATTTTAAAAAATAGCTAGGTGTGGTTGCACATGCCTATAGTCCCAGGTAGTCAGAAGGCTGAGGCAGGAGGATCGCTTGAGCCTGGGAGGTTGAAGCGCAGTGAGCTATGGTTGCGCCACTGCATTCCAGCCTGGGTGACAGAGCAAGGCCCTGTCTCAAAAAAAAAAAAGAACTGAGAAGCATATGTTGGAGTTAGAAATATATATATGCACATATATATACCATTAGACCCAAGGAAAATGGAACCAAGTTTAGCAATGAACAGGAAAACAGTCTCCTACATAAAGCAGCTGACTATTCAACACTTTATGAAAAAAAAGCCCCCTTTCAATTACGTTAAGTAGCAAAGAATGGTAAATGCCAAGTATAGTAGGACAAATATAGATGTTACAGGTAACCAATATTCCTTTCCAGAGTAATGCTAATAGTTTTTCCATGAGCACTTCATTATGGAAATCTTACATGGATTGCTCAGTATAGATAAATAAATGACTGCTTTAAGAGGTTTTTTCCCCTTTTCAGTTTTCTTTTTTTGTCTCCTGTTTATATCTGTGTATGTGCGAGAGAGAGAGAGAAAGAAGCATAAAGCAAATATGCACATTTTAAAAACAGAAAGCAAACATCCACGTAATTGTCATCAGAATCAGGAAATAGGACATTGCTGGCCCCCAGGAATGCCCAGTTCAAATTGTGTTTCTGTGCTTCTATAAGACACAAGAATGACACAAGAATACCTTTGTTTCCTTGGTGTTTATGATGTCAAGTGAGCACTCAAGCAGCACAGGTGCATCAGGAAAATGCATATATTTCACCATTAAATTTGTATTGACTGTTATCATCACTCTATCCACAAAAAGCTGCTTCTGCAATCAAAGTTGTGTACTAATATGGGAAAGACAGCTGCAGGGTGAAATATAGTAGTGAACTTCCATGTGCCAGCGAGTGCTGGGAGGTAGATGCCTTTTTAACAAAAGCGGTATTGTTTCTTAAAATCTGACATAAAAATAATAGGGAGTGGAGGGGATTATTCACTTCAGGTCCTAGGATTTTATAATATAACTCTTCCCCTCCTCCCTGCCAGCTCTGGATGTCTGGATGATCTTCTCCTCCTGGCTTCTCATTCTCCTTCCTTCTTTCCCTACCTTCCTTCACATATCTTCCTATTTTTTTTTTTTTTTCAGAGTGAGTCTCGCTCTGTTTCCCAGGCTGGAGTCCAGTGGCACGATCTTGGCTCACTGCAACCCCCGCCTCCCAGGTTCAAGTGATTCTCGTGCCTCAGCTTCCCAAGTAGCTGGGATTACAGGTGCCCACCACCACGCCTGGCTAATCATTGTATGTTTAGTAGAGACAGGGTTTTGCCATGTTGGTCAGGCTGGTCTTGAACTTCTGACCTCAAGCAATCCACATGCCTCGGCTTCCCGAAGTGTTGGGATTACAGGCATTAAGCCTCTCCTGTCTATTTTAACCAGTTCCTGACATTCTTATATCATAACTGTGGGCTAATGTCCCTAGACCCAGGGGCAATGGAGCCACCCGGGTTGTTTGCAACAATTTCCTGATGGAAATAGTGTTAGATGTGAGGCCTCTCTTTCTTGGAAGACCCTTGCTTGAGCTCCTTGAGGAAGTCCTGCCTTTCTTAAAAGCCTCCCTCAAATCTCATCATCTTTGTCATCTTGAGGTCACCCAGTTGGATTTAATCTCTTCCTACCCCCATATCTTCAATCTGTCTTTTAGCACTGATGACAGTGGTTTATGTTAGGATTGTTTCTGTAGGTGCCTCTCACTCCTGCTGGTCAGGGACCGTAGCTCTCTTAACCACTGTATTCCCTAGTACTAGTGCTGCGCTTTACCCCAGAGCAGGCTCACTAAATGGCTGAATTGATTTGTTGAATCTAGAATATTTAAAGTGTGATCACGGCTGGACATAGTGACTCACATCTGTAATCCCAGCACTTTGGGAGGCCAAACTGGGTGGATTGCTTGAGCTCAGGTGTTTGAGACCAGCTTGGGCAACATAGTGAGAGTTTGTCTCTATTAAGACCAAGAAAATTAGCCAGGTATGGTGGTGCGCATCTGTGGTCCCAGCTATTTGGGAGACTGAGGTGGGAGGATCACTTGAGCCTGGGATGTCGAGGCTTCAGTGAGCTGTGATCACGCCACTGCACTCCACCGTGGGCAACAGAGTGAGACTTTGTCCCTAAATAAATAAATAAAAATAAGATGTGATCAGGTCAGGTACAGTGGCTCACACCTGTAATCCCAGCACTTTGGGAGGCTGAGGCAGGAGGATTGCTTGAGCCCAGGAGTTCAAGACCAGCCCGGGCAACATAGTGAGATCCTGTCTCTACAAAAAATAAAAAAGTAGCTGGGTGCAGTGGCACACACCTGAAGTCTCAGCTACTTGGGATGTGGAGGTGGGAGGAGCACTTGAGCCCAAGAGTTTGAAGCTGCAGTGAATTATGTTCATGCCATATCATTCTCCAGCCTGGATAACAGAGAACCTATCTCAAAAAAAGAAAAAAAAATGTGGCTGGGCACGGTAGTTCATGCCTGTAATCCCAGTACTTTGGGAGGCTGAGGCAGGTGGATCACTTGAGGCCAGGAGTTCAAGACCAGCCTGGCCAACATGGTGAAACCCTGTCTCTACTAAAAATACAAAAATTAGCTGGGCGTGGTGGTGTGCACCTCTAATCCCAGCTACTCGGGAGGGTGAGGCAGAGAATTGCTTGAACTGGGGAGGCGGAGGCTGCAGCGAGCGGAAATCACGCCACTGCACTCCAGCCTGGGCGACAGAGCGAGACTCCATCTCAAAAAAATAAAAAGAAAAACTGTGATCAATTTGACATTTTCCTATGCAGCATCTCAGGTATGCTGTCTATAAAATTCACCATGAAGACCGAATCTATGTTAAATGTTTTGAAGCTCCACCTTTGGAAATGTACATTTTCCTTTTCCACTATTAAAGTAAAGAAGGAATTATCCAATGTTGTATGGTCATAAAATAAAAGATTACGAATGACAGATAACGAAGTGAGTTTACAACCTCTATTAATCTATTGGTGTCCTTGTCCATTCTGTGCAGTCACTTCAGCTTTCTCCGGGGCAATACAACGTGCTTCCTGCACCAGTTCCCAAATATGCTTCCAGGTAATTATATACTTATTAAATAAGCTGCCTTTCTGTTTACATACCTACACGCCAATACTCCTGGCTTTTAAACCTCATTTATGCACCTCATATGCAAATTAACATTTTAAAATATTTAATGAAAGGTAGGGAATAAGTTAACAAAGATCTTTAAAAAATAGATTTAGAAAATCACTTTTCTTTTTTATTTTGAAATATAGGAGCTGTGTATTTCGCTCAACAGTTCAAAGATTCCCAACAACCTATTTTATTCCCGTAAGTATAATGTAGACAGTTAACTCATGATGAATTTGATGTTTAAAATACGCTGTGCTTTCTGGAGTGGAGCAAGGTGGCCACATAGAACCCTCCAGTGATCGTTCCCCCTAGCAGGAACACCATTATCCACACAATTATCCACACAAGAAAACACCTCTGTAAGAACCAAAAAGCAAGTGTGGGATCGCAATACCAGGTTTTAACATTGTATCAAGGAAAGAGGCACTGAAGAGGGTAGGGTAGAAAAGACAGTCTTGAATTACTGACACTACCCTCCCCCATCCCCTGGCAGCAGCCACGTGGCATGAAGAGAGAATCTGCCCTTGGGGAAGAGGGAATGCCGTGACGGGGGGACTTTGCACGGGAACACCGTGCTGCCTGTAACAGGGAAAGCAACACAGGACAGAATTCAGCTAGTGCCCATGGAGGGAGCATTTAGACCAGCACTAGCCAGCCAGGAATTGCCCATCCCAGCCGTTCGATACTGAGTTCCAGCTCTCCCTACCACTGTGGGCTGAAGTGCTCTGAGGTCCTAAATAAGCTTGAAAGGCAGTCTCGGCCACAAGGACTGCAGTTCCTGGGCAAGTTCAGGTGCTCTGCTGGGCTCAGAGGCAGTGGACTTAGGGTACACAAGACCTAGTGAGACACCAGCTGGGGCAGCCAAAGGAGTGCTTGTAGCAGCCATCCCCCAGCCCCAGGCAGCACAGCTTGCAGCTTCAAGAGAGAGGCCTTCCTTTTGCTTGAGAGGAGGAGAGGGGAGAGTAAAGAGGACTTGTCTTGAATCTGGATACCAGCTCAGCCACAGCAGAATAGGGCACCTCAGGCAGAGTCCTGAGGCCCCCATACCAGGCCCTAGCTCCCAGACAACATTTCTAGACACATCTCTGGCTGGAAGAGAATCCACTGCCTTAAAGAGAAGGACCCAGTTCTGGCAAGATTCATCACCTACTGACTAAAGAGCCCTTGGGCTTCGAATAAACACCAGCAGTGGCCAGACAACACTCACTGCAGGCCTTAGCCAGTGCTGTGCTGCTTCAGGTGTGATCCAGCACTTTCCCAGCTACAGTGGTCACAGAGAGAGACTCCTGCTTGAGGAAAGGAGAGGGAGGAGTAAAGGGGATTTTGTCTTGCAGCTTGGGTACCAGTTCGGCCACAGTGAAGTGGAGCACCAAGCAGGCTCCTGGGGTTCCCAATTCCAGGCATTGGCTCCTGGATGTCATTTCTGGACTCCCACTGGGCCAGAGGGGAGCCCACTGCCCTGAAGGGAGAGACCCAGGCCTGGCAGCCTTCCTCACAAGCTGACTGAAGAGCCTTGAGTGAACATTAGTGGTATCCAGGCAGTACTTGCTACAGGCCTGAGTGGCATAGAGAGATTCTTTCTGCTTGAGGAGAGGGGAGGGACGAGTGGAAAAACTTTGTCTTCTGGCTTGGGTGCCAGCTTAGCTGCAGTAGTATAGAGTACCCAATAAATTCCTAAGTTTCCTGACTCCAGGCCCTGGCTCCCAGATGGTATTTCTGATCTGCACTTGGCCCAGGGGGCAGCATGCTGCCTTGAAGGGAAGAGCCTTTGGGCCTTGAGTGAACATGGGCAGTAGCTAGGCGGTAGTTACTGCAGCCCTTGGGTGAGACCCAGTACCATGCTGGCTCTGACCCAGTGCAGTCCCAGGGATATTGGCCATAGAGGTGCTTGTGTCACCCGTCCCTCAGCTTTAGGCATCTCAGCACAAAGAGAGACTTCGTTTGTTTGGGGGAAGGGAAGGGAAGAGAACCAGAGTCTCTGCCTGGTAATCCAGGGAACTCGCTCAGATCTTATCCAAGACTACCAAGGCATTACCTCTACAAGTCTACCAGAATCACAGCAATTACTAGGCTTGGGGTGCCCTCTAATGCAGACACAGCTACGGTGACCAAAGACAGATTACAGCACTTAATTCCCTTTGAATACTTGGAGAGCCTTCCCAAGAAGGACAGGTACAAACAAGACCAGCTGCAAAGACTACAATAAACACCTAACTCTACAATGCCCAGACATCGGCAAACATATACAGGTATCAAGACCATCTAGTAAAACACAACCTCACCAATCGAATTAAATAAAGCACGAGTGATCAATCCCAGAGTGACACAGATATGTGACCTTTCAGACAGACACCTCAAAATAGCTGTTTTGACAAAGTGCAACAAAATTTAAGATGACACAGAGAATGAATTCAGAATTCTATCAGATAAATTTAGCAAACAAATCAAAATAATTTTAAAAAATCAAGCAGATACTCTGGAGCTGAAAAATTCAATTGACATGCTGAAGAATACATCAGAGTCTCCCAATAGCAGAACTGATCAAACAGAAGAAAGAATTTGTGAGCTTGGATGGGGTGCAGTGGCTCATGCCTGTAATCCCAGCACTTTGGGAGGCTGAGGCAGGCAGACGGCTTGAGGCCAAGACTTCAAGACCAGTCTGGCCAACATGGCAAAAGCTTGTCTCTACTAAAAATACAAAAAGCATCTGAGTGTGGTGGTGCACACCTGTAATCCCTGCTACTTGAGAGGCTGAGGCATGAGAATCGCTTGAACCTGGGAGGCGGAGCTTGCAGTGAGCCAAGATTGTGCTGCTGCGCTCCAGCCTGGGCAACAGAGTAAGACTCTGTCTCAAAAAAAAAAAAAAAAAAAAAAAAAAAAAAAAAAGAATTAGCTTGAAGACAAGCTATTTGAAAATACAGTCAAAGGAGACAAAAGAAAAAAGAATGAAGCATGCTTACAAAATCTATAAAATAGCCTCAAAACGGCAAATCTAAGAGTTATTGGCCTTAAAGAGATAGAGAGAGAGATTGAAGTAGAAAGTTTATTCAAAGGGATAATAACAGGGACCGTTCCAAACCTAGAGAAAAATAGAAATATTGAAGTACAAGAAGGTTATAGAACACTAAGCATATTTAACCCAAATAAGACCACCTCAAGACATTAATAATCAAACTCCCAAAAATCAAGCACAAAGAAAGGATCCTAAAGCACAAGAGGAAAGAAGTAAATAACATACAATGGAGCACCAATACATCTGACAGCAGACTTCTCAGTGGAAACCTTATAGACCAGGAGTGAGTGGCATGACATATTTAAAGTGCCGAAAGAAAAAAACTTATCCTGGAATAGTATATTCAGTAAAAAATCCTTAAAATGTGAAGGATAAATACTTTCCCAGACAACCAAAGCTAAGGCATTTCAACACCAGACCTGTCCTACAAGAAACGCTAAAAGGAGTTCTTCAAATTCTGAAAGGAAAGGACATTAATGAGCAACAAGAAATCATCTGAGGCCAGGTGCAGTGGCTCATGCCTATAATCTCAGCACTTTGGGAGGCTGAGGCAGGAGGATTGCTTGAGTCCAGCAGTTCAAGACCAGCCTAGGCAACATAGAGAGACTCCATCTCTACAAAAAATTTAAAAATTACCTGGGCATGATGGCATGCACCTGTGGTCCCAGTTACTCAGCGAGGCTAAGGTGGGAGGATCACTCGAGCCCAGGAGGTCAAGGCTGCAGTGAGCCATGTGTGTGCCACTGCAGTCCAGCCTGGGCAACAGAACAAGACCCTGTCTGAAGAAGAAGAAGGAGAAGGAGAGAAAGAAGAAAGAAGAAAGAAGAAGAGGAAGAGGAGGAAGAGGAGAAAGAAGAGAAAGAAGAGGAAGGAAAGAAAGAAGAAAGAACCCTAAAACTTAACGTGGAACCACAAAAGACCCAGAATAGCCAAAGTCATCCTGAGCAAAATGAACAAAACTGAAAGAATCATATTACCTGACTTCAAATTATACTACAGAGCTATTGTAGCAAAAACAGTATGGTAGTAGCATAAAAACAGACATAGAGACCAATGGAACAGAATAGATAACCCAGAAATAAATCCATATATCTACAGTGAACTCATTTTTGACACAGGTGCCAAGAATACACATTGGGGAAAGGACAGTCTCTTCAATAAATGGTGCAAGGAAAACTGGATATCCATATGAAGATGAATGAAACTAGAACCCTATCTCTTGCCATTTTACAAAAATCAAATCAAAATGGATTAAAGACTTAAATCTGGCTGGGTATGGTGGCTCACGTCTGTAATCCTAGCACTTTGGGAGGCCAAGGCAGGAGGATCCCTTGAGCCCAGGAATTCGAGACCAGCCTGGGCAATATAGGGAGACCCTGTCTCTAGTTAAAAAAAAAAAAATTAAATCTAAGACCTCAAACTATGAAATTATCAAAACAAAACATTGAGGAAACTCCAGGACATTGGTCTGGGCAAAGATTTCTTGAGTGACACCCCACAAGCACAGGCAACCAAAGCAAAAATGTGTAAATGGGATCACATCAAGTTAAAAAGTTTCTGCACAACAAAGGAAACAATCAACAAAGTGAAGAGACGACCCACATAATGGGGGACAATATTTGCAAACTATCCGTCTGACAAAGGATTAATAACCAGAATATATAAAGAGCTCAAACAACTCAATAGGAAAAAGGTCTTTTTTTTTGAGACAGCGTCTTGCTTTTTCACCCAGGCTGAAGTGCAGTGATGCAAACACAGCTCACTGCAGCCTCGACCTCCCTAGTGTAAGCAATCCTTCCCCTCAGCCCCTCAAGTAGCTGGGATTACAGGTGCATGCCACCACATCCAGCAAATTTTTGTATTTTTTTGTAGAAATGGGCTCTTGCCATGTTGCCCAGGCTGGTCTTGAACTCCTGAGCTCAAGCGATCTGCCCACCTTGGCCTCCCAAAGTGCTGGAATTACAGGCATGAGCCACCATGCCCAACCTCAATAGGAAAAAAATCTAATAATTTGTTTAAAAAATAGGCAAAAGATCTGAATAGACATTTCTCAAAAGAAGACATACAAATGGCCAACAGGTGTATAAAACGGTGCTCAACATCGTTAATCATCAGAGAAATGCAAATCAAAACTACAATGAGATATCATTGCATCCCAGTTTAAATGACTTATATCCAAAATACAGGCAATAGTGAATGCTGGCGAGGATGTGGAGAAAAGGGAACCCTTGTACACTGTTGGTGAGAATGTAAATTAGTACAGCCACCACGAAGAACAGTACAAAGGTTCCTCAAGAAAGTAAACATAGAGCTACCATATGATCCAGCAATCTCACTGCTGGGTATATACCCAAAAGAAAAGAAATCAGTATATTGAAGAGGTATCTGGTGTTTGTTGCAGCACACTGTTCACAATAACCAAGATTTGGAAGCAACCTTAGTGTACATTAGCAGATGAATGGATAAAGAAAATGTGGTACATATACACAACAAAGTACTACACAGCCATAAGAAATAATGAGGTCCTCCTATTTGCAATAACATGAACAGAACTGGAGGTCATTATGTTAAGTGAAATAAGCCATGCACGGAAAGGCAAACTTTGCATGTTCTCATGTATTTGTAGGAGCTAAAAATTATTAATAAAACAATCAAACTCATGCAGATAGAGAGTAGAAGGATGGATACCAGAGACTAAGAAGGGTAGTGGAGGATGGAGAAAGGGGAAGTGGAGATGGTTAATGGATACAAAGATATAGTTAGATAGAATGATAAGATCTAGTATTTGATAGCACAACAGGTGATTATAGTCAACAATAATTTATTGTACATTTAAAAATTGGCTGGGCACGGTGGCTCACACCTGTAATCCCAGCACTTTGGGAGGCAGGCGGATCATTTGAGGTCAGGAGTTCAAGACCAGCCTACCAGCCTGGCCAACATGGTGAAGCCCCACCTCTACTGAAAATACAAAAATCAGCCAGCTGTGGTGGCATGCGCCTGTAATCCCAGCTACTCAGGAGGCTGAGGCAGGAGAATTGCTAGAACCTGGGAGGCAGAGGTTGCAGTGAGCTGAGATCGCGCCACTGCACACCAGAATGGGCAACAGAGTGAGACTCCATCTCAAAAAAATAAATAAATAAATAAATAAAATAAAAATAAGAGTATAATTGGCATGTTTGTAACATAAAGAAATGATAAATGCTTGAGGTGATGGATACCCCATTTATCCTGCTGTTACTATTACACATTGTATGCTTGTATCAAAATATCTCATGTACTCCATAAATATATATACCTACTATGTGGCCATAAACATTTTTCAAAATAAAATATACTATGAATCCTTTTGCTATAGTAAGATTAACATTTTGCTCATCATAGTAGATAAGCTCTGAATGACTAATGCAATTGATTTAAGATATACATAAAGTATATCTGAAGATATACGAGAAATGAGTAACCAATTTGTGGCAAAGTGTAGAAGAAAATGTTCGGCTCCTTTACTTTCTTTAGGTCTTGACTGAAATACCACTTTCTCAGGAAGGTCTTCCCAAGTCACCTATTCAAATTTGCTGTCCCCTTCCTTGGTTTATTTTTTACTTCATAGCATTCATAACTGTCAGACACAATACCTTTTAAAATGTATCTACTCTGTTTTTATCTTTCCCCCTCACTAGAACGTAAGCTTATGAAGGCAGGGATTTCTTTCCTGTATACCTAGCACCTAGGCAAGTGACTGGCACATAGTATTTGGTGAATTAATTAATTAAATCGCTAGAGATATTCAATAGATCATGGTATTAACAAAAAGGAAGCACCTCTCTGTTTCTTTCCTTTTAAAGATATGAAAATGCTTTTCTATTTCTAAATATTTCCAAATGCATGACCATGAGTTATGATAAAAAATGAACTCTTTTAGATAAATAGCTAGTCAGTAGGATGTCAAAAAAATAAATAATTATATAAATCATCTGAAAGAATAAGAAAATATAAAATTGGCTGGGCACAGTGGCTCACGCCTGTAATCCCAGCACTTTGGAAGGCTGAGGCAGGCGCATCATTTGAGGTCAGGAGTTTGAGACCAACCTGGCCAACATGGTGAAACCCCGTCTCTACTAAAAATACAAAAATTAGCTGGGCGTGGTGGCATGCGCCTGTAATCCCAGCTACTCAGGAGGCTGAGGCAGGAGAATGGCTTGAATCCGGGAGGCGGAGGTTGCAGTGAGCCAAGATCACACCACTGCTCTCCAGCCTGGGCAATAGAGTGAGACTCAGACTCAAAAACAAAAACAAAAACAAAACAAACAGACAAACAAACAAAAAACAGAAATAAAATATAAAATTGTTTTGGGATAGTTTGATGCACTATAATTTATTTGTAGTTACAAACTCAGGATCAAAAAAGACCGCATAGCAAACATCTGCAAAAAAAAAAATTGAGAAAACTGAACAGAGCTCAGAAACAGATCCTAGAATATATTAATACAAGATTTTTTTATTAATACAAGATTTTTATATTTGATAAAGATGGTATGACAAGTCAGTAGGGAAAGGAAAAGATATGTTAGGTAACTTATTATTAAATAACTTGGAAAAGGTGTTAGATTCTCACTTCATAGCACACATTAAAATAAATTTCATATTGATTAAAAAATTTGATACTTTTGAAGCCATTAAACCAGGAGAAAATATATTAGTATATATCTAAGGATAAGCAAACTTTCTGAGATAATAGCAATGGAAGAAATTTCAAAGGAAAATAAATACTAGATTTGATTATATAACATTAAAAATGCTTTGTATATCAGAAAACAAACTGCAAACAAAGTTAACAGGCAAATGTAGACTAGGAAAAGTATTTTCAACATTCCTAACAGATAAAGGATTAATAGCATTATCTATAAAATTATCATAACAATCTATAGGAAAAACAACAGAAAAGTAAAACAGATAAAGGACATAAATAGACAATTCATAAATAAATTCAGATTACAAGGTGAAAAATCTTTTGATCTCACTAACATTTAAGTGTGTGAGAGACTAAAAGGCTGATTGAAAGCTCTCTGTATGTGGGTGGTATAGAAGGCTAAATTATAGCCCCCAAAGATATGTCTATGCCCTAATGCCTGGAATCTATGGATGTTACCTTACATGGCAGAGATTTTGCAGATGTGGCTAAGGATTTTGGGATGGGGAGATTATCCTGTACTCCAGGGTGGGGAAGAATGAGATTACACACACACACACACACACACACACACACACACACACACACGAGGAGAGGGCAATTCAAATATAGAAGCAAAGATTACAGTGGTGCAGCCACAAGTCAAGAAATGCTGGCAGCCACTAGAAGCTGAAAGAGGTAAGGAACAGCTTCTCCCTTAGATCCTCTGGAGGGAGCATGGCCCTGCTGACATATAATTTTAGCCCAGTGAAACTGACTCAGACTTCAGACCCTAGAACTATGAGAGAATAAATTTGTTTGTTTAAGACACTGAATTTGTAGTAATTTGTTATAGCAGTCATAGTGAATGAATACAGGTGGGGATTATCTCCAGGTGGGTTTCATACTGGATGGGTGGGATAAGGACCTGGCTTTTCCTTTGATAGCCCATAAATATCCGTATCTGTAGGTCTTTTTTCTAGGATATGTCAGTTGATTCAAAACGACTCATCAGCTTCCTGCCTGGGGTTTAAGCCAGCTGTCAGTGTTCTGGGAGCTGAGTGGAGGGAGGGGCCTGTGGTCTCATCATTCAGTGTGTAGAAGTTCACTTAATTCCAGTTTTCAGTAAAGGCCCACATCCTCACAGTGCTTGGGGCTCCTGAGTCCAGATCTGTGGTGCAGTCCCCTCAGAACTAAACTCCCTGTCTCCTGTAGGGATATGGGAAGGGGAGTTGCCTGACAGCTAGGGGTGAGGGGAGACGGACCTGAAGTAAAAATATTCAACCAGACCTTCTGCTTTCAGATCTACCCCCACCCCCACCGCACAGGTGCCTGATGCCTTAAATTCCCCAGCTTTTCTTGTGTTCTGTGGAGCAAATCAGCTTGCTTCTCCTTCGCAAGTCCTCTGCAAGGATTTACGCTTCTGCCTTCTCTACACTGCCAGGTCAGCTACTATTCCTCCAAACTGCTTCACATCTTCCAAAAATATGTCATTCTCTCATGTTGACTGCTGTCTCTCTCTTGGCTCTTTGTGTATGTGTATGTATAGTTGTGTGTTGCGGGGGTAGGGTGAGATAGAACAGGAACCCCCTCTTAGGGACCTGGATGCCCCACCAAACATAAATGTTTTTTATATTTTAAATTCCTTCAAAAATTTTTTCAGATACCTATTGATAGCTAGCCCTGAGAAGTAAATAACTTAATAAAAAAAAGATAACAGTAGCCAAAAACAATAGCCAAGAACACTAAAATCACAGGATGTTTGCTACCCCTATGACCTCTTAACATATGACTGAAACCCGGACCCCCACCAAATGAATGTGCCAGGTCCATAGATGTCAAATAAGGGGGAACTGGGACTAAACTCTAACCACATTCTTTTTTTTTTTTGAGACGGAGTCTTGCTCTTTCGCCCAGGCTGGAGTGCAGTGGCGTGATCTCAGCTCACTGCAAGCTCCACCTCCCAGGTTCACGCCATTCTCCTGCTTCAGCCTCCTGAATAGCTGGGACCACATTCTTATCCTAAATTTCTTTCAGGTGGGACCTGGAAAAAGTCACACCCACAAGCCAGAGCTAACATTCTTTTCTGCTGGTCCCCAGTTTGTTTGTTTTTTGTTTTTGTTTTTGAGACAGAGTCTCACTCTGTCGCCCACGTTGGAGTGCAGCGGCACAATCTCGGCTCACTGCAACCTCCACCTCCCGGGTTCAAGTGATTCTCCTGCCTCAGCCTCCCTAGTAGCTGGGATTACAGGTGTGGGCCACCACGCCCAGCTAATTTTTGTATTTTTAGTAGAGAAGGGGTTTCAACATATTGCCCAAGCTGATCTTGACCTCCTGACCTTAAGTGATCCACCCACGTTAGCCTCCCAAAGGGCTGGGATTACAGGCATGAGCCACCGCCCCTGGCCTGGCCCCCAATTTTTAAACCAAGCCTCTTTTTTATCCAACTGCAAATCAGAAAATCTTTAAATGTACCTATGACCTGTAAGCCCTTGGTTCATGCAATGTCACCCTTTTAGGCTAAATAAAACCAATGTATAACCTCCATATATAATTTACAATTTTGCCTGTAATGTCTGCTTTCCCCACATTTAGCCCTACCCTTAAAAATTCTTACCTGCAAGCCACTGCGGAGGTCAGGACTTAAACATTAGCTGTCTGGCCCTCCTTGCTTGGTGCCCTGCAAATAAATGCCTTCCCGTTTTCTACTACAAACCTCACTTTAGGTATCTGGTCTTACTGCACTGGGTGAGCAGCCCCTAGTCTGTTCTACAATAGTTACGTCTTTTTTTATTTGATGGGAAAAGAATGGAGATAAATGCATGTGTTCAGTTGGCTTTGGAAGCAAGCAGTTAGGACACCAAGTTTTTTCTCCACTGCATGATATTGTATTTCCTTTGAAATGCATGCTTTTAAATGAAGGCTGTGAGTTAATAATGATTTGTTTACTATTAGTACAGAACAACTGAAAAATAATTCAGGCAGGACAATCTACTTGGTATGTGAAATAGCAGAAGGTAGTTGATTGTGACCATTTCTGCCATTGTTCTATTGCTTTTATGGAGGAGATTTTGGGAGATGCTTACTCTGCCACTTTTACTGATATCACCTCATCCATTCCATTTTATAAATAAAAGTGATTCACTGATTTGGAACATCCTGTCCTTTGAAAAAGTAAAAAGAATACTTTTATGGAAAATGTTCCAAGGCAAAGTAACAGCCCAGGGCTGTGATTCATGTCTGTCTTAAACATGCATTCCCAGAGCAGACTTATGGATTTGGTTTAGATCCACAAACTTGTGAACTGCAGAGAGGAAACTCTTTTGATCCCAGCAGTGGGAGATGGTGGCGTGCAGTGTGGGTGTGGTAAAGAAGCAATGTTTGCTGAGAGAACAATGTCTCAAACCTTCGTGTGATAAATGCTGTAATCCTTAGGACATTATAATGTGCCATTCAGCTTTTATACGAAAACTCATTTGGTTGATTTTATCATTCAGTTTAATTGTTCTAAAAATTAGCTTCATAGTTATGGAAGTGTGAAGGATTGTTAAAACTGGAAGAAACTTTATAAATCAACTACAGCATGTAGTAGGGTTAACTTTGATAATGATCTTGACTACCACCCGTTTAGTGTCTTCTGGTGCCAGGTGCAATGTTCAGTGACTGACATAGACTGTCTCATGTAATCCTCATAACTTGGGGAGATAGTATTAATTTATCATCTCTATTTGACAGGTCAGGAAGTGGCCATTAATTGCTCAAGGTCACACAACTATTAAGAGATAGAGTCAGGGCTTAGTTTTTTGGTGACCTCAAAAGCTGGGCTTTGAGCTGTCTTACCACTTAGTGCAGCGGTCCCCAACCTTTTTGGCACCAGGGACTGGTTTCACAGAAGACAGTTTTTCCATGGACCAGGGTTGGAGTGGGGAATGGTTTCGGGATGATTCAAGTGCATTACATTATTGTGCACCTTATTTCTATTATCATTACATTGTAATATATAATGAAATAATTATACAACTCACCATAATGTAGAATCAGAGGGAGCCCTGAGCTTGTTTTCCTGCAACTAGACAGTCCCATCTGGGGGTGATGGGAGACAGTGACAGATCATCAGGCATTAGATTCTCATAAGGAGTGCACAACCTAGATCCCTTGCATGTGCGGTTCACAATAGGGTTCCTGCTCCTATGAGAATCTAATGCTGCCGCTGATCTGATAGGAGCTGGAGCTCAGGCAGCAATGCGAGTGATGGGGAGTGGCTATAAATACAGATGAAACTTCACTCCCTTGCTCGCCCACCCCTCACCTCCTCCTATGAAGCCTGGGGGTTGGGGACCCTGACGTAAGCAACTCGCTTAAAACCTAAAGCCAAGTAGTCAATATTGTGCTGTCAGACCAGGTGCAGTGGCTTAACCATATAATCCCAACATGCTGGGAGGCCAAGGTGGGAGGACCCCTTGAGACCAAGAGTTCAAGACCAGCCTGGGCAACAGAGCAAGACCTCATCTCTATTAAAAAAAAAATATATATATATATATGTTGTACTATCTCTAAAGTGACAACTTCCCCCTGATAACTGAGGCTTGATCATGAGGCCAGGTTTCCCCACTTGACCCCTTTGCAGTAGAATGAGTTCATATGCAAGTTCTTTCATCTGTTCCAGAAATCATTTTGGATGCTTATGTGTGTGACACCCTATGCCAAGTAGGCATTGTTGATACAAAGGCAAGTGAGACATTTTATCAATGCTCTCTTTGTGCTTCAACAGGGCAGGGATAGTCTAAGGTCAGTTATCCAACCAATGTGTATACACGCAAGCACACACAAACTTATACATATTAAATGAGAGTCTGTGATTCACAAGGTGTGTGTCTGGCTAATGTGGGAACTTGAAACATGGCGCCCCAAATTAGACACTGATGACTCAATTTAACATTATCTGTTGGGCCGGGCATGGTGGCTCATGCCTGTTATCCCAGCACTTTAGGAGGCCGAGGCAGGCAGATCACCTGAGGTCAGGAGTTCAAGACCAGCCTGACCAACATGGAGAAACCCCATCTCTACTAAAATTACAAAATTAGCCAGGTGTGGTGGTGCATGCCTCTAATCCCAGCTACTCGGGAGGGTGAGGCAGGAGAATCACTTGAACCCAGAAGGAGGAGGTTGCAGTGAGCTGAGATAGTGCCATTGCACTCTGGCCTGGGCAACAAGAGCGAAAGTCCTTCTCAAAAAAACAAAAACAAAAAACCACATGCATCTTCTTTGTTCCAACAGCCACCTCCAAAACTTAGCAATACATTTGCTTGATAAGCTTCCCAGCAAGTGCCCGACCCTAGGTAGAGGAAGGAGAAGAGGGCATGGGTGAAGAGAAAGCTTGGTTAAGGCAAGGGGCACCCATACCCATTTCTCGGAGCCTACATCCTAAGCAAAAATCAAATAAACCAAAGCGCTAGGTGTCCTCTCAGCTTTTGGGTCCAAGAGCCTTTCCATAAGGTATTCATTAGTTGAGGGGCCCAGGAAGGGAAATTTGTATTTATATCTTTCTCACTCACTGCAGCAATGCCTGAAACTCCACAGGTAGGATATGAGAGCCCAAGAGTTGACATATACCACCCTTGATTTAACTGTTGAGAAATGTTTTGTGGAGGATTTTGCCTTTTCACATGTCCTCTTCTAAATGCATAAGCTCCCAAAATGAGGAAAATATTGATCAAGTTCATACTAAGGCATTAGTGACCTATCAGATTCTCTCCCCTTCTCCGCCATGCTCCCAGGAACATAAATGAGACAAGAATTAGGGTATCTGAGAGAAAGAAAAGGAACCGAAAAGAGGGAGAAATGTGAGACAGTGTCCCACTTATGTCCTTATTAACTGTTCTTTCAGTGCATGGAACACGTGTGCTATGCTTTTAGACAGTAGCCTTAAGACAATTCCGTAAAACCGTCTACAAAATAAGAAAAAATAAAATTTACAGAGTTGCTATGTTGGGAATTTTCACAGATGTTTAACTAGTAAAATACGTAAGTCTGTCGATTCTTATAAGATGAGCAATTTTGACATAAATGTGAAATAGAATAGTTTCAGAGAAACTCTACAACAATGAATGTTAAATAAATGGAGCTCCTGTTTATGTGGGATAAACCGCTATTTTGTGCAATTTGAATATCCTTCTATTCCTTAGATCTGCAGGGAGCCCTAGGGGCCTAATCACCTCTTAAAGTCCACACCTCTGAATACTATCACGTTGACAATGCCTGAATTTTGGAGGGGACGCATTCAAACCATAGCATAGGCCAGCCACTGGACATAGGCCCCTTGGGCAAAAGATTGGTGGAGTTTATCCTCTGGAAAAACTCAATGAGCCCAGAGGAAAGAACACTATATCCCAACACTTAGGGAACCCTAGGAAAAAGACTGGGTTTGCCATTCACTTGTCTGATCTCAACATATCCTAGCCACATACCCACAGTTTCTACCATGCAAGTAAGAAAATCCTTTAGGTCGGGCCTGGTGGCTCACGCCTGTCATCCTAGCAATTTGGAAGCCCGAGGCAGGTGGATTGCCTGAGCTCAGGAGTTCAAGACCAGCCTGGGGAACACGGTGAAACCCTGTCTCTAATAAAAATACAAAAAATTAGTCGTGCATGGCAGCGTGCGCCTGTAATCCCAGCAACTAGGAAGGCTGAGACAGAAGAATCGCTTGAACCCAGGAGGCAGAGGTTGCAGTGAGCCGAGATCGCGTCATTGCACTCCAGCCTGGGTGACACAGCGAGACTCTGTCTCAAAAAAAAAAAAAAAAAAGCCTTTAATGTGAACAAGAGATGGAGATAAACAGACAGAAGGATGGAAACCTGGTTGAAAACAGAACTCTGGGAATAGAAGGGGAAGATTTTTTAAAAATACAATTAGCATCCTCAGAAAGATGAGAACAGGAACATTATTTTCAACTTAGGATTCTATATTTAGCCAAACTAACAATGAATTGTGAAAACAAAGACTTTCAACATGCAAAAACTCATAAAAATTACCTCCCAAATACCATTTTAAAAGATGCCGCTGGTGATAAATACAGCAAAACAAAGGAGCAGATCCAGAAAGAGGAAGGCATGGGACCCAGGAGAAAGTAGATACAATCTGGGAGAGGAGTAGTGAGGAAATGTCCCAGGTTGACCACTGTGCAGCAAGCTGAAAGAGAAACCAATCAATATAATAGAAAAAGAAAATAGGAAACTCTAGAAGGAATGTTTCAAAAGAAAAAGGGGCACAAGAACAGCTGATATGATGGGGAAAAATGAAGAAAATATATGTAGCAAAATGTGCAAGTGAAAAAAAATGAGGCACTAATTGACTCCAGGTAAAACAAAAGGCTGTAGAAGAAAAGAAATAGGCCAGGCATGGTGGCTTATGCTTGTAATCGCAGCACTTTGGGAGGCCAAGGCAGGTGGGTCACTTGAGATCAGGAGTTCGAGACCAGCCTGGGCAACATGGTGAGACCCTGTCTCTACTAAAAATGCCAAAATTAGCTGGGCATGGTGGAGCATGCCTGTAGTCCCAGCTACTTAGGATGCTGAGGCAGGAGAATTGCTTGAACCCGGAAGATGGAGGTTTCAGTGAGCCAAGATCGTACCACTGCACTCCAGCCTGGGTGACAGAGCAAGACTCTGTCTTAAAAAAAATAAAAATAAAAAAATGTATTGTTGGATGATCGTTTAAGAATGAGGGAGTGAAACTGACTCACAAAGACATGAACCTGTCTGCAGGAAGGGATATTTGAATAGAATATAATTTTATAAGTGGTCAGTTCATTGGATAATTTGTGTTATAACTTTTGATTACATACACAACTTTGTCATGCAAGAATATTGGTACTCAATGCTCAGATAAAAAACAAATGCTGTGATAAGACGATGCATAGTCTTTTATTTTTATTATTTTATTTTTATTTTTGAGATAGAGTCTTGCTGTGTCACCCAGGCGGGAGTGCAGTCATGTGATCTCGACTCACTGCAACCTCTGCCTCCTGGGTTCAAGTTATTCTCTTGCCTCAACATCCCGAGTAGCTGAGATTATAGGCGCCTGCCACCATGCCTGGCTAATTTTTTTGTATTTTCAGTAGAGATGGGATTTCACCATGTTGGCCAGGCTGGTCTCGAACTCCGGGCCTCAAGCGATCTGCCCACCTCAGACTTCCAAAGTGCTGGGATTACAGGTATGAGCCACCACACCTGGCTTATTTTTATGTTTTTTTGAAAATGGGGTCTTGCTATGTTGTCCAAACAGGTCTTGAACACCTGGGCTTAAGCTATCCTCCTGCCTCTGCCTCCCTAAGTGCTAGGATTACAGGCATGAGCCACCACACTCAGCCCAATGCATAGTCTTTTCTAAATTTGGGCATCACTTTTGTTTTTGTTTTTGTTTTTTTTTTTGAGACAAGTCTCACTTTGTCGCCCAGGCTGGAGTGCAGTGATCTCGGCTCACTGCAAGCTCTGCCTCCTGGGTTCACGCCATTCTCCTGCCTCAGCCTCCCTAGTAGCTGGGACTACAGGCGCCCGCCACCACACCTGGCTAATTTTTTGTATTTTTAGTAGAGACGGGGTTTCACCATGTTGGCCAGGATGGTCTTGATCTCTTGACCTCGTGATCCACCTGCCTCGGCCTCCCAAAATGCTGGGATTACAGGCATGAGCCACTGCGCCCGGCCTAAATTTGGGCATCACTTTTTAAGGATTGTCACAAATGGGATTTACTAAAGATTATGTACAGGTTGTTGATAAATTTTGACAGAACTTCAGCAATCAAGAGCATACTCATTTCACCAAATTTGTATGTCTTGTTTATCGTTATTTTTAAAATATTCATTAATTTGATAGTTTAAAAATGTTCTTTTAATATGTTTGATTTGTTTTAATATGACTGTTGTTTTAATATGTTTTTTAACATATTAGTTGTTTTAATATGTTTGATTGATTTATGGCTATGCATTCTAATTAGTGTTTATTAACCAGTTACTTGTGGCCCTTCCTGTACACTTTCTGGTTATGGTCTTTGCCCAGTTATCTGTTGGGTGGAGTTTTAGTATTCTTTTCTGTTGATTTGTTTAAACTCTATATAGTTAAGAGATATTAGCACTTATATTTGTTGAAGTTTTTCAGGGATTTTTCCTTTTGCTTGTATTTTATTTATACAGAAGTTTAAAATCTAAAACGTCTGTGTCATCAAATGAGGTAGTTCGTCATCATCTTCTGGAATGTAAGTCCCATGAAAGAAGGGACTGTTGTCTGCCTTATTTATCAATGCCCACTACCTCATATAGTGCTGAAAAAATGTGTTGAATTAATGAATGAGATCTATGTATCTTTCCCTTATTTATTTCTTCTACTACTTAAAAAATTCCCTCCAGAGACATATTCACTTTAATTTCTTCTAATTTTTACTTGTGATTTTTTTTTTTTTTTTTTTTTTTTGAGATAGTCTTGCTCTGTCGCCCAGGCTGGAGCGCAGTGACATAATCTTGGCTCACTGCAGGCTCCACCTCCCGGGCTCAAGCAATCCTCCCACCTCAGCTTCCTGAGTAACTAATAGGTGTGTGTCATCATGCCTGGATAATTTTTTTGGTAGAGACAGGATCTCACTATGTTGCCCAGGCTGGTACTTTTGATTTTCAAAAAAGTTTTAATTCTCTAATTCTTCTGAAATGTGTTTTGCATTCTAAGGTGGTAGTGTCATTTGAGCCCTGTTGACTTAGAATAGGCTGCCTCAATGTTGATATATGTGAAACCTACAATCACCAGAAATCTGAGCTGTAGATCTGGTGCAATATAGTAGATACCTATAGACATTCACCTAGTCTCTTCAAATACTTTTGAGAATGAGGCTAGTTATAAAAGATACAAACAGGCACCCATCTTTCCTTTCTTAACATGATCAGTGAAAATGAGCTCGCTGAAATACTTTAGTCACTTATACATACAATCTCAAAGGTTAGGCCAGGCACAGTGGCTCACGCCTGTAATCCAGCACTTTGGGAGGCCGAGGTGGGCAGATCACTTGAGGTCAGGAGTTTGAGACCAGCTTGGCCAACATGGTGAAACTGCATCTCTACTAAAAAAAAAAACAAAAATTAGCTGGGTGTGGTGGTGCACACCTGTAATCCCAGCTACTTGGGAGAATGAAGCCCAAGAATAGCTTGAACCTGAGAGGCAGAGTTTGCAGTGAGCGGAGATCATGCCACTGCACCCCAGCCTGGGTGACAGAGCAAGACTCCGTCTCAAAAACAAACAACAAAACAACAACAACAAAATCTCAAAGGTTAACCTATGAAAAAATGAATAATGACCATATGAAGGCATATCAGATTACTACTTAGTTTTTTAGTTATCAAAAGTACATTAAGTTTGAATTTAGAAATGCTCTAGGATCTTATGTGCCCGAAGGCCTCTTGATATAGAGGAGCTATTCTCACTTGTTAAAAACAAAACAAAACATGCAGCCTTCTTTGTGTCAGGGATTCAGGTGAATTATATTTTGTCCCCCAGTGTAGGTGGAGAAACAACTGGTAAGGAATTTGGTTGGAAAATGATTTTTAATCTTCACATTACCAATGTAAAGTTGTATACTTATTGGCTATTTACGTTATTTTCGAAATAACTGAGTCATTGGTGATGGATCAGCATCATTTTTTTGTCCATAGGAAAGTCTGTGAGGAGAGTATCTACATGTGCCTTTTGGGGTAGACGCCAGAGGACATATTCTACCATAAGTAAAAAGGGCCATTTTTTTTTTACCCACAGAGAAACATTGTGTTGAAAACTTCTACCAGACACCATTCACTTTTAGCTCCTTGATAAGGACCAAGCCTCACAAATTGCAAGACCAAAATGTGTGCTTCACTCACAACAGCATGGTTTAAAGAGGAACAAATCCTAATCATTTTCATCCAAGAGAACTGGACAAAGCAAAACTTTCATTTGTAGTTTCTCCTCCCTTCACTCCTCCCCTTTAATTGATTTTATTGCTTTCATAAGTGACCTAAATAAGTCTCTTGATCCACCTTAAAACTGCATGATTTTATTCCCTCCTGAATGTGTTTCAAAATGTGGGCATTAAGGATATCAGATACTCTGCACTACTTCTTTGAACATATATGGGCTACTTTTTGATGACTACTTATTAATCCCATTAGAATAAAGAAGAGTGAGAAGATTTTCTTTTTCTAAAGACCACCCCTCCCCACCACCACCAACATCTACTTGGCATTGAGACTATACAGACTCAGTGCTTTTCTTGTCTATTGCTGGTGGGAGTATACATTAATACAACTCTTTGAAAGGAGTTTGGCAGTATGTATTAAGGTATAAAAACTGCCTTTTCACCCATAAATTCTACTTTAAGAAAACCCTCCTAAAGTAATTATCTTAAATACAGAAATATTCACCTATACAAAGATATGATCAAGGGATAATTTGCTCAAATGTGGCTATAAGAGTTTTAATTTTTTTAAAAGGTATAATTTGTAGTAGCAAGATAACAGTAGCAACAATTTAATAGCAGAGGGGAAATCATTTTAAAAGAATATTATGTATCCACCCAAAAAATATTTGGCAGCCATTTTAAACAATGATTGGGAAAATTATTAAAATAGCACCAGAAATGTTTATGATCTAATGTGTAGTGAAAAATGCAGGATCAAATTGAGATATGTATTGTGATTAATGTCAGAAAAATCATGTGTATGAAAAATAGGAAATGCATTAAAATTCTTTTAATGGCTATGCTGAGACACAGTGACTAAAGGTGATTGCTTATATTTCTTTCTCTTCAATTGGTTTCACAGTATTTCAAAATATAATTTTGTTTGTTTGTGATGGAGTCTTGCAGTGTCGCCCAGGCTGGAGTGCAGTGGTGCCATCTTGGCTCACTGCAATCTTTGCATTCTGGGTTCAAGCAATTCTCCTGCCTCAGTCTCCCAAGTAGCTGGGATTACAGGTGCCCGCCACCAGGCCTGGCTAATTTTTGCATGTTTAGTGGAGATGGGGTTTTGCCATGCTGGCCAGGCTGGTCTCAAACTCCTGACCTCGAGTGATCTGCCCACCTTGGCCTCCCAAAGTGCTGGGATTACAGGCGTGAGCCACCGTGCCCAGCCCAAAATATAATTTTTAAAAGCAGAAAACAGGCAGTGTTTGAGGAAAAGAGCCATCAATATGGTTAAGATGAAAACACTTTGTTATTAAATAAAAATAGTCCCACTTTCTGCTACTTAATTAGGACTCAGTCATTCGTATGATGTTTGGGGTCTCTAGTGATTTACTAAGCAGATTCTTTGCAGTTATTGTTTCTCTTAGTTGTATATATAGTGAAAAAATGAGACACACACATCTTTCCTGATAGTGGGAACAAAAAAAAGTGGGTTTCTTTGATGTCAGAAATATTTCGTTTCTGTATTTCTTAAAACCTGACAGGCCTATAAAGAATAAGGAAAGGATTAGACAACCAGGAGTCTGTACAGATACAAATGGTCGTTACATGATCTGTTTCAGTCACCTTTAAAAGTTCGAAAGTATCAGACCTGTGGCATAGACTATGCCCTCAAACCAGCATTGTGAAACGCTGCGGAATCATTCCAACTGTTTTAGCATTTAAGGAATGAATTCAATTAAAAACTAAGCTGATAGTTTGAAATTCCAAGGGGAACAGAAAAAGAATTAATAAACACAGTCTGGCTGAGTAAACCAGAAAATTGATTTCTGCTTGAATGGAATTTGGAAGCTAAGATAATTTAAGTAGGTCCCAGTCTCAACCTCCTCAAATATGTTTTACTTGTGGGTAACATTTTGGGAAAAATATAACATTTCAAATATAGCTTATAGATGTGCTAGAATTTTTTTTTTTTTTTTTTTTCTGATACATAGTCTCACTATCACCCAGGCTGGAGTCCAGTGGCAGGATCTCGGCTCACTGCAATCTCCGCTTCCCAGGTTCAAGTGATTCTCCAGCCTCAGCTTCCCCAGTAGCTGGGATTACAGGCGTCTGCCACCATGCCCAGCTAATTTTTGTATTTTTAGTAGAGATGGGGTTTCACCATGTTGGCCAGGCTGGTCTTGAACTCCTGAGTTCAGGTGATCTGCCCACCTCTGCCTCCCAAAGTGTGGGGATTACAGGCATAAGCCACTGCGCCTGGCCTGTGCCTGAATTTTCAAGAAAATGATGTTTATCCTGGCAATTTTTCTTCTTAAAAAATCTGTGCTGCTTTTCCAACAGCGTTAACATCAGCCGAGTCATGTATTGCCATCCAGCTGTGAGCGTGAAGAATTTCCTGTACTTTCTTATAACAATTTCTTGACTGGAAACAGAAGAGTGAATGTATTGGTTAGAATTTTTTCAGTTGTGATTGACAGAAACCTTCCAAATTAGCTTAAGCAAAAAATAAAAACATAAAGGTGGGGTGGAATGTACTGGTGCCTATAACCTTGGCACGTTAGGTACTGTTTTATCTTCATCTCTCTCCTACTTTGCACGTGCTATCCCTTGGGCTAGGCAAAATGGCTGCCCCAGGGCCGCACCCTGCCCATTTAGCAGGGAATGTGAAAAGGCAGGCTCCTCTGATTGGCCAGTTAGGGTCAGGTGCCTGCCCCTGGGCCAATCACTGTAATCAGGAACAGGGGATCCTCTGGTCAGTCTAGGTCCCCTACCCATCTCTATGTGCGGTGTGAGGTGCTCTGCCCTACCCACACTGAGGGAGTGACCTTAGTTAAACAGAGACTAGGGAAAGAATGCCAGGAAGCGGGACAACACCTACCTACTACCTGGACTGCAAAAAGAGGGTGCTCATGCTATCTTAAGTGAAAGGAATCTCCAGGACAGAGGCATGAAAATGTGTCCGGAATTGGTGGGTTCTTGGTCTCACTGACTTCAAGAATGAAGCCGTGGACACTCGCAGTGAGTGTTACAGCTCTTAAGGTGGCGCGTCTGGAGTTTGTTCCTTCTGATGTTCGGATATGTTCGGAGTTTCTTCCTTGTCGTGGGTTCGTGGTCTCGCTGGCTCAGGAGTGAAGCTGCATACCTTCGCGGTGAGTGTTACAGCTCATAAAAGCAGTATGGACCCAAAGAGTGAGCAGTAGCAAGATTTATTGCAAAGAGCGAAAGAACAAAGCTTCCACAGTGTGGAAGGGGACTCGAGTGGGTTGCCACTGCTGGCTCGGGGAGCCTGCTTTTTTTCTCTTATCTGGCCCCACCCACATCCTGCTGATTGGTAGAGCCGAGTGGTCTGTTTTGACAGGGCGCTGATTGGTGTGTTTACAATCCCTGAGCTAGACATAAAGGTTCTCTAAGTCCCCACTAGATTAACTAGATACAGAGTGTTGACACAAAGGTTCTCCAAGGCCCCACCAGAGTAGCTAGATACAGAGTGTGGATTGGTGCATTCACAAACCCTGAGCTAGACACAGGGTGCTGATTGGTGTATTTACAAACCTTGAGCTAGATACAGAGTGCCGATTGGTGTATTTACAATCCCTGAGCTAGACATAAAGGTTCTCCAAGGCCCCACCAGAGTAGCTAGATACAGAGTGTGGATTGATGCATTCACAAACCCTGAGCTAGACACAGGGTGCTAATTGGTGTGTTTACAAACCTTGAGCTAGATAGAGTGCTGATTGGTGTATTTACAATCCCTGAGCTAGACATAAAGGTTCTCCACGTCCCCACCAGACTCAGGAGCCCAGCTGGCTTCACCCAGTGGATCCCGCACCAGGGCTGCAGGTGGAGCTGCCTGCCAGTCCCGCACCATGTGCCCGCACTCCTCAGCCCTTGGGTGTCGATGGGACTGGGTGCCATGGAGCAGGGGGCGGCACTCATCAGGGAGGCTGGGGCTGCACAGGAGCCCATACAGGGGGTGGGAGGCTCAGGCATGGCGGGCTGCAGGTCCTGAGCCCTGCCCCTTGGGAAGGCAGCTAAGACCCGGTGAGAAACCGAGCGCAGCACTGGTGGGCTGGCACTGCTGGGGGACCCAGTACACCCTCTGCAGCCGCTGGCCCGGGTGCTAAGCCCCTCGTTGCCCGGGGCCGGCAGGGCCGGCCAGCTGCTCCGAGTGCGGGGCCCACCAAGCCCATGCCCACCCGGAACTCCAGCTGGCCCGCAAGCACCACGCGCAGCCCCGGTTCCCACTTGCGCGTCTCCCTCCACACCTCCCTGCAAGCTGAGGGAGCCGGCTCTGGCCTTGGCCAGCCCAGAAAGGGGCTCCCACAGTGCAGCGGTGGGCTGAAGGGCTCCTTAAGTGCCGCCAAAGTGGGAGCCCAGGCAGAGGAGGTGCTGAAAGCGAGAGAGAGCTCTGAGGACTGCCAGCACGCTGTCACCTCTCAATCCCCCCTCTAAACAGGACACCCCAACTGCTGTTGGGAATTTGGCCAATGACCGTTCTAGCTACTTCCTGCTGGAGAGGGGCGATGAAGGGGCCCTGCAGTTGTAGTGTCCTCCAGAGGGGAGGTCTCTAGGCCAGTGGAAGTGCCAGTGGGTCGGTCCAGGGGTCCTCGGTAGAAGTTGTTAGTTTAACTCATTTGGGGTTCCATTTGTAAAACCATCTGTAGCTTGATGGCCTCGATTCTAGAGGAAACAAATTTGATAAGAAGTTTAAAAATACAGGGCCCAAAGGCTAGTAACAGCAAGATGGCTGCCAAGGGACCTAGAAAGGGGAGAAGCCATGTTGCCCAACTCCGGAGGTTGGCATAAGAATTTGAAAGGCATTGTCTGATTTCAGAAGCGTTTTCCTGTAAACGCCGGGCGGTATCTCATACTATCCTTGACTGGTTAGTGTAAAAACAACACTCTTCCCCTAAGAAGGTGCAGAGTCCTCCTTTTTCAGCAGTGAGGAGGTCTAGGCCTCAGCGGTTTTGGAGAGTCACTGCTGCCAAAGAGTCTATTTGGGATTGTAAAGTAAGGATAGATTTCATTATTTCTTGCAAACTGTCTGAGAAATCCTTTGAGAGTGTGTGGTAGTAGGATAATGAAGTTGATAAACCAGCTATTCCGGTTCCTGTAGCAGCAGCCATTCCTAACCCTATAAATAGGGGTATTAGTTGTATGGCTCTGCGCTGACGGACTTGAGCTTTGAGGGGTACTGATAAGGTCTGATTTCCTGGGGCAATGTTAATGTTGGGACTTAGAAAGACTAAGGTGCAGGTGCCTGTCCAGTTAGTGGGGAGGCAGATATAGGTCAATGTTCCACATAGAAAAATATGCCTTGGCTGGGTAGACAGAAATTTACCCTGGCTTTTAAAGGAATGGGATACAGTGTTTTTTCTTTACTACTTCCATCTCTCTTTTTTTCTCTTTGACTTCTCCTTTGTCTCTTTCTCTTTCTCTCTGACTCCCTCTTTGGTTCTTCCTCTCTTTCTTTCTCTTTCTTTTTCTCTCTTTCCTTCTTGCTGGTCTTTCCCTACCTCTGCCAGCCGCTTATGCTGCTGTTCTCCCCTCTCCTTCCCATTTGGATGGCTTTGTCAGTGTAAGATTCCCACCTCTTTGTATTTTTGCATTGCATGCAATAACTCTATAATTTCCTTGTGGTATTTAATGGGGGTTTCCCCAGAGATTAGGAACTCCTTCTCTTTCCATATTGCAGCATGGACATGTAGGATTAGATAAGCATACTTGCTATCTGTATACACATTTATTCTTTTTCCCTTTCCCAGTTTTAAGGCTCAGGTAAGTGCCACTAGTTCTGCTAACTGGGCACTGGTCCCTGGGGGAAGAGGCTTGCTTTCAAGTATGGTTACATCACTAACTATGGCATAACCTGCCCTTCGTATCCCATTCTCCACAAATGAACTTCCATCAGTATATAGGTTAAGGTCAGGATTAGTTAAGGGGACTTCTAAGAGATCATCTCAGGCAGCGTAAGTCTGGACTATAATTTGTTGGCAGTCATGTTCGATTGGTTCCCCATCCTCTGGGAGAAAAGTGGCAGGGTTGAGGGCCACGCAGGTGTGTATTTGAAGCACCAGTCCCTCAAGGAGTAGCGCCTGGTATCTAAGTAGGCAGTTGTCTGATAGCCATAAACTTCCTTTGGCACCTAGTATGCCATTTACATCATGAGTAGTCCAGACAGTGAGATCCTTTCCTTGTATTATTTTGATAGCCTCTGACACTAAGACGGCCACTGCTGCAACTACCCTTAAACAGCGAGGCCAGCCTTTTGCTACTACATCAGTTTCCTTACTTAGGTATGCCACCGGTTGTGGGGTTGTCCCATGAGTCTGAGTAAGGACTCCAAGAGCTATCCCGGCTCTCTCTGTGACGTATAAAGAGAAGTTCTGTCCTGTGGGAAGGCTTAAAGCTGGAGCTTGTACTAGGGCCTGCTTTAAGGTTTTGAAGGCTGTTTCTGCCTCTGGTTGCCATTCTACTAGATGAGCATTTGCCCTCTGGGTTTCCTTGATTGGAGTATAGAGGGGTCTGGCTATCTCACTGTATCCGGGGATCCATAGTTGGCAAAAGCTGGTAATTCCAAGGAACCCCCTCAACTGTTTTAACGTCTTAGGGCAAGGATAAGCCAGTATAGGCTGTATTTGTTCCTTGCTGAGGGCCCTGGCCCCTCTGGCTAAGATTCGGCCTAGATATTTGACCTGCTGTAGGCAAAGCTGGGCCTTCGACCTAGACACCTTGTACCCTTGATTAGCTAGAAAGTTCAAGAGATCTAGAGTAGCCTGCTGGCATGAGGCTTCCAAACTGGTAGCCAAAAGTAAATCATCCACATATTGAAGGACCAGAGTGCCTGGACTTGAGAAGTGGCCTAGATCTTGGGCCAGTGCCTGATCAAACAGATGAGGGCTATCCCTAAACCCCTGGGGCAAGACTGTCCACGTAAGTTGGGACATGTGGTCTGCGGGATCCTCAAAGGCAAAGAGGAACTGGGAGTCAGAATGCAGGGGAATACAGAAGAAGGCATCCTTGAGGTCCAGAACCATGAACCATTCTGCTTCCTCTGGTATATGAGAGAGCAGGATATAGGGGTTGGGTACAACTGGATATAGTGGAATTTCTGCCTCATTAATGAGTCTAAGATCTTGCACTAGTCTCCACTGACCGTTTGGTTTTTTTACTCCCAGAATTGGGGTGTTGCAGGGACTGCTGCATTTCCTTACTAAGCCGTGAGCTTTCAAATGTTTAACAGTATTCCGTAATCCTTTATGAGCTTCATGCCTTAGGGGATATTGCTTTTGATAAGGAAAAGTGGTGGGATCTTTTAACCTGATTTGGACTGGGTGGGCATTTTTTGCCCTTCCAAATTGTCCTTCCAATGCCCAGACTTCAGGGTTGATTCCCTCTTTAAGTAGGGGACAACAAATGGGTAACTTGTTCCCCATATTCATGTAGATAATAGCTCCAGCCTTGGCTAATATATCTCTCCCTAATAAGGGTGTGGGACTTTCAGGCATAACAAGAAAGGCATGTGAAAAGAGCAAAGTCTCCCAATTACAACTGAGGAGGTGGGAGAAATACCTGGTTACAGACTGTCCCAGGATTCCTCAGATGGTAATGGATCTTGAGGATAGTCGTCCAGGACAGGAGATTAACACTGAGAAGGCTGTGCCAGTGTCCAGGAGGAAGTCAATTTCCTGGCCCTCAATAGTTAAACATACCCGGGGCTCAGTGAGGGTGATGACATGAGCTGGCACTTGCCCCGGGCACCCTCAGTCCTGTTGTTGGATCATCTGGTTAGGGGCTTCTGACCCAGGGAACCTTCATCCTCTGGGCAGTGCACCTTCCAGTGATTGCCTCGGCATAGTGGACATGGACGAGGGGGCAGTTTGTTTCTCATTGGACAATCTTTTTTAAAGTGTCCCAGTAAACCACACTGATAACAAGCCCTACCAGGTGATTGGCCTGCTCCATTTTCTGTCCTCTCTGAACCACCAAGGTTTGTCTGTCTGAGGGCCATGACTAAGGCTGTGGCCTTTCTCTGATCTCGCTTTTCCTTTTGGGCCTGTTCCTCTTGGTCCCTCTTATAGAACACCAAGGTTGCCAGGTTTAATAATATCTCTAGAATTTGTTCAGGGCCCAGGGCTTGCTTTTGGAGCTTTCTCCTGATATCTGCGGCTGATTGGGTAATAAACTTATCTTTTAGAATCAATTGACCCTCGAGTGATTTGGGTGACAGGGGAGTATATTTTCTTAAGGCCTCTCGTAGCTGCTCGAGGAAGGCAGAAGGATTTTCCTCCTTTCCCTGAGTTACGGTGGACATCATTGAATAATTCATGGGCTTTTTTCTAGTTCTCCTTAGTCCTTCTAGAACACAGGTCAACAGATGTTTACGACTCCAGTCCCCATGATATGAGTCAAGGTCCCAGTGGGGATCCATACTGGGGATGGCTTGCTGACCAGTAGGGAATTTGTCCCTTTCGTCGGCTGTCATTCTGTCATTTACTTGACTAAGATACCAGGTATCTCCAAACTCTCGGGCTGCAGCTAAAGCTGCATTCTTTTCATTACAGGCCAGGGTTTGATCTAACAGTAGCATGACATCTCTCCAAGTGAGGTCAAAGGTTTGCCCTAGACCCTGTAGGACCTGATAGGTACATAGGATCTATGTACCTATCAGGATCATCTGAAAACCTCCCCAGGTCTGCCTTGATCTGCTTTAAATCAGAGAGGGAGAAGGGGACATGTACCCGGGTTGGGCCAAATTCCCCTCCCCCTACAGCTTGAAGGGGACATAACCGATAGCCCGGGGTTTTTTATGGTCCTTTGGAGATTTCTTTGCTTACTTCCTTCTGGGCAGGGGAGATTAGAAAAGGATTATCATTAATAGGAAGGGGAGCTATAGGGAGGCTAGGATATGGGGGTAAGCTGAGGGGTCCTCCTGTGGGATGTAAATTGCAAGCTTTGCATAGTTGTGTATTCTCTCTCAATGAAAAGAAAGCTCGGACATAAGGTATTTCACTCCATTTGCCTTGCCTCTTACAGAAAAGGTCAAGCTGCAGGATAGTATTGTAATTTGTACTTCCCTCAGATGACCATTTTTCCCCATCAGAGAGAGAATACTGGGGCCAAGCCGTAGTGCAGAAAATAATGAGCTGCCTCTTTTTCAGGGTTTATGGGTCAAATTGGTCCCAAAGGCTTAGGATGCATTTCAAGGGTGGGCCTGTTGATGCCTGAATGTTTCCCATCTGAAAGACAAAACCGCCCGCAGTTTTGGTTTATTTTGTTTCTTCCCCTGCTCGAGAACCTGCAATGGTCCCTGGACCCTGCTGATTGGAATAGTTGCGCTCACTGACGCAGCAGCAGAAACAACCCCTGCCCAAGAACCTGCAACGGTCCCCGGACCCTGCTGATCGGAATAGTTGGGCTCACCGACGCAGCAGCAGAAACACTAGTTTTCCTCCCAGACCACATGGAGGACCAAAGAAGGTTGGATTTAGTGGTCCTTACCTACGCATTCTCGAAAACCTGCACCCTTGCCTGTCCTCCTAGACCACAGGGAGGACCGACCGAGAAAAATCGGATTTAGTGGCCCTTACCGACACATTCTCGAAAACCTGTTAGAGTCCTAAGCATTCTCCTGTTAGTGTTGGGACTTTACCCCTTTCCTATAAAGATGTTATGCCCCAAAAATGAAGTGGAGGGCCATACCCTGAGGGAGGGAAGGGATCTTCAGGGTTGGAAGAGTGACACCTTTGCTCATGAATAGGAAGGATACAATTTCTGAGGCTCCCCATATCCTAGCTTCAGGAATAGCTTTTGTTAGGCCTGTTAGTCTGAGGAGGGATCCTAAAATTCCAGGTAGTCCCCACTATGATGGGGCTTTGGGCAAAAATTATGTCTTTCTGATTGGTGAACCCGGGTGCCTAAAGAAGGTAACAGAGTCCTGGAGTTTATAGTAGAAATCATTCTTATAGGAGAAACTAAAAAAGCACCAGAGACAGGTAGCAATTTTTAGAAGCGGGACTAACCTCAGAGAAGAGAGGTGAGAGGAAGTTTGTGTGGCAGGCCTTAGGACCCAGGGGGCAAGGGTCAGGATAGATAGGATAGATGGGTGAGTCTCGCTTGGGTGACATGCTTTTAGAGTTCTGCTCATGGCCGCAGGGTCAACCAACTTGTTGTCGGGACCCTGGAGCTGCATGGCTTTCCTCTCTGTCAACCCTCGGCTCAGCCCAGAAGTACAGGAAAAGCAGAAGCTGGTTCTAGGCAAACCAATGATCCCAACTCTGAAGAGTCGGGGGTTGTTAGAGAGCCCCCTCCCAGAAAGCCTGACACCCATGTTTTTAGTCCGGTGTCCGCACTAGTCACTTTTAGCTGGCTGACAGGTGCCCGGTATTTAGCCCCTGAATTCTAAGGAAAAATAGGACAGAATAGCAAGCTAAAGGGGTCCGATGGTACTCACTGCTTGGCGATAGGTGATGGTCTCATTGCTCGGCGATGGTCTCACCGCTTGGCGATTGTCTCACCGCTTGGTGATAGGCAAATGTCCCATCTGGGTCGCCAAAATGTGTCCAGAATTGGTGGGTTCTTGGTCTCACTGAGTTCAAGAATGAAGCCGCGGACCCTCGTGGTGAGTGTTACAGCTCTTAAGGTGGCGCGTCTGGAGTTTGTTCCTTCTGATGTTCGGATGTGTTCGGAGTTTCTTCCTTCTTGTGGGTTCGTGGTATCACTGGCTCAGGAGTGAAGCTGCAGACTTTCGTGGTGAGTGTTACAGCTCTTAAGGTGGCGTGTCTGGAGTTGTTCATTCCTCCCAGTGGGCTCATGGTCTCGCTGGCCTCAGGAGTGAAGCTGCAGACCTTCGCGGTGAGTGTTACAGCTCATAAAAGCAGTGTGGACCCAAAGAGTGAGCAGTAGCAAGATTTATTGCAAAGAGCGAAAGAACAAAGCTTCCACAGTGTGGAAGGGGACTCGAGTGGGTTGCCACTGCTGGCTCGGGGAGCCTGCTTTTTTTCTCTTATCTGGCCCCACCCACATCCTGCTGATTGGTAGAGCCGAGTGGTCTGTTTTGACAGGGCGCTGATTGGTGTGTTTACAATCCCTGAGCTAGACATAAAGGTTCTCTAAGTCCCCACTAGATTAACTAGATACAGAGTGTTGACACAAAGGTTCTCCAAGGCCCCACCAGAGTAGCTAGATACAGAGTGTGGATTGGTGCATTCACAAACCCTGAGCTAGACACAGGGTGCTGATTGGTGTGTTTACAAACCTTGAGCTAGATACAGAGTGCTGATTGGTGTATTTACAATCCCTGAGCTAGACATAAAGGTTCTCCACGTCCCCACCAGACTCAGGAGCCCAGCTGGCTTCACCCAGTGGATCCCACACCAGGGCTGCAGGTGGAGCTGCCTGCCAGTCCCGCACCATGTGCCCGCACTCCTCAGCCCTTGGGTGGTCGATGGGACTGGGCACCTTGGAGCAGGGGGCGGCACTCATCAGGGAGGCTGGGGCTGTACAGGAGCCCATGGAAGGGGTGGGAGGCTCAGGCATGGTGGGCTGCAGGTCCCGAGCCCTGCCCCTTGGGAAGGCAGCTAAGACCCAGCGAGAAACTGAGCACAGCACTGGTGGGCTGGCACTGCTGGGGGACCCAGTACACCCTCCGCAGCTGCTGGCCTGGGTGCTAAGCCCCTCATTGCCCGGGGCCAGCAGGGCCCACCAGCTGCTCTGAGTGTGGGGCCCACCAAGCCCATGCCCACCCGGAACTCCAGCTGGCCCGCAAGCGCCACGCGCAGCCCCGGTTCCCACTCGCGCCTCTCCCTCCACACCTCTCTGCAAGCTGAGGGAGCCGGCTCTGGCCTTGGCCAGCCCAGAAAGGGGCTCCCACAGTGCAGCGGTGGGCTGAAGGGCTCCTCAAGTGCCGCCAAAGTGGGAGCCCAGGCAGAGGAGGCGCCGAGAGCGAGCGAGGGCTCTGAGGACTGCCAGCACGCTGTCACCTCTCAAAAATAGAAAGATGGCCTTCCAGATTTCCATTCTTCTCAATGCCCTTCATTCCTTTGGTGCCTCACTTGTCTGAAGTTGCTTCTCCTACTGTTAGCAAAGCATCTGGGAGATGTAAGAGAACTTCCTAGTCCTGCTCCTGCCGGTGCTGAGGCTTTAGCCATTTGCGTTGTCAGGGCAGCTCTCACACCTGGGGCAGCAGCCTGGGGAAGTGGGAGGAGAGGGTTCAGGGCAGTTGCCAGCCCTGTCCAAGTTTGAGGCCAGAACTGCCTCAGATTTCAAACCATTGTGGGTTGCCTTCTGCTCCTGCGGCCTCCTAAGAAAACAGAGGATGAGGCAGTGAACACCTACAGCCAGTCTGAATTACCTGGGCGTCCTTGGCATGTGTGTTCCTGTGAAAGCTGCACCTTGAGGTGGGGCAGGTTTGTGATCACTTGGTGTTGCCCCTCCCATGTGACAGCCTAACTAGAAACCCAGACCGTCATATTTTCTCTCTTTGCAGAAATAAACAGTACCAAGGTAGACTTCAGAGGTATCGCCAATTACTAATTTTGCAAATGTGAATAACTTTTGGCCCCTAACAGGTTTGCTTCTACCCCATCCACCAGCGTATATGACCCCCTTGTCTTGGGAACCTGTAGACCAATGTTGACAGAATTCTAGAATTTCCTGAGTTGCATAGGCCCTGCCACACACCACCTCTTGAGTGCCCAGAGAGGTGGCTGTAGCTTTTCTCTGTACCCACCTCCACACAGGATTCTGTCCTCCTTGCTGAGGGGCTTTTTTTTTTTTTTCCTCTTTTGAGCAGTGTGTCACACACACCAAATTTGGGGAGATCATTTTTACCACCCCATGTAGTAATTTCAGTTTATGCTGCTTATTACTTGTATTTAATGCATGGATATATATAGATATTTGGGGTCATAATTTTTTTCTGACCCTTTCTCTTTTCAATATATCAACTGAAAGCTGTTTGTGCTAAGATAAATGGGAGTGGATTGTGTGCTCTTTCTAGACTCCCTTTAGCTTTACGATTTTAAAGAAAAACAGCTTAGAACTAACTACTGATACTTTCCAGCCCTGAGAAGCAAGGCCAGTAACTGGTTCTGGCTCCCACAGCTGAAACGCTAAATCACTGGTTTCTAACCCCGCTGAGCCTCACTTTCTCATCTGTTAAATAGAGATATTAGCACCTCCTGCACCAGGCTGGCATGAGGATGAAATGAAAGTAGGTGTATGAAAGAATGCTGTGAAGTAGAGATGGCTGCAGGGAGGGGCAGCACTCTGGCTCTCCGGTCTGTGGGGAGCTGTCAGTGCGCAGCAGTGAAGGCTGCCTGGTGAACCCGTTTTGGGTCAGGCTAGAGAGGAGGCCTGGAAGACCAGCACCCAAAGGGCTTTAATCTGCTCCTGTCTGTAAACGAGAATTCAGAATGAAGGCTTGCAGAAACTGGAAATACATGGTGACATTTAGATGTTTACATCTGCCATCAGACTGTAAAAACCATTCTCATGTTCATACACACGTGAAAAGCAAAAAGGTGTTAACCTGAGAAAGTTGAATTTCAGGTCCCTCAGTGCATTTTTTTTTTTTTTTTTTTAAGAGATGGGGTTTCACCATGTTGGTCAGGCTGGTCTCAAACTCCTGGCCTCAAGAGATCTACCCACGTGGGCCTCCAAAAGTGCTGGGATTACAGGCGTGAGCCACTGCATCCAGCCCCTCAGTGCATTTTTTGACAGGAGCCTATGCAGACATCTGTGAATACACACCACATGTTTCTTGGTCCACTTAGTCCATTCCTGCTGCTGTAACAAAATACCTTAGACTGGGTAATTTATAAACCATAGAAATGTATTGTTCACAGTTCTGGAGGCCAGGAAGTCCAAGATCAAGGTTGGTGTCTGATGAGGGCCCCTTCCTCATAGATGGTGCTTCTAGCTGTATCTGCACGTGGCGAAGGGCAGAAGCTTCCACCATAAGAGGATGCAGCTAGAAAGCAGCATCCTTCCTGTCTGAGGAAGGCAGACAAGCTTCCTCAGGCCTCTTTTATAAGCGCAGGAGTCCCATCCCTGAGGAAGAAGCCCTAATGACATAATCACCTCCCAAAGGCCCCACATCTTAACACTATCACAGGGGCCATTAGGTTCCAACATACGAATTTTGGGGGGACATCAGCATCCAGACCATAGCAGAGCACAGAGATTCTTCACCTGGGAAATAGAACGTGTGCGCTTTCTGGGGAAGGATGATTTTTTTAAAGTAAGTTTAGCAAATTCAAGTTGGTTACTATGGAGTAAGATTGAGTCATATCTCATATTAAAGGATTTGCTCTATGGTTTATTTTCCTCATGAGTTTACATGATCTCATTTGTCTTAACAACTTAAAATTAAATTTTGTAACATAGTAATGATTAAAAATCCCTTTTGCACATGAATCTGAGTGCACTCCGCCAGTCTCTACCTGCTTGCTCCGTGCCTTTGCCCCTCATATCCCTCCCTCCCTGTCCACCTGTGTCCTCCCTATCTTCAAGGGGTTACTCCAGATGCCTCTTCCCTGGAGCTTCCTCATATCACTTGCCTCTCCCCGTGGCCTCCCCTCACTGTGAACTCACCATAAGCCCTCCGAGTTGGTATACTCACTCATTTCATATTGAATTCTATTCTGTGACAGTTTGCTTTTTGGTTGCTGTGGTGGTGGTGGTTCCTTAATTCGTATATTGGGATTTTCACTAGATTTTTGTCCTTGTCTTCACAACTAGATTGTAGGCACCCTGAAGTCAATGATCCTAGACGAAATGTCTTTAACATCTGCCAGAATCTCTGGCCTAAATACCTTGCTCACAGCAGGTTTCAGTGAATATTTGTGGATTTGACTTTTTAAGCTTGGTTTTAATGAGGTTTGACACATTCAACCCAGCAGCAGTCCCTAACCCCCTGGGACATTCATGGTTCAGAAAGTTGAATGGAAGAGAATTCCTACTGTTAACTTGCACACAGATGAAGATATCTCGGCGACCACTAATCATCTGTTCTTTGGTCTTTTCTACTAATTAAATCAGCACAGTCCAGTTAACACTTTTTATTTTGTTTTTGCAATGCAGTGAATTTGTCCCAGCAAGGTTAAAGTGAATAACATCCTTCTCTCTAGGCTTGTCCTCGAGGCCCTGCCCATTTTGGCCTAGCTTTCCCAACACAGCTTCCCACAAACCCTTCCACCAGCCTCAAATGTACTTCCTTGAGAGGCGTCTCGGACCCCTTGGACCAGATGGGTTTACTCTCTGAGGTGCTCTCCATAGCATCCTATACATCCCTTTGTGTGATACTCCCCACACTGTGATTGATTGATTTATTTATTTTTGGTAAGGTATGCCTTCCTTGCTAGGATGTGAGGCTGATGAGCATAGGAAATCCACGCCTACTTGGTCGATGAGGACTAAGTTCTGCTGCCAGTAACACAGACCTTAAATAACAATGTTATAAGCAAGATAGGAATTGATTTCTCTCTTGTATACAGTCTCTGCAGTCGGCAGTTTAGGGCTTTTGTGGTAACTCTACTGCATCAGACTCCTCCTATGGGCTGTTCTGCTGAGCATGGCTTCCATCCTCATGGTCCCAGAGAGTAGGGAACAGGGGCCCAGTGGGCAGGAAGGAGCGTGGGGAAGAAACACAATATGCCCTCTCCTGAAGGCTTCCCCTTGGAATTTGCATGCACCTTTGCCACCTCCATCCTGTTGGCGCAGGATTAGTCCTGCAGCCACACCTAGCTGCCAGGGAGGCTGGGAAAGTGAATCCTTATTCTGGGTAGACATGAGCCCAGTTAAAAATTGTTCTAACACTAAGAAATGAAGAGAGAGCAGCTGTTAGGAGACAGTCATATATCACTGTATTCCCAGCTTCCAGCCCATGGCCTGGAACAATGTATATTGGCTGAATAAAGACATGAGCTGAACACTGATGTATTCATGTGCTAGGGCTGCCATAACAAAGTACCACAGACTGGGTATTTGTTGTGCCCAGTACAAGAAAAATGTGTTGTCTCACAGTTCTGGAGACTGGAAGTCCCAGCCCAAGGTGTTGGCAGTGTGGGTTCCTTCTGAGTGCTGTGAGGGACAATCTGTTCATGCCTCATTCGCAGCTCGTGGTGGCTTGCTGGCATTCCTTGGTCTTCCTCGGTTTAGAGTTCCATGCCTTTGTTTTCACATGGTGTTTTCCCTGTGAGCATGTCTCTGTATCCAAATTTCCCCTTTTAATAAAGGACACCAGCCATGTTGGACGAGGCCCCACCCTAATGACTGCAGCTTAAATAATTACATCTGCAACAACCCTATTTCCAAATCAGGTCCCATACTGAGGTACCGGGAACTCCAAATTCATAAGACCTTAAAAACTGGGGAGAGACAGTATTCAGCATGGAAGCCATGTCAACACAATGGAAATTCACAGGACTTATGATTGGGGGGTATAGAATTTGATGCCTAACAACTTGGGACAGTTTCATCTACTCTCACGTTCTCTAGGAGGCATCTGGCATTTGGCTGCCCTGGGCTGCCCCAGAGTGATACACGTCTTCACTCCAGAGGAGTGTATTGATGATACAGATTAACCAGTCCCAGCCTCCCAGCCCTGGGGAGGAGTGTGTGCAGGCAGGAAATGTCAGGCTTACCAAAGGCCTGTAATGTTATACAGCATTATGACCCATCAGAAGTTGGAACCAATAAGCCAGGCTTCTTCGCGGTATGACAGAGACCTAGGAGCTCTCCAGGAAAGTCTGAGTCTTTTGCAGCAAGATGAAAGCTCCTGGCCTTGGCGACATCCCGTAACCCACTGGGATCACACTTAACAAGACAGCCCTGTTACACCAGAGCCTGGTTTGGCATCTGAAAGCCAGGCAGATAGCTCAGCTCTTGCTCAGCACCACCCCAGCCCCTCCTATCTCCGTTTATTCTTTTGTGGTGTTTCTGTTTGGTTCTGCCTATATCCCTCACTGGACTCCAAACTCCCCAGAGGCCAAAGAGAGTATTTTATTCATCTGTGTAATAATCCTTACAGCTCCCGTTGGTTAAAGTTGCCCTCAAATAAAAGCACAATTAAATAGGGCTTCTTCAAAGGGAAGAGAATGATATTCTCATCAGGAGGGTTGAGATGTAATCATGTACCAGAGCTGAGGAATAGATACTGTAAAGGTTCCCTGTTGTTTCTTTTGACATCAAGTTCTAGGACTCCAGGAAGGTGACTATTCTGTTCTCCCCTGGAGACAGAATTTTTGTCAGTGGTCTTTGAAAGGCTTAGCTTTGGTAAACCCACAGTTGCCAAAGCATGACCCTGACAAAAGCAAGGTTTAAGAAATGGCCCATTTGATTTGTGGAAGAGATGCTTAGTGCTGCTTGGTGAATCCGAGGCCTCCCTCTGCACACGTATCATACACAATGTGAGACCCAAGGTCTAGATCACACTTGAGGATCCCCAGTAAAGGAGAGAGCAGAGTGCTCAGCTTTAAGGAAGAGGAGAACATGGTTCAAATGTCCCTCTTGTTTTAAACACCCTCCTATTGAACTGGGTTCAGAAATGGCACATCCCGAGCCATCTGTCCACTCAAGCCGTCCTCGGATGGGGCAGCAGTGGGGACTCTGCTAGAGCTGTTGCCCGGCCATTGCAGGGCCCGGCCATGAGCAGTCTCAGAATAGTCACGGCTTTGCCGCAGCATGCCTGTGGCTTTGGAATATGAACTTGGGCTTATATCCACTTCCTCAGTGCTCCCTCTTAAAGATCCCATCTGCCACATGTGGAATAGCGTTCAGTAACTTCTTTCTGCAGCACATCTTAGTCCCTGTGATTCAGATGACCAAGTCCATGCAAGGAAACTGCTGGATGGGATGGCCATGCATCATGCTTCATCAGCCTTCATGCCTGGACTCCCAGGCAGCTTGAGACCAGGAAGCTTTAGAAAGCAAAGCCGCATTAGGCCTGGGGAAAAGGGGCAGGTCGCTCCTTAGCCATTCTGCAGATGGCCATCATAGGTGTGGAATCAATGGTCGCACACTCAGCATCATCTCTTGCCCCAGCTACTCATCTGGCTTCAGAGCACTGCATCTTTATGGCCAAACTGAGAGGCTCCTGCACAAACTGTTCCTGTGCAGATTTTCTTGGCGTTTTGCTTCTTTGTGTTTATTAGGGCTTAGATTTCTTCAATGTGAGTACAGAATTCACACCACACAGAGAGCCTCACCCTGACAGCAACCTCTGTCACACGTATACATCAGTTTGAAAACATGACTGTTTTCATCTCTCTGCCATGAGTTGTAAAAATGATGAGGGGCATCTATCCCTTGATTATCAGATGTGTGCTTGGCTGATAATAACAGACTCCATTCATGGTGGAGTAATTGAGAATGGCAGCCCCAATTACATGGCTGTGCCACCTGCCAGAGAGAATGGGAAAGCCTTGCTTTAAATCCTGTGGAAGGGCCGGGTGCGGTGTCTCACACCTGTAATCCCAGCACTTTGAGAGGCTGAGGCGGGCAGATCATGAGGTCAGGAGTTCGAGACCAGCCTGGCCAATATGGTGAAACCCCATCTCTACTAAAAATACAAACATTAGCCAGGCTTGGTGGCACGCACCTGTAGTCCTAGCTACTTGAGAGGCTGATGCAGAAGAATCGCTTGAACCCAGGAGGCGGAGCTTGCAGTGAGCCGAGATGGCGTGACTGCACTCCAGCCTGGGTGACAGAGTGAGACTGTCTCAAAAAAAAAAAAACAGAACCGTGGAGGGTCTGCAGTGCAGTGCTTCTTCTGCGAAAACTGTGGTGCTCATTTGTGGCCAGCCTTACCTATTATAAGGATCTTACAGATACATGTCCCTATTATGACCTTACTGCTGGCTCTCTCTCCTCTACCCTCCCCTCCCTTTCTCCTCCTCTCCCCTCTGCTCCCTTTCTCCTCCTCTCCCCTCCCCTTCTCCCTCCCCTCCCCTTCTCCCTCCCCTCCCCTTCTCCCTCCCCTCCCTTTCTCCCTCCCCTCCCCTTTTCTTTTCTTGGGTCTCATTCTGTTTCCCAGGCTGGAGTGCGGTGACATGATCATGGCTCACTGCAGCCTTGACCTCTGTGGCTCAGGTGATCCTCTCACCTCAGCCTCCCAAGTAGCTGGGACCACAGGAACACACCCCCACAACTGGCTAATTTTTATATTTTTTAGAGACAAGGTCTCACCATGTTGCCCAGGCTGGTCTTGAACTCCTGACCTCAAGTGATCCACCAGCCTTGGCCTCCCAAAATGCTGGGATTACAGGCGTGAGCCACCATGCCTGGCCTCTTTTCTTCTTTACCTAATTTCCATAGTCATTTATCTATACATTAAGTATCTTTTTTTCTTGTTTTAGGAGTACTTGTGTTCATTGTAGAAAAATTAGAAAATGCATATAAGCAAAAAAAATTTTTTGTTTGCTTTTTATTCAACACACCACTACCCCAAGAAAACTACTGTTTATGAACATTCTGAGATAATTTCATTCCAAGTTTTTTTAATGCACATTTGTTCAGCTTGCATTTTTGACTTAATGACATTTGGGAGTAGTTGTTACGTCTATAAAAACTCATCAACACTGGACTGCTGGATGGAAGCGTTGTAATTTATTGAACCAGGCACATATCATCCATTATTTAGTTTATTTCCCAGTTTTCACTTTTGGAAACAATGTTACAGTCTTTGTGGCTAAATATTTGCACACATTCTCAATTGTTTTCTTAGGGTGAATGCCTAAAACTGGAATTGCTGGGTCAAAATAATAAATATATGTCATCTTAAACTCCGTTTTGTGAAAACTTGAAAAACATATACAACTTAGAATACTGTATTGAAACCTCATATACCTAGTCAACAATTCAACAATGTTCAATTTTAGGCCAGTGTTTTGGGTTAATACTCCCACCCACTTCCCCTAACTCCTGCATTATTTAGAAACAGATCTAAGACATCATGCTAGAAAAACACTTATTTCTGTTTTTTGCCCTGTCCCACTCCTGAGGCAAGGAACCCTAGCTATTTGAAAATGGAGGGGGGAAAAAAGCGAATTACTAGGGGAAAAAAAAGATGAACATCATGTTAGCATTATCCAGTGTGGTGTTTGGGCTATTCCCATTTTCCCTGCCACATTCTAGGCTGAAGACTCATCATTTGTCTCCTGGTTTCCTGCAACAACCAATAACCACTCTCCTTTCTTCTTTCTCCCTCTCTGGATAGGCATATATGTTTTAAGCTGTTTCATATCTTGCCAGATTGCACTCTGGAAAGGCTGAGCGAATTTATGCTTCTGCCAGCATCATAAGGAGTGCTTGTGCTTGTTGTTAAAGCTTTGGCTTCCTTCTTTCCCTCTCTCCTTCCTTCCCCTCCCTCCCTCCCTCCCTCCCTTCCCTTCCTTCTTTCCTTCCTTTTCTCCCTCCCTTTCTTCCTTCCTCTCTCTGTTCTTTCTTAACCTGTTTTAATTTTTAGAACCCCCTTCCCCTCACCCCGTGGGAAAAAAAGGAAGTTTGTTTTTTAAATTAGAATGTATTTGGTTATAAATGAGGTTAAAGCCCTCCTTCCTCAAAGTTTGCTCATTGAACGTTTGTATATCCTCTTCATGAATGGCCTGTTGCTAATTTTCCTACTGGAGTGATTGTCTTTTTAAAATTGTGTTCACCTATTTATGTTTATCTCATAGCATTGTGCTTATATCAGTGAATTGCTATGAATACTTTTTTGGACTGAGATAACATATATGACATTTATATGAAAGAATAAGCATTTTTATAAAGCTAACAGCTTGGAGCAGCAAGTCACCTTTAACAGTCAGAGGGAGAAGTACGGCATGAGGCATGCATGCTGCTGTGAGGGAACGGGGGACCTGAGTGTGGGCTGGGAGCCTGGGGGCATCAGGGACCCTGGCAGGGAGAAGGGAGGCAGGTACTGCTCACCTAACGTTCCTTCACTCCTCACCATCGTGCACAAGGAAGGTGAGGCAGGAGTTACTCCCGTTTCACAATGACTTGTCCCAGCTCACACCTTAAAGAGATCTCTCGAGACCAAATATGGGATTTTTCTACTATATCACAGTGATTCATATGTTTATTTGTAGAAGGCAAATAAAGCCTTAAAATATATCAAATGTACAATAATAATGAAGCAATTTTTTAAATGTTCAATAGCATGAAGGCCCTGGTCCAGGTCATTATAATGTGAAAATGCCTCCAACAAGCTCTGTCACTTCTTGTTTTCAATCCAGAGTCCCTCGATTCTTGCCCAGCTGTTCAGTAAGTATTCGGAAAGACAGATCGCCCCCCACCCCTAGGGGTATGGTTATGGTGGTAGGTTTTCTGTTTCTATGTGTGTAGGAGGTGCGGGGTGGTGGTGAGATGGGGGAATGATCATGTGTGTACAGTTCTGGTAGATACAGTTGCCTGTCAAGGCAATCAGGAGTGAAATCCTCAAATACCTGGATGTTCTCAACCAACTTCAGGTTCAGAGTGACTCCAGGCCCAAAATCTGTGGCTGAATTATGGGGCCAGTTGGAAGCAGCACATTAATCAGCCATCAATGTTACCAACTAGATGCTTTGTTGGGGGTACCTGCAGTGGCTGCCTCCTGCCAGCCAGAATGGCTGTTCTCTGTGTGTGTGGCTTCTGGGAGCCCAAGGAAGCAAAATTTGAAGCAGAAACATTTTTATTGACCCAAATGGGACCATTAAGGCATTAGCGATCACCCCACCCCCAAAAACTCAGGACAGACAGGGAAGAGGCTCAAGTCCATGGAGAGATACAAAGAAAGTGGATCCTGGGAGCATACAGGACTCCTCCAAACCTAGAGAAGACCAGGAAAGATTATAAAAGCATAATGTGAAGTTTACCAACAGTGGATTTTTTTTTTTTAATGTCAAAAGACAGTTTTAATTCCCATAGCTTTGTTGCTTTCAGTCTGCAATACGGTCTGAAAGTCCCCAAGACTTGCTGGTATGTAGACTCATTTGAGATGGCTGGGGAAACAGAAATACAAATTCTGCCTGTAAGAAAATGGGCCCACCCAGGGGAGTCAAGGGGCTAGAAGGAGAAGTTGGAGCGGTGGGTAGGAGAGGACTAGTACTGCCACTGCCTGGGCTGCAAATCACCTCCCGTAGCCCTCCTTAGCCTATATCCCAGGCCATGGCCTGCAGAATCTCTGCCCCAGAGCTGCTGGGCAGCAGAGTAAGGTAGCACAGCCTTTATCTAGAGTGATAATGGGGAGGCCCTGCCAGTGAAATTGCAGACAGACTGACAGCAGGAGGCTGGGGGATCCACACACCTTAGTGGCATCACCATGATCCAGAAACATGTTTGTCGGAGCCCACGGGGTCAGGCATTCTCAGGAACGCTGAGTCATGCTAACCAAACTCCCAGGCAACAGAAGATGTAGTGTTAACTTCTAAGCATTCACCATACGGGCGTGGTGACTGGAGCACTGATTGGTGGAGTCTCTCCCTTATAGAAAATTTTCATGGAAGCTGAAGACAACCAGAAGGTTGTTGGTGGCAGTGAAATCAGGGGAGGGGAACTGAGCTTGATGTTCTCAAGGTGGCTGAACCCCAACCAGCAGCCTCCCGAGGGGTGGCCTTGTGAGATGCAGGCCCCCTGAACCTTCTTTTCTCTGCCCTGGCCTCCCAGGACTCCACATGCACTTTGAACCCTCATTAATAGCAATAATAAAGGCTTCAGCTTCCTTTGACGTTTGGCTAGGACTTGATTAGATTTCCAGGCTGCTCCTCTGCTTTTGGCAAGGGAAACATCCTGTCATTTAAAGCGGTTTCTGCAGGCAGCTGATCTCATGTGCTCTGGACTGACTGCTCTGCTCCACTCTTGCTGTTTCCTGAAGAGATAAGAAACTGCAGGGCAGGGTGGAAATGACAAGTAGGTGATAATAGTAAAAAATAATAGTGGTGGTAGCTAACTGCTGGCCTGTCCAAGCCTCTTTGTCTTAGAGAGACACCAGTGAGCCTCATAGCCCCCTAGAGGCAGGTACTCTGCCCCGTTTGATGGGTAAGGTATGGGAAGCCCATGCCCAGGCTCCCACTGAGCTGTTGGTTGTGGGACTAGGACTGGAACTCAGGCTTGTTGGACTCTAAAACCCTTGATCTTAACCATTACACTGGTGTCTCAAATGCCTTCGGACTTCAAGAATATGTGCATGTGCCACCAGCATGGGAAGACACCGACCTAAGAAATTGAAGTCTTAGTCTATGAAAATGGCATTTATTTGTATTTTATCACTGCAGAAGAGAAGCTTTGTTTAAATAATTGGTAAAATAGGGCCAGGTGTGGTGGTGCACCCCTGTAATCCCAGCTACTCAGGTGGCTGAGGCATGAGAATCGCTTAAGCCCAGGAGGTGGAGGTTGCAGTGAGCTGAGGTCCTGCCACTGCACTCCATGCTGGATGACAGAGTGAGACCGTATCTCAAAAAAAAACCAAAAACAAACAAACAAACAAAAACAAAAAACCCCGGCTGGGTGCTGTGGCTCACACCTGTAATCCCAACACTTCAGGAGGCGGAGGTGGGCGGATCACGAGATCAGGAGATCAAGACCAACCTGGGCAACATGGTGAAACCCCATCTCTACTAAAAATACAAAAAAATTTAGCTGGGTGTGGTGGTGGCGGGCACCTGTAATCCCAGCTACTTGGGAGGCTGAGGCAGGAGAATCGCTTGAACCCGGGAGGCAGAGATTGCAGTGAGCCGAGATAGCGCGCACTACACTCCAGCCTAGCAACAGGGCGAGACTCTGTCTCAAAAAAATATATAAATAAATAATAATATTTGTTCAAGCATTTTATAAAAACAAAAACATGACTTTTAAAAATTAGAACTCGTGGATCCCTTGAGAACACTTCTGACCCTGGGGTCCATGGACCCTGGTTGAGAAACACCTTACTTTAATAACTCTGGGTCAATAACTAAAACCCAACCCGAGTTTGAGAGGCGATTTGGGCTTTTGAGTTAGACCAATCAGGTTCAGAATTAATTCTCTTCACTCACTTCTTGCTAGGCTGAGGTCACCGGGGGAAAGATGATGGCATTCCTCGGGATAGGAGTTGCCTGGGCCAAGTGCCCTTTGGGAGAAGGTGTGCCTTGAGATGCAGGTGGCATGTGACCCCGCCTCTCCCAGCAGGTTCTAGGTGGCCCCTGGCTTGGCCTGGCCTGTTAGCCCCCCTCCAGCCTCATGATGAGCCCCTAACAGGAGCAGCCTCTGCTCCAAGGACATGCTCCAATTCGAGGGTCTGCCAGGCTTCAGCCCAGGCTGGTGTGGCCCTGGTCTTCATCCTTGGGGAATTTGTCCACCACATCCAAGCCAGTGGCTAGGCACAGGAGCCTCAGGGTTTTGGTTTCACTGTCTCATCAGTCCCTGTTTTCTGCTCTGTTTTCAGAAAACCCCAGGCCCAGGAGCATATACAACTTTAAGACAATTCCCTAAGCAGTCTCCGACCATAGCCAAAATGGGCCAAGAGCATAGCCTTTTCTTCAACAACAACAATTGGCTTTTAAAATAAAGTGATCTTGGCACCAAGCTCTACTTTGAGGTTTAGTACGTTCTCATGTTTAGAAAACTGTATTTTGTCTATTCCTTGGAGGGGTCTGGCCACAAAACATGATTGATTGCTTGAGGTGACTGTCCTGCTTGCTTATCTGGGATAGTCCCAGCATAATTACCAGTTCTCTCTCAAAAGTGTCCTGGTCTGAGCAATAAATTATGTGTTCACTATGCTTATTACCAAAGAGCAGATTCGGACAGACTGTGCCCCGGGCTGCTCTCAGACAGGCCCTGAGATGTCTGGTCTCTGCTCTGTGTGGCCTTGTTCTCTCTAGCTGGAACTCAACTGCATCAGGGTTATAAGGCCTCATGGCCCTCTTGAAGACTTCCGTGGGCGGTCAGCATTAATCAGAGGCCAAGCTGAGCGTCACAGCATCCCCAAAACTGGTTCTTTCTCTCTTTGAATCCCCTGAAAAGAACAATATTGATTCAACCTGATGAATATTTGTGTTTTCAAGTCAACAACATTTTGAGTATCTGCTATGTGCAAGGTGCTGAGCTGGGGTTGGAGAGTGGAGTCTTGAAACAAAGATGAATGAGGCACGTGACTGAGTTTGGGGAGGGTTGTGCCGGAAATGGAGTGTGGGATAGTGCCGGCTGGGGGAAGGCCATACAAGCTGTGCCAAGGATCTCCTGCCAGTTGCCCTGTGTTTGAAGCTAAGGGGCTGCCCTCACGTGGATGGCAGTTCCAACAGGAAGACGAGCTGTAGTTTCAGGAAGCTGCCAAATCATTGCACCAGGTGCACAGAGGAGCCATTGTGACAAGGAAGGCCGCAGGCATTCAGAGGAAGGAGAAGGCAGTGTGGCCTGAGCCTGGGAGGTAAGGGGTGGCCCGCACGGAGGAGGGTAGATTGGCCGGCACCCCAGGTATCAGGAGGCTGTGATCAGCAGAGGAAAGAGTCAGGGGTGGGGAAGCCTATCTGGGCAAAGGCCCAGGGCAGGAATAAACATTTGCTGGAGGGGAACAGAGGCAGTCTGGACCAATGACAGTGGAGGGTGCAAGTGAGGGTGTGGGAGGGGATGAGGGTCCTCAGAAGGCTGGGACCACATGCTTTCTGCCCAAGGGGCTCTAGCTAGGCAGATCCTATGCATGACAGTGGTGTCTCAGCAAAGGCTAGGGAGATTCCAGAGTGGTTAATAAATCATTGCAAAGGGTCTTTTTAAAAAGCTAATAAAATGAAGAGCTAATAAAATGCTTACATTTTGTTATATTTTAGTAAATAGCCCAGCCCCTCCCCATTAACTGCTATGATGCTGGCTTCTCTAGGTCCCCGCTTTGGTTCCCCCGAGAATCCCGCTCTTCCTCCCACACACACATTACCCTCCTCCCACAACTGCCCTGTGAATTGGGCTCCAAACAAAGGGAATGTCTCTTTTTGGCTGCAACAAAGCCCTAGACTTACAGGCCCTTGTAAAATGGTTGTTGAGGGGCGAAAGGGAAGGCCATCATCTCCTGGAATGTATTCACATTTGTGGAATAAACGCCCTACAATTACATTCCTTTGGAGCAGAAAACAGACACTTGGAAGATCAGACTGATGTCTCAGGATAGTGTCTCCTGTCCCCCTTTGATGAGAAGATGGCTGCAGGGAAGATAGTTTCCAATTTTATTCTCCAAGTGGGCTAAAGTCCCCTGCATGATCGAAAGTAATGGCTGGACATTCTGATGGAGGGTGTTTTCTCTAGGAAGCAACATCTCAGGCAGCACCTGGCACTGAGATGCTGTTCTAGAATGAGATAGAGGCGGGAGATGGCCACGTGTATCTTAGCCAAGGCTCATTGATAGAAAGGTTAGAGAAACCCCTCAAACTAGCAAGGGGAAGAAGGGGGTCAGATTGTAAGGATTTAGAGGCATCTCATCGACAAAAGTGTAAACCAGGGGCTGGCAAGAACCATCTCTCTCTCTCTCTCTCTCTCTCTCTCTCTCTCTCACTCTGTGTCTGTGTGTGTGTGTGTGTGTGTCTTGCTCTCACTCTCTCAGGCCTCATGGTCTCCCTCCTCTCTCTCAGGCCTCATGGTCTCCCCTCTGCCTCTCTCAGGCCTCATGGTCTCCCCTCTGCCTCTCTCAGGCCTCATGGTCTCCCTCCTGTCTCTCAGGCCTCATGGTCTCCCCTCTGCCTCTCTCAGGTCTCTCTCTCTCTCTGTCTCTCTCTCTCTGTGTGTGTGTGTGTGTGTGTGTGTGTGTGTATGTGTTCTTGCTCTCACTCTCTCACCCTCTCAGGCCTCATGGTCTCCCCTCTGCCTCTCTCAGGCCTCATGGTCTGCCCTCCGCCTCTCTCAGGCCTCATGGTCTCCCCTCTGCCTCTCTCAGGCCTCATGGTCTGCCCTCCGCCTCTCTCAGGCCTCATGGTCTGCCCTCCGCCTCTCTCAGGCCTCTTGGTCTACCTTCCTCCTCTCTCTCAGGCCTCAGGGTCTCCCCTCCGCCTCTCTCAGGCCTGCTTTTTTCTCCCTCTGGAGGCTGACTTTCACTGCCTCTTTATATGTAGAGGATCAAATGCGGCGACCTCAGCTTCTCCTCATATCACTTTCTGAGTCAACATTCTAAAAGAATAGAGCCGGCACCTCCTTGGTTCAAGTCTCCAATTCCTAGGAGAGAGAATCCAGTTGGCCAGCTTGGGTCAGGGGTCTGCGCCTGGGCCACGAGCTGTGGTCAGAAGGGCCCAGACCTTTGCTGCAGGCACGGCTGCGGGGGCCCGTGTGAGGTGCGTGTAACTGGGGTGGAGGGCAGCTCCCTGGCATCCCAGGAGAGAATGAGGACCCTGTCGGAATCATAAGGGGAAAGCGTTTATACCAGCTTGCAGGAAGAGGGTGGGGGCCTGCAGAGACTTCCCCTGGAGGTGGAACCCATGGAGAAGATTCTGCAGGGCCATCTGGGCTGCTTCCGTTTCCCCCAGCAGATGCTTCTTCCTGCTCTGGGCTTTTGCCCAGATAGGGTTCCTTGCCCCTGACCCTCCTCCTTCTCGCTGATCTCAGCTTCCTGATCCCTGGGGTGCCGGCCAACTGCACTCCTACATGATTTTCTGGGGAAAGCTAGTGCCTGACCATGACCAGGTGACAGTTGTTCTGGGTAGAAGGACAAGCAAGGGCCTGAACCCATGTGCTTTTGCTGGTCTGATTCTTGGCTGGGGTCCCTACAGACCCCTTGGTTTTGGCCAAGGGCAGGGCTGCAGGCGCATAGAACCTGCCAGGCTCAAAGGGAAGGGGTTGGGCTCTGGATTCAGGGCCTCATGGCCTGCCCGTCCCACCCTCCTCTTAGCAGGGCTGGGTGGGCTTTGGGGGCCAGTGCCCAAGCCCCAGACCCTGGCTGGGCTTATTTGCAGCCTCCTCAGAGAAAAGGCAACTCTGGAGAGCAGGAGGGGCCAAGGCTGGAACCATGGGAGGCTGGGAGGTGGTGGGGGCATGAGGAAGGAAGGAGCAGGAGATGGGTGATGGGAGGAGGGAGGACGGAGTGGCAAGAGAAGGGGCTCCTGGGGATGGACTTGTAGGGGAAGGCCTCCCAGTACATACCCCTCAATTGTCTTGTTAACAACAGCCTTGCCCATATTTGAGCCCAGAAAAAGGTGCCATCCTTCTAGACAGTTGTAGGGGCTCCAAGGGGTCTAACTAGCATGGGAGCAAGCTAGCACCGTGACTGCTTTGGTGGGAGTGTGCTTTAGTTCCTGAAAACTGTAGGCAGACAGGGTGACTGCAGGAAGTTAACTCAGGCTATGACACTGCGTCTTTGGTCACCAGAGTGGGCTGAGTGGGGGCAGAGGCAGGTACTGACAAGCATTCTATTCACCTCACCCCGTTGCAGCCTAGCAGCCTGGGAGGAGGCCGTGGGGGACAGCAAGGCAATGTGCTGGGAGCTGTGCTGGTCACAGGTGGAGTGCAGGGCTTGATGAAGGCTGGCCGCTGCCCCCCTCTTCCCTGCTCTGAAGTTCCAGGGCTCCAAGGCCCTGCATGGTCACTGAGCGCCATCAAGGAGGAGGGAAGTTGCTGGAGCTTTCCCGATTGAACAGCGTCAGAGTGGACACTTGGAAATATACCAGGCAGGATCACGCCTATTCAGGCTTCTAATCCTCAGCCCCTCCTGGGCTGGGCATGGGAGCTGGACTTGCAGAATACCCCAAAGCGCAGGTTGACAAAGGCCTCCCTGAGCCCTTGTGCCCATCTGTGCTGGGGTAGCTCATTCACTCAACCCTCTGTGTGAATTTCTTGTGGCTGCTGTAACAAATGACCACAGACTTTGTTGCTCAAAACAACACAATTTTATTACCTTACAGGTCTAGAGGTCAGAAATCCAAAATCATTCTTATTTGGCCAAAGTGAGGATTTTGACAGGGCTGGTTCCTTCTGGAAGCTCTGAGAGTTGGCTTCCTTGTCTTCTGCTTCTCGAGACCACTTGCATTTCTTTCCTTGCAGCCCTTCCTCCGATCGCTCCACTCTCATTTCCGTCATCACATCTCCCCCTGTTGACTCTGACCCTCCTGCCTGCCTTATATAAGGACTGTTGTAGTTATATTGGGCCCACTGGATAATCCAGGATAACCTCCTCATCTCAAGATTCTTATTTATTTATTTATTTATTTATTTATTTTTGAGATGGAGTCTCACTCTTGTCACCCAGGCTGGAGTGCAGTGGCGCGATTTCAGCTCACTGAGACCTCTACCTCCCAGGTTCAAGTGATTCTCCTGCCTCAGCCTCCCAAGTAGCTGGGATTACAGGTGGGCACCACCACGCCTGGCTGATTTTTTGTATTTTTACTAGAGATGGGTTTTCACCATGTTGGCCAGGCTGGTCTCAAACTCCTGACCTCAAGTGATCCACCCGCCTTGGCCTTCCAAAGTGCTGGGATTACAGGCGTGAGCCACCTCGCCTGGCCTCATCTCAAGATTCGTAATTCAATCACATTTTCAAATCCCTTTTACCCTGTAAGGTAACATATTCACAGGTTCTGGGGGTTAGAACATGGACACTTTTGGGGGGACATTTCAGCCTACCACACTACCTTTCTAACCTTTCTCTTTCTAACCTTTCTCTGGATCCCTCACAATGATCTATCAGGAAATAGAAGCCTTGTAGAAAGTCACCTTGAAGTGTGGGGAGGCTCTTTGGATTATTTTGAGTCACAAAATACTATTTAGGGAAGATCTCTTGGCCTGAATAACCTCAGTCATTGCTGGTGTTGGATGCTGATGGAAATCATCTGATGAAATAATTAAAAAAAAAAAAGTAGTAAAGAAATTTAGAACTGATTTATAAATCATCCCCAGAGGTTTGATTTTATGGTTGCTCATGTTAGATGTTACAACACGCTCTTTGTAGATCACTTAAAAAGCAATCTAGTTAAAAGTTGCATTATGGAGAATGGGGTCAGCGATGGGAAGAACTCTCCTGTTTTATAAATGGTACTTATGGCTCCAGATAAAATCTCTGGTGGCCACATTATTCAAGACTTTTTAAAGTGCTTTATCTGAAATATCTTCATAGACATGAATATGAAAGTTCTGAAAATTGTGTTCAATGGCCCGTGTGTCCCAGAAGATCCTAATGTAAAGATGCATATTTATAAAGTAATTTATAGAATAGGATTAAACATATGTAGAACTTTATTAAGAAAATATAATGACTTTGGGACCAATTACAGGCCCTTGAACAGCCACAATAGGCTCAGGAGGGCTGTGCTTCTGTGTAAAGTCCCCTCCCAGACACCACCAGGGTACAGAGCTGGGATGGTGCATGGCTTGGGCAAGTCCATCTGGGCAGAGAGAGAAGGCCAAGGTCAGCCTGTGGGTGGGGACATGGCGGCCTCACTCCACATTTGTACCTCAAGCCTCCCAGCCACAGGGGCGCCTCCTGGGACCCAGCTTGGCGTTCCATTCATGGGGGCACCCACACGTGTGGCTGAGCCCGGGTATGTGGAATGTGGGGGTCCAACCCAAGAAGCAGAACCCACAGGGCTGTGCTGGCCTCTGGGTGTTCTGCCAAAGCATAAGGGCCCCGTAAGGTGGGAGGCAGTTGGCAGAGGACTTCTAGAAGGCGTGGGAAGGATCTTAAAGGACAAGGCACAAGCAAGGAGTGGGCATTCTGGAAAGGCGTCTTGCAGGGTGTGGGGTGGGCATGGGAGGCATGGCTCTTTGAGGCCACAGGAGGCCTGATGGACTGGAAAAGAAAAGAGGAAAGGCTGGGTGCAGTGGCTCATGCCTGTAATCCCAACACTTTGGGAGGCTGAGGCCGGCGGATCACTTGAGGTCGGGAGTTCGAGACTAGCCTGGCCAAAATAGTGAAATCCTGTCTCTACTAAAAATACAAAAAATTAGCCAGGCATGGTGGAGGGTGGCTCCCAGCTACTCGGGAGGCAGAGGCAGGAGAATCACTTGAACCCAGGAGGTAGAGGTTGCAATGAGCTGAGATCACGCCATTGCACTCCAGCCTGGGAGACAGGGCGAGACTCTGTCTCCAAAAAAAAAAAAAAGAAGAAAGAAAGAAAGAGAGGGAGAGAGAAGAAAGGAAAGGGAAGGAAAGGAAAGGGAGAGAAACAAGTGAAGGAAGGAAGGAAGGAAGGAAGAAAGAAGAGAAAGGAAAGAAGACAAGCACCTAGAAGGGTGGGGCTCCCAGCTCAGAAAGTTCTCTGCATGGGAGAGAGCACCCAGCCCTTCTCCTAGCTCCCCCAGGACAGGAGGGGCCTCTGTGGGCTCAGCCCAGCTTGCACCAGGCCCTGTACCCTTGGCGTGGGTGTTCTTAGGGGGGGAGTGTGTGTGCTGGGCAGGATGCCACCACTACAGCCACTGAGCCCTGGCCCTTGCGTGGGGGCTGGGGAGTGAGCTGTGTGCTCCTGAGATGGCTCAGGCCTGGCACAGACAAGAGAGAGGAAGCTTGCAATGGCCTCTTCCTTCTGGGCCCAGGCTGAAATGAGAGATCACAGTCAGGGTGGCAGGAGACTGCTCAGCTGTGTGCACCCTTGGGGAGACCGTCTGTGCTCCTGACCTTCACGTGGGGATGGGCCCCACCTCAGGGGTCAGAGCTGCTGCTCTTCAGGAAGTCTCCCATGCCTGCCCCATTCCCAGCTTGGCACATGTGCTCTCTGAGTGGGTGTGGGTGCCACAGACAAAAGCAATCGGTGAAGTTCTGCAACATGTCCCGCTTCCGCTTGTCTGATGGTGCAGGGAAGCAGAGTGAGCCTCTCTCTGGGGATGTGCAGGGCTGCCAGGAACAGACACACTCACACTCAGGGTCCCTCCAGTCTTCATGGGGGCCACCGTATAAGGAGAGGAGGCAGATGGGACTCTTGCCCGCAGTTAGGCCGCAGGAGTTGGAAAGCTCATTCAGGACGGAATGGAGCTCCAGTGTTTCCATCATCTCTATGCACCTTGCAAGTAGGTGGCCATTTCTTTTGTTTCCAGAGCTCTGCCTGCACAGAGATTCACCTGCCCTTCAGTTTTGCTTTTATCTTCTAGCTCCTACCAATCAATGATTCTCCATTCTCTCAGCCCCTTGGCTTCAGCTGCTTTCTAGCCTCTGCTCCCCCTGGCCCCCCCTGCTGCCCCCCCGCCCCCGCTTCCCTCTGCCTACCTCACTGTCACACTGCAGAGGCCAGGCCACTGCAGCCTTCGGCAATGTCAGCATCACAAAAGGCAAAGGGAGAGGAGGAGGAGCTCTTCCAGATTAGAGGAGCAGAAGGAGCTGGCTGTAAAATGGAGGGTGTGACCCTGAGCTGGAGAAGAACACTCTAAGGAAAACTAGTGCCTAACCTGAAATAGGGGTGGTGGATTAGATAAGAGCACAGTGGCAGTGTTGAATGTCCTATTTGTTAACTCTGCTGTGGTTAGATACAGGGATGACCTTTGTTCTTGGTAAACACACACTGAAGTATTAAGGGGAACAGGGCACCATTTATGCAACCTGTTCTCAAATGGTTCAAGAAACAATGATACGTGTTTTTAAAGAAGTCCACAAGGACTTCTTGCCAAATTCCAGAGACAGTTAAGAGAGTGAGAGACTGAGGGTGAGCGGGAACAAGAACAAGAGAACAATGACAGCCCCCACCTGTGTTGGGGGCCCCTATGTGGGGGTGTCAGCATCTCTGAGGCTGTGGGCCAGCCCATGGGGGACATACTGGTTCTGGAACCCAGCCACGATGCCATCAGCGAGTGGTTAGGATCGTGGGGCCCCACGACCCAACGCAGTTCCCATGGCTGCCCATGCTTTCGGGCATCTTCTGAACACCCTATTTGGGGCAATGTCCAGCCTCTTGTGTGACCGCTGCTTAAGGGTCCTCTACTCCCACTGCAGAGGAGCTGGGGTAGTAGGCATCGCAGAGCACTGTCATTCCTCTGCAGCCAGTGGGGCGAAGCTGGTGGTGGGGCGGGGCTGGCAAGTGGGGGTTCCGGGCACCCAAGAGGCCCCTGGACCCATGTATCTTCCTCTCCTGGGCACTCCCGTAGAGGACTCCTGGTGATGCGAATTTCCATGGATCCCAGAGGGGTCCTTCTGCTCCGGCGATTTGGGGAGGCTCCTGCCTCTGCCCAGAATGGGTGAGGCGGCACTACACAGTGTCTTCCAAGGGCAAGGCCCTGTGCTCCCAGGCCCTGCCCTGTACCAAGTCACTGAGAGTGGAGGCCCCGTGATCTCTTCACCTTTCTTGGGGACAAAACCCACCTCCCAAGGTTGTCGATTGGAGAGGTTCCCAATCAAAGGAGTGATTAGAAGAGAGTTCACTGGTAAGTGAAGCATCGTATTAGCAGTACAGTGCAGGAGGCATGTTACTATTCCCATTGTCATCTTCATTCCAAGACCAGAAGCAGGACAGGAGCCCCTCCATGGATGGACCCTAAGGTGATGATGATGCGAAGGAGAAAGGAGGGTGTTTAAGGGGCTGTGTTCTGTTGTCTGCCCTCTCTAGAGGGACCTGCATTGTACCCATTGCCCAGAAAGGACATGGCATGGCGTGATGGGCTGACACAGGCAGGGGACCAGAAGGGCCCAGGGCATTGCCCACTTAGCACTCCAGCTGCAAAAGCAGCCGTATGTGTCCTGAGGCCCATGGCTCCTGGTCATAGCTGATTGGATCAAGAGAAGGCACCTATCCAAGGAAAATCAGTCTGCGGGCTGCCTAGTGACCCATGGAAATATGAGTGGGACCAATCAGATCCTCTCGTTCAAGATTTAGCCATTAGGAGGGGAGTGGCCAAAGTGCTGTAGGTGGTAGGTCAGTCAGGAGTGGGGCTGGAGGGCCAGGGCAGTGTTGAATATGGTTCTAGGGGAGCAGCACCTCTCCGTGAAGTCAGTAGCGGGAAGAGGAGGGTGGAGCCAGCAAAGGCAGAGAAGATAATTGCTCACGTGTATTGAGTGATAATTGCTGATGTGTATTGAGCAATTACTATGGGCCAGGCACTGTTCTAGGATCACTTAATCATAATCCACAGAGCAGGCACTATACCACCATTCTTATTGTACAGATGAAGAAACGGCTGAAGAGAGATTAAGAAACTTGCTCAAGGCCACACAGCTCGTAGTGGTAGAGCTGCACCTTCAAGCTCAGACTGGTGACTGCAGTGTCACCCTGCTGTCTCCTTCACGGTGTGTGGCTGCTTTGGCCCCAGGCCTGGGCACTCCATTTCCTGCCCTAGGGCTCCAGTGAGCTCCCTCTTATCTTTTGAGTTACCTTCAGGGTGTCTCTGTTCTTTGCAACTGAAAGAGCTTGATGAAAATTCTAAGAAGTTTCTGGCAGGGGACGGGTGGTGGGGGGATCCTTTCGAGTCAGGAACTCCCTGACCTCTCAGGATCCTTTGGATCAGTACCTCATGGGTCAGTTTCACAGGCCACTTAGGCATGAGGCTCCCTGCCCGTGGGTCATCATCAAAGTCTAGGCGGATGGGGAGGTTTGGTTAGTCAGAGGCTTCCCAAGCCCAAGAAATATTTGCACAGTGACGACATCTGAGTGCTGGGTGGGGGATAGGAGTGCAACAATGAGCACTTTGGTACCAGAAAGGAGTCTGGGTGGTGGCGGCTGAAATGCCATTCATATTTGTGCCTGCAGGAAACACTATTCATATGTAAGTGCACAAGTGGGAGCTGTGTCCTGGAAAGTGGCACGTGGGTGGAAGTCTGAGGGGGTGAGAGGCAGTCTGAGGTCTGTCCCCAGACTCTAACCCTGGTCCCAGCATGGTGTGTTTAGACACAGGAGCCAGGTGCCTCACTCTCCAGTGAGGGTTTCTTTGTGAGCACAGGGCCTGCAGATGGGCAAATGGGGTAAGGCAGTGCCTGGGGCCCTGAGCAGGTCTCCACCGCTGCGTGACTCTCCAACATTCGACCAACTTAAGGTCAGCTTGGGAAACCCTGTTCCCGTCAGAAGAGGAAGGCAGAGCCTTCCCTCCTTCCACATTCCCTCCATTCCCCTCCCGGCAGGATGAGTTTCTAAGCCTCTCCCCCAGGCTGGCAGACACCCCCTGCCACCTAAGGTGGCCTGTACTTCTCGCCCAAGGAGGCCATCAGCTGGGGGTTAGGGTACATGACAAGAAGTTTGATACCAAGTGTTCAATCACTCAAGCTTGTAAATGTGTTACCTTAAAATAAGGCCACAGCAAGAGAAGCTGGGCACCCAAAGGCTGCAAGCAAAGCCCTTCCTTATGGGGACAGCAATGTCTGGCTGAGCGTGGCGCGGAGGGTGGGCACTGGGGGAGGCCAGGCCGCCGGGAGGCGCGGCAAGAGGGAAGAGTCCAGACGGCCAAGAACAGCCCTGGGTTTGAGGGGAAGCCTCAGGGCAGCTGTCTTCAAAATGAGGTGGCTGCAGCCTTGGGGGTGCTATGGTGACCCCCTGGGGTACAGGAAGAAACAGAGCTTCTGTGTAAATGAGCAGCGTTCTTTAGAGTTGTTTTAATGCAGGTTATAATATCCACAGTACGTTGGTATGTGGCATAACTTATTAGGGGTGTACTGGTATGGACTTCTCAGCAGAGGTGGCCAATCTGAACAAGGCCCAGGTCCCTCCCATGCCTCCTCTCCTAGGCTTCTTCCCTGCAGCTGAAGGTGGCCCATCAGCAATGCCCGAGGGGATCTCTGTTCAGACGTGAGTCCTGCCTTGGCCTCTCCCAGCAATGCCCAGAGGCAGCAGGGGCTTCAGGGGTCGCCCTGGACAGGTCAGAGGCCAGGATCAGCCCTGCCTGGACCCCTCTTGCCTCCTCCTACCCTCTCCAGGCTTTAGCCCAGCCTTAGCAACACTCTCACCAGCTCAAATCCACATTTTCCCAGAGGGTCCTCCCTCCCATCCTTCCTTTCCCACATCCCTCCCCAGGTGGGCCCAGGTCTTGGCTTCGATGCCTTCTCTGGCCTCCCTCATCCTGCAACAGCCCCTCCTGTCCAGGGCCTGGCTCAAGGCTGGTGTGGGAGCTACATGCCCAGTGAATATACATGCTGCTTCAGACAAGCCTGCTTCCCCTCCAAGGGTTTCTTTATTCAACCTGCAAAGTCACTGTCAGCAACTTGGCCTGGCCCTCTGCTGCTTCCAACAAGGAAATGCTTAAAAGTCAGGAAATGCATTGGGTGCCTTTCCTAGTACCAAAAATTGACTATAACCACTTTGGGCACCCTGAGATAAACCAACAGCATTTGCTTTTTCTTTACTTTTCTAACAGAATTCCAGAAAAAAAATAGATCTCTATTTTATATATATAGATAAAAAACTATATTTATATACACACATACATAGAGATCCTTCAACCAAGAAGAGGCAAAGGATCCAGGGTCCTCTGTGGTGCCCCTTGGCCTGGCACAGGAAAGCCAGGAGGCACCAGCTGTCTTGGGAATCATCTCGGGAAATGCAGTGCTGAGCTAGTGTGCCATGGATGGGGGGTCTCCAACAGCCCACTCCTTCCGAGGAAGGTGGAGCTATGATGAACCAGGGCAGCCCTCACCCGAGCTTTCCACACATCCTGAAATGCAAGCTGTACCTGATGGAGCTTTGAAACTAAAACCCAAAGTGCAGATACAAAAGGATCCCCTGATAGGCCTGGGGGACTGACTCCTTGGAGAAGAGTTCCAAGAGCATCATGCAGCAGGGGCCGGGGAAGCCAGTAGGGAGGACATACACCCACAGCCCCCAGGCCCGGAAGACAGGTGTCATGGACACAGAGGCCTGCTCAGCCACAGGAGAGGGGCTGGGCTCTGTCCCCTCCTCAGGTCTCTCTCAGGCAGGGGAAGCCAAAAGGCCAGGGTGAGGCTCGAATCAAGGCAAAAAAAGGGCTGTGGGTGGTGAGATGTACTGGGGACAGTCCTAGAAACTGCCTACCTCCATGTTGGTGGCCCTCAAGGGACCTGCATTGTAGCCTAAGACCTGCAGGAGTAATGTGTTGACTCAGGGTATTAGAAAGGACTGGATCTAGCAACCACAGGATCTAAAGCCTACGGAGGCTGCTTGGGCTGGAGCACATCGCCAGGGAGATGGGGTGGGTGGAGATGGAAGTGTTAGGGCCGGTGCTCAGTACCCCTGGTCAGACCCCAAAGGCACTTGGTAGCAGGGGGAAAGAGCAAGGTGGGGCCCAGCTGGTCTCAGAGGGCAAGCAGGGGCAATGCAGGAATCATCTACTAACTCCAAGTCTGAGAAGGGAACCCAGAAATCTCATAGTCTTCCCACTTGCCCGCAGTTTCTTCACATTGTGACCGCCCTGGGCAAGACCTGAGAGAGATCCAGAAGTCTGTACTGTGCTGAGAGTGGGGAGTGAGAACCCCCCACCCAGACTCCAAGCCAGAGGCATGGGTGAGGGTGAAGGACAGCTGTGAGGCTCCCCGCTGCCCAGCTCTTGGGGAGCAAGTCTGGTCACCACAAAACTCTCCAAAGGCACTTAGGGTTCAAGTCAGACTGTTTCCCAAGGCACCAACAAAGAAATCCAGGAAGGCCCTCTTGGCCCAGCCAAGAGAACGAGGGCTGCAGCTGCAGAGGCGTTCACTAAAGATGTATTTCCCTGAGGCCCCGCACCTGATGCCACTGTTGCCCCACCCTGACCCACGTTCCCTGCTGCCTCTCCCTCTGGCCAGCCCCTCCCTCCCTGCGGCTGCAGCGTCGTCAGAGCTCTCTGGGGATGATGGAGAAGGGCAGTACAGGGCTGCTGGCCTCCAGCTCAAGGGCGGTGAGGAAGCAGTCAACGGCAGCCTCGTTCTGGCCCTGGGCCTGCAGCACCTCGCCCAGGCCCTGCCACGCCTCGTGGCACGTACTCTGCCTCTCCACGGCATCACGAAGCACCTTCTGGGCCAAGCTCTTGTGGCCCAGCCGACTCAGCATCAGACCCTGTGGACGAAGCACAGGGCAGGGTGAGTAGGGGTGTCCCATGGCACAGGCATCTTGGCAACTGGGCCAAGCACAGGTGCACGGGTGGCAGCAGCCATCAGCTCGAGAGGATTCCCGCGTCTCTGGCTTGGGCACTGTTAAGTGACTGTGCCTTTCCCCATACAAATCCTACCTGGCCCTGCCCAAGCCCTGCTTTAACCCCAGCCTCCTGGGAAACCCACTGCAGGAGCTCTGTTCCTGCCGGTCCCGAGGAACTGGCTTTCAAGTCAACAGACCTGGCTGTGTCACACTGTTTGGGGGATCCTAGGCAAATCCCAGCTCTCTGGCCCTCAGTTTCCTCATCTGTAAATGGGAAAAATCACAGCATCTCTCTCGAGAGCGCGGTGAGGTTGAAAGGAGTCAGGAGGTGTAAAGCTCTGAGAAGTGTCTGGCAGGAGTGTGTTCTCACTCAGTGGGGCCATGCGTCTCAGTCCTTCCTGCTGCCCAGAGCTGCCCTTCACTCCAGGGACGCAGAGAGACGGAGGAGGACGCATTACAGGCCTTCACCACTGCCACCAGGGAGGAAAAGCTCAAACGTGTGCGTGTGCGGTGGCTCCTCAGGAGAGGGTCATGGGAGGAGAGTCAGATGGCGGGGGATGGGGTGCTGGGTGAACGGGCTGGATTGGCTGAAAGATGAAAGGCCTGGGGGGTCTGGGTCACGCACAGGGAAGCTTGGCCCTGCTGTTTGGCTCAAACAACCCTGTTACCAAAGAGATAGAGGAACTAACAGGAATAGTCATAAGAAGAGGCTGGGAAGTGAAACTGGCACCTTGTCCCCTCTACATCCTCTTCTACCCACACTGGGAAGTGGGTAGGGTGGACAGGGTAGTGAGTGGAGGGAGAGGGCAGGGCCCCCTTTCAGCCTCAGGTCCCACAAAGGTTGCTTCATGCCGTCCCACTGATCCCTGTTTCAGCCCTGAGGGTGGCATGAGATGACAGCACGGGGGGCCCTTCTCTTGTTCCAAGACGGGAGGTAAAGCCCACCACCGACTTCCTGGACAGGCGGGGGCCGCAGTGGGGGTGGGGAGCTGCCTTCTATGTGCCTGGAGCCCCCTCTCCGGTGCCCGCCCACTGACGGCCATGTACATTTTTAGCTGGAACATTTTCCTCCTCAGCGAGCTCCCCAGAGTTAGGCCCTCTGTTGCTATGGAGACGCGCTGGGGAAGATGCGCATGCCTGGTTTCATCAAGTCCTCGGAGAGCTTGGAACACAACCAGTTCGGTGGGAGTGAAAGATGGCGCTCAGGAAGCCCTAGGAAAGGCCTCTCCCTCTCCAGAGGCGCTGGCTGGAGATCTTGCGGCCAGGGGGCGGGGGAGGAAGAGGCTGTCCTCACAGCGCCTCTGTCAGCCCTGGGCAAAGCCGTAGCAAGGAACCACACACACGGATGAGGCGTGCAGAGGCCAGGGGAGGACAGGGTGGCTGCAGGCGGGGTGGAGCCTCAGGCAGGGTCTTACGCTCTCGCCAGATGGGAGCGGTGCTGACTCAGGGCTGCCTGGGACCAAGGGTAGTGGCCAGGCTGGCCAGCAGGGCACCAGGCCTAGCTGTTCCACCCACACCAGACCCAAGGGCCAGACCCCAGCAGCTCACAATGGAACACGGCCCACAGGGAGGAGGGAAGGAGGCCAGCCGACGGGCCGCCAGACACAAAATTAAGCACCAAAAATGGAGGGTTTGAGCCCTGTGAGTTCTGCCCAGGAGGGAGCCACACAGGACAGAAGGGAAAGGCCGGCAAGGCCTCCCAGAGAGGGCCAGGGCCGGAGTGGCTTCCACACGTTAAGTTTTCTATATTGAGCTTCCACATGGGATTCTGTTTGAAAAATGGGCTCAACTGCTAAAAACAAGTCTGAAAACCCCTGATATCAAGAAGTATGTGGGTGTTTGGGAAGGGGCCAGATGTGTCTGCAGGCTGGTGTGTGTGTGTGTATTCTCAGTTTCGGAGGTTTGCAGTAACTTCCTGTGTGTGTCTGTAGGGAGGAAAAAGCTCAGGGCTTGCTGGCCGGAAGCCCTGGCCAGGTTGGAATCCCAGCTCTGCCACTGACAAGTGCTGTGACCACGGGCAAATGGCCAACTTTCTCTGAGCTGTGGTTTCCTCATCTGTAAACCAAAGCAATGAAACAGTCCTTCCTCGCGGGGCTCTTGTGAGGATTCTGCAATGATCAACTTGAAAAATCACCGCGGGGGCAGACAGCAAACAGCAGCGCCTTCAAGATGAGCAGAGGGTCCTTCCAGGTGGGGAGCGGGTGGAGTGACTGATCTCTCTAGAAGCTGGGAGAGGGCATGGCTCTCTGTGGGGGAGGACTGTAGGCTAGGGTGGGTTGGCTCATGTCCCCCCACCCTGGGATGTTGACCTTAGAACCTGAAAGGAGACACCAGGCTGGGGTCAGGCTGGGGCCCAGAGGCCCAGGGCCTGTAACAGGATCTTCTGCCACCTGCCCCTGACACCAGCCGAGTTCATGTTTGGTAGCAACTCAGCGCTGTTTGCTGCCTGACAACTGGGCAAGACACAGCCCCAGGAAGATGCGAGGTCTCACCTACTCTGCCCTGAGCCCAGCGCTGCACCTAGGACCTGCAGACAATCCTCCTGGCACCCCGACCCTCCCAGAGAACAGGCCTCCTGGGAGATGGTGGGAACAAGAACTGACATCTCAATTTCATCCAAATGTCCCAAGTGAATCCCCCATCCCTCATCCTGGTGAGGATGTGCCCCACGCTGAGAGAGGAGACCAGATCTGCTGAGAGGCTTCCAGTTTTTGACCGTCCCTTGGGAGATGCCATGGCTGTGCTGCCAGCCCACAGGGATTCGAAAGTGATGTCCAAGTTGTTTATGGTGATCAGACATCGTACCTCCAAGGGGGCGCTTTGGGCTGGTTATAGCCACAGACATGATTCCAGGGAGGTGCAGGGCTCTGGGGGAAGTCCCCAGAAATTCCCACCTCAGGACCCTCCTTCTCTCCCTTCCTGGATCTCAGGGAGTGGGGATGTGTGGCCACATCTCAAGTGCTCGAGACTCTGCTCTCCCAGGAAGCCTTCCCTGAGGGCGGAGCTCCTCCTGACCACACAACCGCCTCAAGGTCACGCTTAGTTACTGTGGGGCTCATGGATGTGATCCCTGTCCTGCCCCTCCCCAGGCTGAGAGGGACAGCGCCCCAGCCTCCTGCCTGCTTTGTTATTCCCCAAAGGACAGCAGCTCAACAAGGCTCAGAGCTCAGGATGTAGCCCAAATGCAGAGCCAGGGAACCCAGAGACACCCACACACACACAGATGTGGACCTCCGATCAGGGATGCTGCCCACGTGGAGCTTGGCAAGCCCTGCCTCTTACGGCCACGCAGGTGCAGAACCTAAGGGGCCTAAGGTCTTGCTAGGGTCTGGGCTCACACTCAGTGGGGAGCCTCCCTGTGGGACCCAGGTCATCTGCAGAGGCACAGTGTGTGGCCAGGGGCTGTGGCCTGGGAGGGGATGAGGGGAAAAGGGCCTTGCCTTTTCAGAATTCCACTGCACACCATCCCAGCCCATAAGTTCAGTGCCTGATGATGCCCTCCAAGGGCAGAGCAGCACAAAGGTCTAGGGGTGTGCATGCTTCTTCTTCCTTTGAGGGGGGCCTGCCCTGGGAAGCAGCCTTGGCGCTAGGCCAGCTGTGGGCCAGGCTGAGCCCTCCCTCCCCACCCCTGCCCTCAAGTATTTATAGAAGTTATTTTGGGAATTTTCTTTCTGAGCTCAGGGCACATTCCTGGGATTCTGTAACAGCCTTTCCAGCTGGGAAGCCAGGAATCAGCTGGAAGCTGCAGGAGCCTTCTGGTCCCTGGAGCCTGCGTTTGGGGACACCAGGGCTGCTGGGAGGAGCCTGCTCTACAGAAAGGGCCCTCCCTAACGCCACCCTGGAACATAGACACACCCTTCCAGGGAGGCTGGCATTCCAGCCCAGCTCCAGGCTCTCTGGCATTCCGGATTCTCTCAGGTGTGTCAGCCTCAACCTGTCCAACCAGACCTGGAACGGGAGGGAGGGAGGCGCCTCTCCAGGCTGAAAACCTCCCACTCCCATCACCACAGGCCTCCTGGAGCCAGGGCAGCTCCAAAGCCACAGGGTCCTACTTCCCTGATGTGGGGAGGGGAGCAAACCCTTCCAGCCCCACCCAGTGCTGGGGTGGGATGTGTTCACCCCAGAGCCCCCTGGGCCTCAAAAGAAGAGGCTCCTGCTGAGAAGAGCCCAGACTCACAAGGAGCCCAACCTAGGTGGGGGTCTCCTGGGGTAGTGAGTACCTGTCCCTTTCTCTTCTGGGGTCCTTTACAAGTGAGATGTAGAAGAACACCAGTAGGCCTCTTCAGCTGGGGCTAAGGGTTGTCTGTTTTCAGAGGGGCAGGGACCAGCGGCCAGGGGCCCGATGGGTCACATCCTGGGGGACTCTGCAGCCTGACGAACCTCCAAGAAATTGACTTCCTTGCCAGCCGTCTCCTCTGGCCAGTGGCTGGGCCTTTTCTCCTCCCCTTCCTGGGCTGGTATCAGGTTCTAGGTCTGTAGGGGCCTCTACCCATCCTGGAGCACTGCCTGGCCCAGCCCTCCAGGTCAGTCAAGAGGCTGTGGCTAGGCCTCTGGATCCCGGGTTCTAGAAGTGAGTCCCCGTGATGGGGAGTGAGAAGGGGGCCCAGTCACAGAAGGTCCCCTCTCTGGGCAGGAGGTACAGCCAAAGGCACAGTAAAGGACAGTTTGGGGAGGGGGCTGCTGGACAGGGAGAAAGGGCCGCATTACCTTCTCTCTCCATGTAGGGTGAGTCTTTCTTTTTTTTTTTTTTTTTTTTTTTTTGAAAAAATTGATTCTGGAGCTTAATTAAGCCAGCAGTGCTCAAGTATCATTCTGATCTGAATCTATGACAGGCTTCCTCATCAGGGTTGGTGATGGACTTCAGGAGCCTATATCAGCTTAAGGTTTTCCCAGAGTCCTGAGCCAGGGCTCAGGGTGTGTGTGTGGGGCTGTGCCAGCCCAGGGATAAGGTGGGTAGGGAGGGGCCTCTGATCCCCACTGAGCAGGTGCTGGGGGACACACCCTCATACCCCCCACACCATGGGCCTGCAGAACCCTCTACTTTCGTCTCCTCTACTTTCCCATCAGGGAATGTGACCTCAGGCAGCACTGGCGAGGGGTGAACAGAAAGCTCACAATAAAATCATCTCATCAGAGGTCACAGAGCCAAGACGCTCCTATTGAACTTTCCTGCCAAGCAGAAGCAAGATTCCATGTCCTCTCATGGCCTAGACCCCTCTAAGCCACCTGCCACAGCTCCGGAAATGAACACAGAGAAAGAAGCCTAGAGCTGGTGGTGCGTCCTGGACCCTGAGACATGGGGCATAAGCAGCAGAGGCCACTGGCCCCAGGAACCCGGTACCCTGCTGTTTGTGCACTGAGCCCCACCCAGTGTCAGGGCACCTCCAAAATGCCAGGCACTGAGTGTCATTCCTCAGCTGCTCGGCACATCCTTCCTCCTTCAAGTCAGAAAACAGATGCTGAACCGGCATGGCGGTAGGTCAGGGCCTCCCCGGAGCCTGCCACCACAGAGCCTCTGCCCCAACGGGCACAGATTACCCAAGGTATCTCCCTCGTCCCTCAGCTCATTCTCCCCCGCAAAGCAGGCTGCCCTCCCCGTAGCTAAGGTCAGGCTGGGCCTTGCACTGTGTGCACTCTTGTCCTGTCCACAAGGCAGCTAGGGTCTGTGACCTTGGCCAGCTTCCCCTGTGGACTCAGAGAGGACGGAGTGGCTTTACTGCAATGAGTCTTTGGGGCTTGGCACCAGGTTTCCACTCCCCCCCGAGAACCAAGAGCATCTGAACATGGCCCGGCAGCTATGCTTCAAAGTGAAAAACATAAAAATAATCCCAATGACTGGGCCACTAACTTATGGAATTATTTAACCTAATTCTAACAACAGCCCTAGGTGCTTGGTATAGCAAGCCTCGTTTTACAGATGAGAACACTGAAGTTCTGAGAGGTTACAGAACCTGGTCAGTGAGTGAAGGCAAAGTGGGACTCAGGTCCAGGTCAGATGAACTTGAAGGCCCTGCTCCAACCTGCAGGTGCCTCCTCCAGAGCCAGCTCTGATACTCATTTTAAAAACCATCCCAGCCAACCAACCGTAGGAGAACCTCGAAGGCATCTTGGAGGTCCCTGTCTCTGCCAGGCACTCCCTCCCTGTCTTCTCAGCACCCTGCTGGCATCACAAGGAAATGTGGGCCAAAGACCCTCATCCCACACTAAGAATGGTCCAACAGAAACCAGCCTGGTCCCAGGTGGGGCTCAGGCTCAGGCCACGTGCCACCAAGTCATCTATGTGAATATAGTGATAAAAATGCCCAACGTTGACTTATCTTTTCACAGCTTTCAGTTCACCTGAGCCCTAAAACTGCTCCTTGAAGTCACAAGAGAGTCTAGATTATCATCCCAATTTGATAGCAGAAAAAACTGAGCCAGTGCTATGGATTGAATGTGTCCCCCAAAATTCATGTGTTAGCAACTTAAGCCTCAATCAGCAGAATTGAAGTGTGAGACCTTTAAGAGGTGATGAGGTCAGGCGGGCTTTGCCCTCCTGAATGGATTGATGCTGTTATCTTGGGAGGGGGTTCCTGGTAAAAGGATGAGTTCGGCTTCCCCTTCTCTCACACTCTCTTGCCCCTCCACCTTCCGCCATGGGATGAGGCAGCAAGAAGGCCCTCGCCAGATGTGCCCCTCGATCTTTGACTTCTCAGCCTCCAGAACTGTGAGCCAAATAAAAAGTTTCTGCTTATTGTAAATTACTATAAAAAATATATTTTTTAAAAAGGCCACACATGGTGGCTCATGCCTGTAATCCCAGCACTTTTGGAGGCTGAGGCGGAAGGATTCCTTGAGCCCAGGAGTTCAAGACTAACCTGGGCAACATAGTGAGACCTTGTCTCTACAAAAAATAAAAACAAAATATAATAATAAATTACCCAGCCTCAGATATTCTGTTACAGCAACACAAAATGGACTGAGACACCCAGTGAGGAAAGTAACCCTCAAGCGCCCCCATAACGCAGGGCTGCTTGTCTTAGGTTTGTCACCTCTCATATCTGGTCCAACCCTCCATGATGGGGGAGAGGGCCAGCCAGCAGGCGGAGGGGGTGATGGGTGAAGCTCTGTGTGGCCAGAGAGTTCATCCTTTTGGCCTTAGAGACCAGAGCCTTCTTGTTAGAGTCCCAGAGCACCTAAAAAGGCTCTGGGCTTGGATGGGCAGAGCTCTGGCCCTCAGTGACTCAGGTCCCGCCTTGGGAGGTACCAGGGGTGGCAGTAGGGAGCTTCTGGGGATTTAAGATGTGCCCCCTCATGCCACAGCCTGGGGTGAGGGATGAGAGGCTCTGAGGCCATACCCACGCTCTTGATCCTGCAAACCCACTTAAAGAATGAGGCGGCCTGCTCCACACTGGCAGCAAGAGGGAACCAATAAAGGGAAATCATTCATCGTCACTCTGTCATCAAGAGGAATGCAGATAACAACACTGTCTTCCTGTCTTTCCAGGGGCATTTGGGGAGAGAAGAAGCTGGGTCACATGCCAGGAATGCTTCAGTAACTGCATCCCAGGAATTACCAAATTAGCCAAAGCTCATGCAGAGCCATCTCCCCACTACTGCTGGGGTGCCTGACAGGGAGAGGTTCTGGAGAGCCTGGAGCTCCCTCACCAAGAAGAAAGCATGAGGAGGGGAGGGGCTGGGGAAGGGGAGGGACCAGGAAACTCCTCCTCTCCAGAGTCTGCCCCTGGGAGAAGAGGGCAGAGTGCCACCCAGACACCTCGCTTGTCCACTCATGCTTGAGGGTGTCAAGTTGTCTCTTGCAGTGCAGACAAGCTGCACCAAAGTGTCCACACTCTCCTTAGCCAAGCTGAGGGCAGGGAGAGTGGGTGGCTCTGTGGCCAGGGCTAGGACCTTCTTCAGGGGCTGCTGAAGGATAGCAGAACATGCCACCCCCAAATATGTCACTTGGGCGTAAGGACTGTTTTGAGCTGAAGGCAACTGAGAAGAAGCAGAGAAAAGAAAAGCTCTCTGCCCTCCCCCTATTTGCCTAAAAGCAGGATATAAATTTATAAGGGTGTTCCTCCTCCCCTCTCAACCAGGAAGGACAAAGGTTGATCACAGAAGACAACGTTAGAACCTTATCAGCCTGGAGATGGCACAAAGGAATCTACATAACAAGCGCTGCTAACTGGCCTTTGTCTACCATTAGTTTCCCATTGATTTGTCTTCCCACAATTTGCCATCCCCAGAGACTCCAAGTCCTTTTTCTTTGTCTCATTGCTTCTTTTAAATTGTATGCTCTTGGTTGAAAATGCTATGTAAGCCACAGTTCTAAGCTACCTCATTTTTTTCCTTTTTGAGACGGAGTCTCGCTCTGTCACCCAGGCTGGAGTGCAGTGGCGTGATCTTGGCTCATTGCAAGCTCCGCCTCCCAGGTTCACGCCATTCTCCTGCCTCAGATTCCCGAGTAGCTGGGACTACAGGCGCCCACCACCACGCCCGGCTAATTTTTTGTATTTTTAGTAGAGATGGGGTTTCACCGTGTTAGCCAGGATGGTCTCGATCTCCTGACCTCGTGATCCGCCCGCCTCGGCCTCCCAAACTGCTGGGATTACAGGCGTGAGCCACTGAGCTGGGCCTCTAAGCTACTTCTTTAAGCTTTTCTCGTTTTCCCTGAGTATCTCCCATGAATACATTTTATACATGTTAATAAAGTTCTGTTTGTTTTTCCTTGTTAATCTGTCTCCTGTTACCAAGGTCCCAGCTAAGAACTCAGAAAGGTAGAGGGAAAATTGTTTTTTCCTTCCTTACACTGGGAAACCAAGTCAAGCCAGTCATTCCCTGAGGTGCTCTAATCTCAGCTTCATGACCAACCAATGACCCTCCCACCATGAAGGTCAGGTGACTTCAAAGGAACCCCCTTCCTGGGAGGGCTCTCAATGACCCAACCATTCCACCAGTCACTGTTGGGACTCCCTGGTTTCCTCAGGTACCTCTTCTGCCCTTGGAAGTGCCTGGTGCAGAGGGGATCCAGGGAGGTGGCAGAGCAGAGATAAGCTCCAAGAGGAGTGCAGGCTGCCGGGGGTCCCTTCCTGGGCAAGCCTTGAAGCCCTCTCTGAAGAGCAGTGTCAACCAGCGACTCCTGCGCATTCTGGGAGGGCCTCTGCCTTCCTTCTCACGTTTCCCCATTGGCAGGCAGGCAAAGTTCAGTCTTCCCCTTCTTGGCTAGAATTTTCTGCCAGTGAATTCAGTTCTGAATACCCCAGCTGAGTGGGATTTCCAGCTACTGGAGAGAAGTCTGGGACCACACTGGCAGACTGTCAGGACCTGCTCCTGTGATTTCATTTCCACTGCAGAGAGCACACTTCTTTTTCTTTCTACACTTGCCAGTTTCCCGGAGGCCCCTGGCCATCCTTGAGCCTGGCACAGACGGCAGCCAGCAGGACCAGAGCCTGATGGACAAACTTGGGACAAATTCCGCTGGTTCTCTTGCCTAGCAGAGAACTGCCAAGGTGGCATCTCCTTCCTGCCTGGTCTGGGTAGAAAACCCTAAGCTGAACCCAGAGCAGGGCTAGAACCACAGAAACATCCCTTATTGCATCTAGGGCACCGACAGGGGGACAGGGAGAGTAGAGAATCTGCTCTTGGCCAAAACTTATATTCTTAGAAACATGGGGTCCCCAGCCCCTAAGAGCAAAGTCTTCAACTCCCAGTGGGCTTTCTTCAGCCTCTTGGCACTTGCCAATCCCACTCCAAGGACTACAGGGCCAAACCCAGCACCCACACAGCACACTAAGAATACCTCCACCGACCACTTTCCAGACCTCAGGGAGTGGGACTCACCCACGACCTCAGAGGGCTCGCTCCAGCCCAGGCTTGTGGGTGGCTGTGCCCTCAGGGGAGGGAAGGCTCTCCTTCCCCTTGTACTGATCAGAGGCCAACGTCCTCATAAAGTCACAGTGGCATGGTAAGGCCAGAGTGTCCTCCCTGGGGGCCTGCCCTGACTCCACAGCAGGGATACCTTCCACATTCCTCTCTTGGTAATTATCTAAGGCTGTACCAACCTCCAGAGTTCACAAAGGCTCAGATGACTGATGGACATCTTTCCTCTACTATTTTTACAATGAATCCCTTACATAAATGTGAAACTGACCTAGAATGACAGCTAGTAGTTCCTATCATGTTGTTTCACGTTGAAAAAGATTCCAAGATCACATCTTTGCTCAGTGGGAAAAAGGTGCTGTGACTGCTTAGCAATGTCTGACACTGGTGAGGGACTGAAGGGGGGTGAGATACTCCATGCTGTGCTTTGCCGTCTCTGGGATTGCACTGCACATATTTACACTTTCACATGCATCACCTCATTTGATTAGAACAACACTATGGCCCAGGAACGAGGATTATTATGTACAAAAGGGGACACCAGGAGCATGCAAGTTAAATGTGTCTTTTCCTAAGTCCCCCAAGTGGATCAGGGCCAGAGCCAGGATTAGATCCCAGATGTCCTGAGCCTCAGGCCAGCACAGGGAAGACACTTAGATCTGTGAACACTTGAGATCGACTCACTAAAGTGTTCAAATGTCTTTAGAAAATGAGCGCTTAGCAAATCTTCCCCAGGCTGAACATTTGCTATTCTTTATGCATATGTGTGGGATGCTGGCAGGAACAGAGCCTGTAGACGGGATGGGCTGCCCACGCAGAAGCCGACTGCCCCTCTGGTTGCTTGTAACTTTAAAAGAGGGCAGGCCTGGCTCTGACTTGCTCTAATTTCATCAAATCAGCAAGGCACCCCAGGAAGGAAAAAGGGACCATTTCAGAAACATCTGCAGGGAGCCACTCTGGATGGCTATTCAGTAACCATGGAAACCTACCCTTGGAAACTGCTTCAATTTCAGGAAAATAGCTACAAACAATAATAAGCATAAATGAAAAATGGTACACTGTTACTTCCAAATTGTACTTGTTATTGGATTCTGTTGGGTTTTCAGGGCTGAGCCTGCAGGCTTATATCCGTGAACACAGTGGAAGGCAGACATCTCTGCCTGGCTGCAGGCCCAATGATATAGCCCACACCCTCCCTCCCACTGCCCTAATCAAGTTTCTGGATGTGACCTCTGGCGAGGCATTTATCAAAGAAGCTAATGTCTAAATTGAGGGAGGAAGGAGGAAGCCTCTTGCAGAAAGCAAACATTTGCTGAGCTGACTGGAAGGCAATGCAGCCATGTGGGAAGGAACATGGACAAGGGTGTATGGTGGCTGCACGGGCTTTCTTCATTTGAGGCTGAACATTCACACAGACCTAAGTTAGAAATCTATAGAAATCAGGCAGCGGGAGTAATAGCTGAGCTGGGAATTTCTTTTGTATTTCCTTTTCAAGGACTGTCAGGTTGGAAAGGACCTGATGAAGATGACCTGGTCTGGCTCCTCCCCATGACGTTGCATTCTCTCGGCAACACTCTCACCAGATGATTACTGAGTATGTGCCTAGACTATGCTAGGAGTTATAACGTTTTCCCTGACATGGCTGAAATCTAACTCCCTGTAGCTTCTCCTCACGGACAAATCAGCCCCCTTTTGGCAATGCCAACTCTTCAGCCATCTGGAGCCATTCTCCTGATGCCTCTGTGCTCTCTACGTGCCAGAAGACGTCAGGGATACCCTAATGGCTGTTCTCCTTAACACTCTCTCACAGGGGGGACATCCAAGGTGGAACCCAGACCCTAAGAGGGAAAGATTGTTGCTAACTGTGGGCTCCTAGATTATCCTTCAAAAATCACTTGTGCAGATGCAGGCTTGCAAGCTTCCAGATCACTATATTTATCCGGATACATGTTCTCTGGAAGCAGCAAAGGAAAGCAGGAAAAAATGATAATCTATAGGGTCTAGTATATCACCTGTCAGAGCTGGTGCTCAATAAATGTTGCCTGGACCAGAGGATATCCACCGGACAGATAATTAAAACTAAGGTTCAGAGAAGGTGGCTGATTTACCCATGATCACCAGGTAGAGGTAAGGCCAGGACAAGAGTATCAGCATCCTGCTCCCCAGCCTCTGAGCTTCCCACAGGGAGGCCACTGTGCCCTGGACACCCAAGTCCTGAGCCCATGAATGAGGACCAGGGGCTACTGGATCCTCTTAGCACCCCAGGGACCATTCTCAGTGTGTGCTTGAGACAGGTCTGACATGACAGCCCACCCCAGAAAACCCCCTGAATCCCACCAAAGAGATGTGGAACTCCTTGGAAATGGAGGAGACAGGGAGGGTCTGGGGACTCCCAGAAAGAAAAGCATTTTGGTAACCACCTAGAGTCTGGATTAGCCTTCAGGGCAAGGGTCTGATGGTTAACAATGAGAGCCTTTTGGGGCTAGATCCCTTTGCGGAACCCTACAGCAAAAGGAAGTCACAAAGAGTATCAACCAAACCTTCTAGATTTTGTCATCAACACAGACCCTGATTGAAGGGAAATGGCCTGTGTCTACAAGAGAAGGCTAAGTATCCCAAGAACTGTCTCTTCCAACAGAGCAGGAGGGAAGCCCCCTCCCCTAGACACCAGGGAACAGCAGTAGCAAGGCACAGGCAGGCAGTGGAGTATGGGGACAAGGAGGGACAAAGCGGGATAAGGGCCCTGAGGCTGTGGGAGGAGGTGGTGGGAGCGCGGGGGGCTCTGACTCACCAGGCTATGCATGATGCGCACGCCATCTGGGTTCACCGTGAGCGCCTCCTTGTACAGCTGCTTGGCCTCCTCCAGGTTGCCCTTCACCTCAGCCAGCCGGCCCCGCATATAGAGTACTGAGTGAGAAGTGGGGAAGAGGCCCGCCGCCTCCTGGATGCAGAAACCTGCTTCCTTGAGGTGCTGCTGCTCCATGAACAGCTCAGCTGCAAAAGCAGAAGGGCAGTGGGAGGTGTGAGTGGTGGGGAGTCAGAGGCATCCTGACCCCCTCCCTGCATCCTCAGAGCCAGGGAACTAGTCTTAGGTGACAAACTCTATCCCACCAAATCACAGCATGGGACACACTGACTATAGGATGTAGTGGGAACACTAGGTAACGGTTTCTGAGTGCTTCCTCTGTGTCAGGCACCTTGCTAAGTGCCAGTCAATGGCACCAAGATCGTCCCAGTTAATGCTCACAAAAACCCTGTAGAACAAGCATTTTTTGTTTGTTTGTTTTTGTTTTTTTTGAGACAGGGTATCCTTTGTTACCCAGGCTGGAGTGCACTGGTATGACCATGGCTCACTGCAGCCTTTTTTTTAAAAAAAATTAATTTATTTATTTAGAAAAAGAGTTTCCCTCTGTTGTCCAGGCTGCAGTGCAGTGGCGCGATCTCAGCTCACTGTAACCTCTGCCCCCTGGGTTCAAGTGATTTTCCTGTCTCAGCCTCCTGAGTAGCTGGGGTTACAGGCACGCACCACCACGCCTGGCTAATTTTTGTATTTTTGGTAGAGGGGCTCAGGCTGGTCTCGAACTCCTGGCCTCAAGTGATCTGCCCACCTTAGCCTCCCAAAATGCTAGGATTACAAGCGTGAGCCACCGTGCCTGGCCTCACTGCAGCCTTGACCTCTTGGGCTCAAGCAATCCTCCTACCTCAGTCTCCAGAGTAGCTGGGACTACAGACATGTGCCAACATGCCCAGCTAATTTTTGTATTTTTTTGTAGAGATGGGGTTTCGCCATGTTGCCCAGGCTGGTCTTGAACTCCTGGGCTCAAGAGATCCTCTCACCTCAGTCTCCCAAAATGCCGAGATTATAGGCATGAGCCACCGCACCTTGCACAAGTACTTTTATTACCCCACTTTAGAGGGGCAAAAACTGGGCACAGAGGGGTCAAGGCATGGGACTAAGGCCACAGTGGGAGTAAGTGGTGAAGACAGGGTTTGCACTGGGCTGTCTGACTTCAGAACCTCGCGTGGGGATGTGGCGTCCCCTGAGCTAAGAGCTTGCTCAGGTGACTCCAGCCTCTTTTTCAGTGTTCCTTCACTTTGTTCATTGCATGTCCAGGGAGAAGGGGATGGAAGCAGACCAGGGATCTCTCTTTGGGCCCCTTGGTCTCCCAGGCAGGGGCTGACTGAAGGTAGGCGTGTGCTCAGAGCCAGGGAGAACCAAATGACCCTGCCAAGGATGGGGTGGGAGGATGAGGGAGAAGCAGCTCAGGGGCAAAGGAGGGCACAAACCAGGCAGTGTTGGTAACAGCTACAGAAACCACCCCTGCCCTGATGGAGAGCTGATGGGCCAAGCCCCACCAGGTTTGGGAAACATTTTCTCATTAATCCTGACAGCAAGTCTTGGAAGCAGGCAGGTGCTATAATCCATACTTAAAAAATGCAGGTGGCTGGGCTACAGGCTCACGCCTGTAGTCCCAGCACTTTGGGAGGCCAAGGCGGGTAGATCACGAGGTCAGGAGTTCAAGACCAGCCTGGCCAGGATGGTGAAACCCCGTCTCTAGTAAAAATACAAAAAAATTAGCTGGGCATGGTGGTGGGTGCCTGTGGTCCCAGGTACTTGGGAGGCTGAGGCAGAGAGTTCATTGAATCTGGGAGGCGGAGGTTGTGGTGAGCTGCGATCGCGCCACTGTGCTCCAGCCTGGGCGACAGAGTGAGACTCCATCTCAAAAAAAAAAAAAAAAAAAAAAAAAAAAAAGCAGGCTTAGGAGGTGAGGACCCCACTCCATTCCCTCACTGAGAAAGGGCAAAGCCAGGGCTGGACTCCCAAGCAGTTCTGTGGCCTCCCTCCAAAGCAGACACACACCCCTTTGGGCCAGCAGGCAGGGGAGGATCTGTCCTGCAACCAGAGGAGTAGGAAATGGGGCAGTTTCTCCAACCCAGGCCAGCCCCCACACACACACATTTCAGACCCACGTGGCACAGGCACACCCCACGGTAGGCACTTTAGGAGACGCGGCTCTTCGGCCTCACTGGGCACTCAGCCTTTGTCCAAAGCAGCCCCCAGGCTTGGCTGCCCACTCCTGGGGCTGAGCCTATGCTGAAGGCACAGAAGGATCAAGACACAGATGAGGAACGCAGAAGGGCCAGCAGAGTCTGACTTGTGGTTTTGCCAAGAACCCTGCCTAGCAAAAGCTGACAGCTGAGGTTACCCTAGTTCAGATTATGTCTGGGGTGGGATAGAGAACAGAGATGCCCAAGGGAAGCTCCCAGAAAGAGGTGGAGAAACCAGGCCCAGACATTCCCTCTTCCTGTCCCAGTAGGCAGCAGGAGAGGCCTAACTAAAACCTTGACTGCAACACAGGCACTGGGGTACTTAGCACGAGCATTGCCTAAGGTTCATTGTGCAACCCGAGTAGCCTGCCACATCCTAAAATACAACGCTTTCTGAGTGAGAGGACTCTGGTTTTTCTCTAGTGGAGATGAGAACTTGGGAGGATCAGAGAATTAAACACAGAGAAGCCAGGCTTCCTGGATATGGGAGAGAAATGCGGGCTCTAGTCCCTGGGGACAGCCTGAAATGGAGATTCCCAAGGCAGAGAGCAGAGGAAATGGGGTCTTTGAACCCAGGGGCAGATGGCTGGTAGGGGGAGGGGTCAGAGATTTGGCTCTCTCAGCCTCAGCTCTCCCTCTCCGCTTTGCTGTTGAGCTGCTGCTGGGGCATCTGAACAGGCTGCCCTCATAACTGAGTGCTTAACATACAACTTTTGAGTACTGACTATGTGCCTGGTCTCCCCACAAGGAGGAGAAAGAGTGGGGACAGGAGTGGGAGCAGCTGAGCCACTAAACCACTTCAGAGACCAGGACAGTGGAATGACAAGTGCCACATCTGAGTGTTATGGGCACTCAAGAGGGGCTAGGTCGATGCTGCTGGTGTGGTCAGGGAAGTCTTCCTGAGGGAGGAGGCATTGGAGCTGGAGCCTGAAGGCTGCAGAGGCCTTTGGACTAAGAGGACAAGGAAGATGGGCTGGGCTCCACTGTGGCAGAATCCCCCAGGGTCACGAGAGAGGAGAAGCAGAAGGAAGTGTGTGGGTGTGACTTTTGCAGGGTGGCTGCTTCCTCCATCGCCAGAAGCTCAGTTTAGCTGAGGGCCCAGGAGTCAAGCTCCCCACTCCCCTGGTCTACTTGGCCCTGGCACAGCTGATTAAGCTGTTTACAACTTGCTGCGCTGTCTCCAGAGGCTGCCCCTTGTCCCTCCCTTGGGGACCCCTCATAGTGTATTCACATCAACAGATTTTAATTAGAGGGTACCCCACCCAATCCCAATCCCTCTTGCCTCGGGGCCCTGGTTCTTCCAGAGGCCAGGGCCTTGCTGGGCTGGCCACACACCAGAGAGCACGCCCTGAAGAACCGTTAGGGCTGCTCCACTGATGGGCTCCATTCCCAGTTAGACAGGAAACCAGAAGACACAGACCAGAGCCCAAGCAGGGAAGCCTCCTGAAGGCTTCTGGCAGCCTGGCAGACAGTGCCCAGCAGGGCCAGCCTCCAGGGTAGGCCTCTGACCTGCACACAGGCCCAAAGGTCTGGGGTGACAATGCACTGCCCCTTGCTAGTCTCAGTGTCCCTGAGCAGATGCCTTCGGCTCCTGCTCGACGCTTTGCTAGCCATGGTCAGATAGCTGCAGTAGCCCTGGGGCGCCGCATCCACCCACGGCCCTGATCCTTCCCAGCCTGGCCGTGGCTGCCAGGACCCAGTGGTGCCCACATCCATCCCAGCATCCCCTGGCCAGGGCACCACATTTTCCTTGAATTTTCATTGTCGAGGTCATCATCCAGCACACGGGGCTGGATGGGGGGGAGGGGTCAGAGATTTGGGCACACGGTGCCCCTGCTGCACCCTCAGCGTCAAGGGGCCCCTCCATTCCTTCATGCTGTCTTCCCCTTTCTGATTTTCCCTCTGCTCTCATCATCCTCCTGCCTACCCCCTGACCTCTTCTCTTGCTTGTCTGTCTCCGGTTTTCCTCCTCTTCCCTCCATCTCTCTCCACCCCCTCTCCTCTGTGCTTTCTCTCGGCAGGCTACAAATGGAAAACATCTGTTCCCTGGAGCTTTGCAAGAGGCCCTTTTATTATTTTTTTGAGGCATCCTGGTCTAACCCTGCACCCAGAGCTGGTTCCAGTCTTCCTGCCAAAGCCGAGGCTCTCCCACCCCGGGCAGGGGGATGGGCCCACTTTCCATGGGCTATTTCCACACCCCCTTTGCAGGGAGGGCCTTGCCCGCAGGCTGGCCCTGTGCTAATGAGCAGGGTACAGAGAGCCTGGGCCCACCCCCAAGGCCTCTTAGGGCTTCTCCAGGTGAGTGTGCTTCCTACAGAGACCCTCCCCCAGACTTCAGAGAGGTGAGCCACAGGGCAGGAGAGAAATAGGTTAGTCCCCCCAAAAGAATTCACCATGGCTAGCCTTGACCCTCAGTGGGGGCCATTTGGGTGACCCAAAGGAAATAAGCATCAGACACTCAGAGCATATAAATGCCCAGAAAAAGAAGGAAGGTGGGGAGAGGGCAAGGGAGGAAGGAGAGTGAAGATCAAGGGGACTAGAATGGAGAACGCCCAGGCCAACACAGGGAATCCAAAGGTCTCCAGGGAGTTCTCAGGTTGGTCTGAGACCCTCCATCCCTGGGACCTAGAGGGCACAAGGCAGTCAGGGGCTGCATGGGCCTGTCCTGAGAGTGGCCTCGCTGACTCGGGAAGCTGGGAGGAGGGAAGAAAAAGCTGGAGCCAGGGAAGAGGAGGACGTGGGAAGAAGGCACTGAATGAAGACAGGAGGGGGGCAGGAAGGATGACAAAGAGTAGAGGAGCATGTAGGACCAAGGGTGAGCGCCAGCTTCTCCCTGGACTATGGCTTCATCATAAACACCCGCTTCAGCCACAGCGCTGGCCACCCCACCCCAGCCCCCCAAGTCTGCCCAGGAGACACCTGGGGTGGCCTCCAACTGCGGGCCAGAGCACCGGCACCAGACCACAGGAGTCTGGCACTGGGGAGCTGAGACTCAGGCCAGCTTCCCCTAAACCTGGAGAAAGCCCAGAGCTACCCATGAGCCCTTGGACCTCCAGGGTAGGGGCACTCTCCCTACATGCGTCTCCTGCTCTGGCCCACTGTCAGCTCCCAGAGCCGTGACCTGGGATCATGGGGGTCATGGGGGATGAAGGGGTAGTTCTTGCTTTTAGGGAAAGCACCTCTCTCAACACTCAGATCCTGGAGCATCTATGGGACTCTGTGCCTCTCCCACTCTCACACAGACCCGCTGCCCAAGAGGCATTGCCCTGCAGCCCGTCTCTCAAGTGGGTACCATTCATCAGCTTCTCGCACTGGACTGGAATTGGAAGGAGGCTTGAAGAAGGGAGGAGAGGAGGGCAAGAGTTGAGAGAGGAAGGCTACGACAGTCTCTTTGAATTCAACCAAAGAGTGAATTCACGATGGAACTTACTGCCATACAGATTGGGATGCAATTTATCTTGAACCAAACCAGGGGGATTAGCTCCTTCCAAAATGATCAAGGCATCTTTTTCCCTTCCTGCAAATTTGCTGCAGCTGGTGGAGTCATTAGGCAGGGTTTGGCGGGGGGATGCTGATTGTATTCTTAGCCTGGGTCAGGTGGGGGAGGCGGTTTAGGGAGATCATTGCCCTGGTGATCTGGTCCTGGCAGCCCTCCATTCAACAGGTGCTTGGTAGATGCTTGCTAGTGATGATGGCAGCCAGGGGAGGGGAGAGGGCTCAGGGGGTGCAAATTACCCTGGAATTCTCTCATGCTCAGAATGAAAGAACTAGGACACCTTCTCATGTTCCTTTCCTGGCCGTGGCGGTTGTGCACCAGTCACCAGTGTATTCTCCCCTTCTTCTAGCAGGATAGATCCCCTGACTTTTTTTTTTTTTTTGAGACAGGGTCTCACTCCCATTGCCCAGGCTGGCATGCAGTGGCACAGTCTCAGTTCACTGCAGCCTCGACTTCCTAGGCTCAAGTGATCCTCCCACCTCAGCCTCCAGAGCAGCTGGGACTACAGGCATGCACCACCATGCCCAGATAATTTTTTTGTATTTTTAGTAGAGATGGGGTTTTACCATGTTGCCTGGGTTGGTCTTGAACTCCTGGGCTCAAGTCGTCTGCCTGCCTCGGCCTCCCAAAGTGCTCGGATTACGGGCATGAGCCACCGCACCCGGCCTGATCCCCTGACTTTTAATGGGACACCCAGAATAATGACATCTGCCAGAGCCCTCGGCAGTTAGGGGCAGTCAAATAACTAAGTTCTGGCCAATGGATCATGAGGGGAGGTGATGTGTGCCAATTCCAGGACATGTCCTTATAGGGAAGGGGGTGCCTTTCTTCCTTGTAAATCGTTTGCCTTGGAATGTGAATGTGGCAGAGAGCCATCCTGGACCACATGGACGACAGTGATACCCTAGGGACAGAAGAGTCGCTGTCCCAGTCAAGGCTGTCATCTGTAAACTGTAAACTGTTACATGAGAAAGAAATAAGCACCCACCTTGTGCAAGACACTGCTATTTTGGATCTGCTACATGCACCCAAACTGGTCTCCTAATACTACACTGCCTGACCCTGATGCAGCGCCACATTCAAAGCATTCAGATGCTGTTCTCGGAGTTCTCTTCTGTGGAGTGAATATCTAAGACAATGACCAAAGAAGAAAGGCTCATGTGCAAATGACTGAAAGGCATGTGTTTCTCTTGACATTCCCAAGTCTAATTACTGGCTTCAGGAGGGCCTTTAACCTTACTTGGAGTTATCAGCACATGCTAACATCCCTAGTATAAAGCAATATACAACCTGAGAACTGCAAGCAAGCTTGTGATGATGGTAGTAAACAAACAAGACAAATCAGGCCGGGCGCAGTGGCTCACGCCTGTAATCCCAGCACTTTGGTGGGCCACGGCGGGCAGATCACTGAGGTGAGGAGTTCGAAACCAGTGTGGCCAACATGGTGAAACCCTGTCTGTACTAAAAATACAAAAAAAATTAGCCGGGCACGGTGGCACACACCTGTAGTCCCAGCTACTCAGGAGGCTGAGGTGGGAGAATCACTTGAACCTGGGAGGTGGAGGTTGCAGTGAGCTGAGATTGCACCACTGCACTCCAGCCTGGGCCACAGAGTGAGACTCTGCCTCAAAAAACCAACCAACCAACCAACCAACCAACCAACCAACCAACCAAACAAACAAACAAAAAAACCCACCAAAAACCCGCCCACCAAAACCAAGGCAAATCATTCAAACAAAGGCCTGGGAGCTCTGGTACAGGCAACCCACAACTGCAGAATCTGATCACTGTGTTACGCTGCATTCCTTAAAGCTGGTGAAGCCCCCATCATGGGTGCGAAGCTGTGGGGGCTGGGGCTCCATGCGGCCCCTTGGAAGTTGGAAGTCATTATTTTAGTCTTAGAAGTCATTAGAATCTTAGAAGACGACGGGAACCTTTGCCTAAGGCGAGGCCTTGTTTATTATTCCTCTGGATTTTTCAACATCCCTCTTCCTACTTAAAACCCAACAAGCTGACTGTGGAGCAAGTGCAGCCTCCGCCCACCCCCAGCATCCGAAGGGACCCCGAGATGCTAACTGGGACAGTTTCTGCATTGTTAAAGTGCTCCCATGTCTAGCCTTCCTGTGAATCCTATCCAATGTTTTTTGCAGATTCAGAACCTACAGTGGGGAGAGTGGGGGCGTACTGCATACTAATGTGCCGTATGTGAGGAACATGCAGTGGGAAACCTTAGATTCTCAGCTAACAAGCATATTCGGACTCTGACTTACCAAATCCCCATGTCCCAGTAAGAGATCATCAACTTTCGGTTTCTTCTCCAACTCCCCCCCTGGGGACAATAGCACACCCCCATGATGGAGAAGGAGCAGAGAGGAGGGTAATCAGAGAAAATGCAAGAGGTACTCCTGGGCCCAGAACTTCACGTGGGCAGCTCTAGGCCAAGGGGTTGTGTTGGCCTGGGGTACTTTAGGGGTCCATTTAGCCTATCCTCCTCCTCTGTCTTCTGCTGCCATTTTATTTCATTCAGGCACTTGTCATCTTTGGCTTTGGCTCTCTCTCTTTCCACTCTGATCTACCTCTCACACTACTGTCAGGGTAAATTTTCAAAACTCTTGGCAGCGAGTCCCTCCCGGGCATTCATAAGCCGGTGTTAAGACACTCGCTGTCCGTGGGGCCATGCTGCCTCTTCCTCCACCATGACTGCCATGGACGAGACGGAAGCCAAACACCTTTTGCTGAGCACTTGTAATGGCCACCCTGACTGTGTCACACATTGGCTCGTTTCAGATCAGGGCTAGCCAGCTGTGGGCTGCTTTCAGAACCCAGGTCTGTGGAACTCTGGAGCCAGGCTTCCTACAGCCTGCCTCCCCAACACTGGCTGGCCTTCAGACGCCTGGTGGCAATGGTATCACTTAGTTACCAAGAGGGACTGTCACCTGAATGGCAACCTCAAAGTTACCAGTCTTTCCTCCATCTTCAATGAATTCTACCCCCAGCCCTCTCTTTCTTGGGGCCTCCACACCTCCCCTCTCTGAGCTCTCCAGGGTTTGAAGCCTGTTTTTGAGACTGAGACAACTGTCCATCTGTGTGGCCTCTCAGGACCTCCAATCCTCTCACGTTTGGGCTTGCTGCCAGAGAAGCTCTCCCAGGCAGGAAGGCAGACACCATCTCCACTGGGCAGAGAAGGAGACCCACAGCCAGAGGCGAGGACTCTGTAACCCGCGTGGGCCTAGCAAGGTGTCCCCACCTCCCCACACTCCCTTCTCCAGGACAGGGCTCTGAGAGCATGGGTGGCCTGCAGACAGGCTGTGTGTGTCACTGGGACCAGGGCACTCACCAGCCTGCAGCCAGATCTGTTCCAGCGTGGTCCACAGCTGCATGGGGCCCTGCTTCAGGACCGAAGAGGGCATAGTCAGCTCTGACATGGCCTCCTCCAGCCGGGAGGCGGCGATGGACGAAGCCCGCCGGGAGCCTGCAGAGCAAGAGGGCACGAGCCGAGCAGTGGTCAGAGGTCCACACGTTGCAGGCCCCAGGAGCAGTCATTGCCCAGCACCATGGGGAGACAGGGCACCCTGAATCAGGGTAGGGTGGTGCGGCTGGGCAGCCAGAAAGCAGCTCACAGACCCACTAGGGAGGGCCCACTATGTCCTCTCACCCACAGCTGGGGAGGGGAGCTCTTTGGAGGAAAATCAGGCAGAGATCCCACTAGGATCTATTCCTGGGAAAACAATAATGTCAGCAAAGATGCTCTTTACGTGAACACAACAGAAATAACCTCAGTGTCCAACAATAGGGATTGATTAAAAATAAGTGGGGGTATAATCATCCCAGACTCTGCGATCATTAAAATAACAAAATACAAATACAGATATCAATGTAGAAAGATGTTCGCACTATATAGTTAGGTGAAAACAAGCAAGTTACAAAAGAATAGGACCACATTTTTATAAAAAAGAAATATGGGCATGGAAAAAAGTCTGAAAGGCCATTTATTAAGGTCTAAGTGGTGAAATTAGGAATGATTTTTCTTTTCTTCCCTTGGCTATTTTCACCTTCTGTTTTCACAAGTGCATATTCTCATTTGTTTGTAGAAAGGTACCCATTCAAGGCTGTGCTGTGAAGGACTGGATAGCAGCTCAAGTCAGAACACTGCCCTCTGGAAAACCTCTCTCAGTGGCAGTTCTGGGTGACATGGGCTCCGGTTCAGGACATATAAGCTGTTGACATTTATAATTCCCATGCAGGTGAAATGTGAGCACTTTCTCTCTCTCTGTCATAGACGCAATAAAGGCTCCAATAAACTCAGGAGACCTCACGGCAAACCACGGATGACTTCAGTTTATGAGACAAGTGTACCTGGAGTCCTAATAACTTTGTTCATGATTCTTCCTTCTTTAATTGCAAGGGAGCTACCATTCTCCCCTCCCTTAACCATTCCCTCCTGGGAGACAGAAGCTCTGCATACAGCCATACACCCCTGAGATGTGCCTCTAAAGTTGGGTGCTAGGTTTGGCTTCTGAAATCAACTCTGTCATTTGACAACAAAGGTGCAAGGCTTTGTCCACAGAAAGGCTCATGTCTACAGAAGTGAAAAAACTGAGCAATTCCACTAAATACAACTCCACTCACACCTTCTTTCCCATGACTAATTCTTGTGTTTTTGATGAAGGTGTTCTGCTTTAAGCAGGTCCTCAGTTAAAAAATGTTAAGTCTGCAGTTCCTGAACTCATTTGAATTTCACAAGCCATGGGTTTCAGGATGAGTTTTTCCAGAAAAGAGTCTGCTTTCAGCTTAGAATTGTAAAGAGCTCAGTCCATTCCTTTCTATTTGACTTGATCTGCCAAGGACATTACGTGGACTGTGGCCTCTGGCTTGAGCCTAAGGGGAAACGGTTTCTGTGCTCCACAGCCACCTTTTCAGCCAGGCTCCTCTTTCTTCACCCCCATGCAGGAGGCAGGGTTCCTCCCCTGCCCACTGCCCACTGTGGGACCAGCAGCCAGCCCCTACCCAGAGCCAAGATCAGCCCCAGAAGTTGCCCGAGCTGGCAAGGAGCCAGTGGTGGGCTTGGCCCGGCTGGGAGAGGGCCCGGCCCCTCTCTGTGTTGGTGCTCTCAAGCTGGGAGTGTGAGCTGTGGGTCCATGCACACAGTGGCCCAAGGAGCTCGTTCTTACCAGAGTCTGCATCATGGGCATCAGGCAAAGTCAGGTGCATGCCACTCTGCTTCTTCATGGTGAGGCCCTCACCGAAGCTGCCATCCTTTTCTAGGCCTCTGGAAGGCAAAAGAGGGCCAGGGTCCGGTAAGGTAGAGGGCTAGCATCACAGGGCCCAGTGAGGTAGAGGGCCAGCATCACAAGGACTGGCAGGGAGAATGGGACAGCCTCACTCCAGGCAGGCTCTGGGGCTGTGGGTTCAGGCCCAAAGACAGAGCTGAAGTCACCAACATCACTAGAGAGGCAGGAGGGATCAACGTGGGTCGCATACCACACAGGCTGAGACCTGGAAACTCTCCCACACTCCCTACTATCTTCTCTGAAGTGGGTAAGGCCAGAAGCTCCCCAGGCCAGGGGGAGCAACATCCAGCAGAGTGCCAGGCAGAGAGTGGGGACTGTGGACTGACTGCCAAGGAAAGCCTGGTCTTCATAGGGCACTAGAAGTGCTGCAACCCCCAAACCCCTATGGAAAAAGGGCCCGGATGTCACCCCCTGCCTCAGGCTTCCATTCCTTGGGCTGCCAGGGGGTCCCCAGAAGAGCCAGCGGAGGCCCCTGGGGTGGCAGATCTCCAGGGGTAGCCCCTGGAGATCCCATCTTGTCCCCCAACCCTTGTCCCCAATTTCCCAGATCCCTGCTGCTATACTGCTGGCGGGGGGGAGGGGTTCCTCTTTTCACAGAGTGGGGGCAGCGGGGAGCCAGGAAATAGCCTCCAGCTTAAGCCCGCCGTGGCCATCCTGGGGCACAAGCAGCCCCAGCCAGCACATTCCCACTGCCGAGGAAGCCCACAACCTTTGACCCTGTTGACTGGGGAAACTTAGAGAATAGAAGCAGAAGGCACAGGAGAGGAGGAGGCAGGCCAAGCCTGGGCAAGAAGGTTTCTTTCCTTCAGAGAAGCACCAAGATGATGATCCCACAATGAATACCAGGGGTGTCCTTGCCATCGTAACTCAGGCTCACCCTGGCTTCAACTCGGGTCTGGGAATTTTAGTGGGCATCAGAGGAAACCATCTATAAAACCACAATGGCTCAGGGCTGGCTCCCTTCCTCTCCCACCCCTTCCCATTCCCAGGAGGCACAAAGTGTGGTGCAAAAAAGCCAGAGACAGGCCAGGCATGGAGGCTCATGCCCATAATCCCAGCACTTTGGGAGGCTGAGGCAGGAGGATCACCTGAGGGCAAGAGTTCAACAACAGCTTGGATAACAGAGTATGACCCCATCTCTACAAAAAATGTTTAAATTAACCAGACATGGTCGTGGGTGCCTGCAGTCCCAGCTATTTGGGAGGCTGAGGCAGGAGGATTGCTTAAGCCCAGGGGACAGAGGCTGCAGTGAGCTGTGATCCTGCCACTGAACTCCAGCCTGGGCAACAGGGCAAGACCCTGTCTCAAAAAAACAAAAACAATACAAAACAAAAAAGCCAGAAACACTAGGCTGGAATCATGGGCCACCTTTCTCAGCTTTGTGACCCTTGGCAATGCTACTTGACCTTTCTAAGTCTTAGGTTTCTCATCTTGAAAATGGTCATGAGAATGTCCATCACACAAGGTGGTCGTGGGGAGCAAATGAGACAACATGGGCAGATCCTGGTGCAGGGCTGGCATGGAGCAGGGCTGGGTGCAGCTTCCCATCCTACTCTTTCTCCCATCCCGTGAAGGGGCCTTTCCTAGGGCTCCACAAAGAGTCCATCTCCAGGACTACACTTGGTTCTAGGCCAATGTACAGCATGGTCCCTACCTTGAAGAACCTTACAGCCCAGATGGGGAGAAGGGACCGTTCAAGTTGAGCAGTTAGCAAAAACCCACATGAGAGGGTTGAATGAAGCATTTTAGAGGCTGGGTGGTTGGTGGCTCCATGAAGGAGGGGCATCTGGACAGGGCCTGAGGGGCAATTAGAACATGAGACCAGCAGTGTGGGGCTGGCCCAGGCAGAGCAGAGGAAGGGGGTCAGGGAGTTCAGTGGAAGGTGCGGCTGATAGTGAAGGTCTGCTAGGCCAGACCTGCAGGCTGTGGTCTTAATCCTTGGCTCCAAACTAGATTCTACCCTCAGTGTAGGGCAGGGCTATCTGGACCAGGAGCCTGGATCCAATATCCTCCTGGCTTTCCCAGGAGACAGGGAGGATTCTTTTCTAAACTTGGGGCCACAGATCAGAAACCAGGGCTTATAAAATCTAGTTTGGGGCAGCCAAGGAGAGGTGCTTAGGGGCTTCCCATTGTGACAAGCCCCAGCCCTGCAGTTCTGCTGCTCCAAGGGAGGCATAGGCCAGGTCTTCAATGCTGGGAGACAAGGCTGCAGCTCAGAGGGGTCCCACCACGACTGACCACTTGGAGGAAGAGACAAGCAGCCATCCAGATAAGGATGCAGGAACAGAGCGGCCAGCTCTGGAGCAACCCCCTTGCAGGAAGGGAGCCAGGTTGTGCACCTGCTTGTGCGGCCACAGCCAGTGAGCAGGAAAACAAGGCCATCGGAATGCAGGTCCCTTCACCCAGAGTGTGGCCCTTGGCTTCATGCATCCAGCTGCCAGGTGGCTTCAAATTCTCATTCTGAAAAGTCCCTCAACCCCAGAGCCTCCTTCTGGCAGCTTCCGCCCACTGGTCCTCCTCTGCCCTGGTCTCCCAGGCCTGAAAAGTGAGGGCTGACTTTGCCCAAGGTGTTTTACTCTGTCTGATTACCCTCCTCTGTAAATTTCACTGTTACAGATGTTCCTCTGGGGAGTCTGGAAGCCTTCTGGGCTCCTAAAGTCTCTGTGAAAACACAAATATACACCAGACTGGGGTCCCCTGAGGCCTCAGGGAGATGACACAGCCAGCTATCCCAAAGAAGGACAAGAGGATCAGGAAGAGGCAGGGCTCCTGACCTGAAGGAGGCCCACTTTCCCTTTGGGCCACATAGGCTAAGCCTAGGCATCCCATTGGGTTTGAGCAAAGACTTCCTGCAGATTCAGCCTGGACAAGAGTGCCCTGCTCTGGCCCATGAAAGACCCAGGTCCCAGGCCAGGGTCTCCAGCAGGAGACAGGAGGCATGAAGACCGTGGGTGACTAGGGAAGAAGGGGTGGCCCTTCAGGAGTACACCTCCTCCTCCTCTTCTAGCCTCCAAATGGAATGAGGAAAGAAGTGACAGGCTCCATGGGCTGGAACTCAGGAGACCCAAGTTCAAGTCCCAGCACTACCACTTACCAGGCGAGTGATTCTGGTAAGCTATATATAAAGTCTCTGTGTCTGAGTTTCCTCACTGGGCTGGGAATAAAATCTGATAATGCATAAGCTATAAGCAGCTGAGGTGTAAGATAAAGGAACAAGCCCAGCACCCAGCTCCAGTGCTCAAGAATGATTTCTCTTCCTTCTTACCACTCTGAACCTCAATGTCCTACGTAGGGTCTCTATGTACTTCATAGAGGACTGTCAGGAGGTTCAAACTGGACTATGGATGTGAAAGCTCTGTGGGCAGGAAGTTCCACGCTCTCATTCAAAAGCCTCACTCTCCTCCCCATCTTGGCAGGCATGGTGGCCACCCAGCTGTGGATTGTTGCCCTGGCAACCACCCTCTGGCAACCCAAGAGACAATGACGGCCACTCACCCCAGCTGGGAGAAGCTGTACAGGGTCTGCCACAGCCTCAGCACTTGTCTGCAGGTCACGAGGGCTTCCTCTGGGCCTTTCAGCACCTGCTCCAGCTTCACCTTGGTGAACATCAGGCTGTGGGGACGGAGAGTGGCCATCAGCACACCCCAGCAAGGGCCCACTTTCACCTGGGGATCCTGCCCCACCAGGGCGGCTCCACATGCTCACCTCCCTAACTCGCAGAAAGCAGAGTGCCATGAGGGCAGCAGCCTCTGCCATGCCCCTGGACCGCTTGCTTTCTCTGTGTGCCTCAGTTTCTCCCCATCTTTGCTGCCAAAGCATGAAGCACTCCATGAAGCATTGTCAGTGCCCACACTGCTGATGCCCCGTGTCCCCTGACCATGTGCCATCCTGCCCATCTCTGAAGCACTGTTCTGTGAGTCCTGGTCTTGCTCGGTTTGCTCTTCCTACCCACATCCTCCACTAAGCAACGCCCTGTGCCTAATGATCGTGGGACCAGGCTTACACTCACATTCCCCACAGGGCCCAGCATGGGACCTTGGATAAGAGACCCATCCAGACAGTGACTTAGAATCCGTGAGTGAAGGTAGAGCAAGGAACTGGCAAGGAGGTCCCCTAAGGACAGAGCTCCACTTCCCACCTTGCCAGCCACAACAGTATAGGTGCCCAAGCAACGCCTCCTAAGTGGAACTGCAAAGTTTGCTTCCTGACCCTGGAGATACACAAAGAAGGCGGTGTTATGCTTTATCAAAGGATTCTTCCTTGGATTTCCCAAAATAGCCAGCTCCCCTTATATAATCCATAGGATTAAAGTGACGTGAAATCCTTTTCAATCACCATTTAGGGACAGTTACCGTGCAATGAGAGCAAGCAACTTCAGAATTTCTTTCGACCTGAAAACCTAAAGTCCTCTGAGGTAAGACCAGTGTGGGGAGTGGCCCTTAGAATGGTTGAGAAGAAGAGCTGGTCCCACCTGGAGGCAGGACCTCAGCGGGGATGGCTGGCTCCCTCCCTCTACCCTGGACACAGCAGGCACAGCCAGAATGCTTCTCACAGGCCAGTCATGACACTTGCTCATCAAGAGCTGGGGTGGAGCCCTGGAGGCCCTGCTGTGACTGGTGTTGGCCCTTCAGATGCTGGGGAGGTCTGGGGGTTCTGGAGGGGTCCAGGCAGTGGCTATACAGCAACCAGTATGGAAGTCCAGTCATATTTTCACCCAACCAGCTGCCTGGGCAGCCTGCGAAGAGTTTGAACCACCGAGGGCCAGACGGCAGCACCTCCCGGTTCTCACCAGTGGTGAGTAGTGAGGCCCTTTCTTCTCAGTATCACTGATGAGCAAGACCACGGTACTGTCAGGGCCTGCACTTGATCACTGCCCGGAGGTTCTACCAGCCCACCTGAGGGTAGCACACAGGCCTGCTCCATCGGAGGGTCCCTACCCAGACTGCGAAGGCTGCAGGTGCCACCCGGTGAGGCCAGGCCTGCCCCTGGCAGTTGCCCCTCTGATCTTCTCTCTCAGCTGGGCCTCTGCCCTAAGACCTGGGCTCCCAGCTTCATGAAGCCCTCTGATGTCCTTACTCTCTGCCCATCTTTCCATACTTTGTCTCTTAGATTGCAACTTGGTAGAGAATGAAGAGGGTGGAATTTGCCCCAGGATTTTCAGAAGAGGGGATTTCTGGACAAGTATTTTTCTTCCTCACTGCATCCCCAAAATGCCTTTCCTGACCCTGCACACGGGTTGCCCCCCAGATACCAACTCTCCTCTTCATTTTCATCCATCCCAAGCCTGGCTTTAAATCCCACCTCTCTCAATTCTTAGGATGCCCTGCACCCATCTTGGAACATAGAACTAACGACCACCTGGCTTGCCTATCAGGTCCCAAGGGCAGAAACCGGGATCCCCCTAGCATGGACTGCACGGACCTGAGTGCACAGCTGGCAGGACACAGCCCTGAGTAGGAATGACCCCAGTGGGCAACTGCTGGGGACAACTGGTCTTGCCACTGTACTCTCCTTCCGCAGGTTTGCAAAGGATCCAACACTCCATAAGTATCAGGGGCCTGTGCTTTCGGGAATATGAAGAAGAAAACACAATGGCTGCCTTCGAGACAACAATTAGAGCGCTATAAATGACACACTGCCCAGAGAATCAAGGGCTGAATTTTTGGATCAGACTCAGTACAGGGGAAGAAACAGGAAAGGGGTCTTGCTGGAGCTGGTGTTTGGTGAAAAGCAGGGTGGAGTGGGACTTGGCTGGGAGTCAGGGAGAGAGAAGAGGCTCCGGTGTGGAGGGTGGGGCAGCTGGTTGAAGCAGCAGGTGTCAGTGAGGTGGGAAAGCCCCTCCCTCAGTCAGCCAAGTCCCCTGGGCTGGGCTGGTTCCTGGGGACAGCTCCCTGGGGACAGCTCCCTGGGCAGGCCAGCCCTGCTGCATTCCCCGGGCCCTCTGCAGGCATCACACTTCTCTCTGCCAGAGCCCCCTTCTCATTTTCTTCATCTTTGAGGGCCGGAATGGGTCTAGGGCAGACCCGACCACACCATGTGCCTGGCAAAGAAGTGGATGAAAACTGAGCTGGCATCACAGTAAGTTCTACCAAAGGCAGGCTGTACCTTTGCAGCTGCTGACATTCCATTAGCATGAGTGGCCCAGAGCGGATTTTCTCAACCCGACCACATCCTTTCTGGGCTGGGGCAAGTGCTCCACCAGTCACTCTGGTCTGATCTTTCACTCCAGGATCCTGGGAGGATCCAGATTTGCTCCTGAGATTTCCTTGGGCTGGCAGGTGAGCGCTGCCAGAGGGATTTTCTTCCACAAAGAACCCTGACCTGTGGTCCTCACCTTCTGTGCCTCTGTATGGCCTTCACAGCTTTCCCACTCTGGCTCTACCCTCCCTTCCTGCCATCCTCCCCATGACCTTGGGCGCTGGTACACTGATCACATGGGTATTAGCAGCTCCCTGAGCCTCGGAACAGGCTCCGGGACTCATCCGTGCTGTGCTTCTGCTGTAGCCTCTGCTGAGATCACCCTTTCCCCTCTGACATTCAGCCAGCTCCTAACCAGATGTCGCCCTCTGGCTTTCTGTATCCCCATGGGGGCTGTGCACAACCCCCTCTAAGACAGCCTTCCTGATGTCAGGATGTGGTTATCTGTGCCTCTGCTGGCTTGCCTCTAGTTCACTGCAGAACTTTCTCCCACTTCCAACAGGGATCAGCAAACAACTCCACTCCCTCAGAAGGAGCAACTCAGCTGCTCTTCTGACTAAGGAGCACAGGCCCCCTCTCCATCCTGTCCACTGCAACGGGTAGCTGCTTCTCCTCACCCACCTATCAATGCTTAGCCCATTTCTTCAGGAAGCCTGGCGGAGCCCTGGCATGCCGTCAGGACTGGTGGGTGACATTCTGGGGCCCTCACAGCCAGGGGGAATCGAAGCTGTGGCCACAGCCTCACCAGAACGCTGTGACTCCTGGGGGAAGCTGGGGGGAGGCTGCTGGCAGTCGGGGCTGGGGATAGAGTAGGCAAGCCTAGGCTCCCCTTCCCCTTGCTTACCTGTCTTATAAACCAACTGAGCCTAAAACACCACTTGAATAAAGGATTCTGAGACTAAAAAAACTATTTCAATCCCACGGCTCCAGCCCTCCTCCAAGATGTCCCTATGTGACCACGCTGTCCTTCTCTGAATGTCTGGCACTGTGTTCCATTAGCACTTAATTACTTTATACATATATATACACACACACACACACACACACACACACTTGGGGCTCAGGACACACCACCCTAAAATATGACTGTTTGAGACCAGAATATGCCACCCCAAAATATACTTTGGCATATTTTATATTTTGAGTTGGTTATTCCGAGAAACTGCAGACACAGAGTAGCTCTGAAAAGCTGCCCTTTTATAAAAGAAATTTCCTTTTTTTTTTTAAAGAGACAAGGTCTGGCTCTGCTGCCCAGGCAGAGTGCAGTGACGTGATCATAGCTCATTGCAGCCTCGATCTCCTGGGCTCAAGCAATCTTCCTGCCTCAGCCTCCTGAGTAGTTAGGACTAACAGGCATGGGCCACCACACCCAGCTAGTTTTTTAATTTTTTGTTAGACGGGGTCTCACTATGTTGCCTAGGCTGGTCTCAAACTCCTGGGCTCAAATGATCCTCCTGCCTCAACCTCCCAAAGCATTGGGATTACAGGCATTAGCCACACTGCCTGGCCTAGAAACTTCCACCTCTCAGGGAAATCTACATTAGTAAAAGTATCTATAAAGAAGAGGGCTGTTCCTGACAACTTCTATCACCCGAGAGATTTTTATCTGCATAACAAAAGGACCTTTATTCATCATCTCCTCTCTGTCACCCTCCTATAACTTGTCTCTACCACCCGCAGGAACCCCAATCCCCTTTTCCTTTCTGTAGCTCCAGATGCTATTAAGCTTCAATCATCCCGTCTTTCTTCGAATCTCATACTTGGTGGGACTTCTGTGCATACGTATATAATTAAATACGTTTTTTTTCCCGTTAATCTGTCATTTCAATTTAATCTGTAGCCCAGCCAAAGCCCTCCTCCCTAGAAGGGTGGAGGGAAGCCATTTTCCCTTCCCCTACTATGTATATAATCTTTTTTTGCCACCTAGGCTTAAGAGTTTAATAGTAAACTCATATCAAGCTTTTTTTTTTTTTTTGAGACGGAGTTTTGCTCTTGTTGCCTAGGCTGGAGTGGAATGGCGCAATCTTGGCTCACCGCAACCTCTGCCTCCTGGGTTCAAGCAATTCTCCTGCCTCAGCCTCCTGAGCAGCTGAGATTACAGGCATACGCCACCAGGCCCGGCTAATTTTTTGTATTTTAGTAGAGATGGAGTTTCTGCATGTAGGTCAGGCTGTTCTTGAACTCCTGACCTCAGGTGATCCACCCACCTTGGCCTCCCAAAGTGCTGGGATTACAGGCTTGAGCCACCGCGACTGGCGTATCAAGCATTTTTAATGTCAGACATTCTAGAATCAGTGTGCAGCCAGCCCGGCCTATGGATGGTGAAACCACCGTTTATCTTGTCCTGTGCCTCATCGTGCGTCCCCACCTGGTCTGCAAGTGCCTGCAGGCAGGGCCCCGCTGCCCTCCCCCAGCGTCTGGCACAGTGCTGAGCACACAGTATCTGCCTAGTCCTGGAGCCTGTTACTTGATTCCCCATAGCTGCAGTGTGGGCCGGACTCCCACAGCTGACAAGCAGAGCGCTGGCCAATTCCATTCCAAACTGTCCAGAAGCAAAGTTTTCCTCCCTGTGAAAGCAGGACCTGGGGAGGAACAGTGGGCTCCAGATGTGGAATCTTCTGGCTCCTCCTGACTGGGGTGGGGGTGGAGGGCCTCCATCCCAGGGGACAGTCACTGGGCAAGGCCAAAAAGTATCACTGAGGAGAGTCTCTGTGATCGAAACGCCTGAATACCGAAATCCAGCAGCTTTCAACATTTATGCCCTCCGACAAGAGCCATTCCAGAAGAGCAATGGTCACAGTACTGTCCTCGAGCCTCACACTGTGTCGTTACTCAAAGTGAATACACACTGGCCCAGGAATTAGAAACCCAAGCCAAAGTCCAAGCTCTGTGGTCACCCAGCTGGGCATGTCACAGGTCCCACACCTGTACAACAGGAGTAAAGTCACCTGTCCCACGAACTTCCACCAGGCTGAACTGTGATGACCTCTAAGTAGCAGCTGCATTCAGCTCTCCAGCACACAGGGAAGGGACTCCTGCTTTGAAGCCGCAGGCCGGCCCGATCCCAAGAAGCAAGTTTCTAGGCCAGGTGCCTCTGAAGGCTCCCAGAAAGCCCTGAGCTTCTTGGTCTGTTGAACTAGGCCCTTCACTCCTAGGACCTAAGACAGGCTTATGACAGGAAGACGATGGAAGGAGATGCATAAAGCTATAGGAACTGGGCTCTGGGCAAAGCATGCTCGCTGTGACCCCTCTTGCAAGCATTTTCCTGTTTAAGCTGTGGAAGCCCATGTGAAGTAAACACTGAGGTCTTTTAAGGCCGAACGCCCTTGCCACGCCATCGGCATCGAAGGATGATATGAAAGTGAGTGTTCTGTCTGGGAAAGGGGAAGGAGCGTGGGTCAGTGTAAACACCCCATGCGCTTGGTCACACTCCTGGGGCTAGGGAAGGACGGCCGGGTCCTGAGATGTGCTCCATCCTTGGTACTCTCTGCAGCCCCATCCAGGCCACGTGGCACACAGGCCCTGGTCTGGGCGGGGAGCCCAGTGCAGACAGAAGCCCCCTCTTTATGTGCTTATGCCCTCGTCAGGATGCTGCCAGAGCCTTCAGTAGACCACACCGGCCACCCCTCACCCAGGCTCGGTGTTCCCTCACCCACCATCCTAACCACTGGGACCTGCCGACTCCCATGCCATCTGCAAGCATGATGCAGCACCCAGGGGCACAGAAAGGCACTCAGGTGACCTAACAGAGTCAGCCCCTGCTGAACCAGGGGACATCTCAGCCCACAGGGTCTGTATGTCTAGGGCAGCACTGATTCTGTGGAGGAAGTTAGAGACCAGTGAGGTTGGTGTCTCTGTTCCCCGTTAGAAAATGGCTATGCCACAGGCCACCAGCTTTGCCAATCTCCCCAAGCGCTCCAGCTCAGGCTGATGATGGAGGCTCCCAGGAGAATGTTGGCATCTGCCTCCTCTTCCTCCTTTTCTTCCTAGCCATGCCTCACCTGCACTCCTAGGGCAGGATCACACTGCTAATTATTTGTCAAAAGGATTAAGACTTGGACTTGTTCCCATGTGAGGCAAAGAGAAACAATTTCTTCCCACTGCTATAAAGAGCTCTTAGGGTGAGACTCCTCAGAAATGAGTAAGTATGGCTTTTCCAAAAACTTAAAAAAAAATAGTTATCTTGTAGATAGGGGATATTTTTGTGGTGTCTCTGGCTAAGCCAAGCACAGTCCTGGGGTCAGAGGTCATCTCCATCCCCTTACCTGGGGGCACCAATCCTCACCCTCCCTGTGTCCCCTCCCTGGCTGCTCACCCCAGCACACCACTCTTGCTGGTGGGGGAAGTTGGCAGAGCAGAGCTGGCTGCACGGAAACACACAGGCTGTGTGGGCAGCAAGCACGTCGGGTGCACATTTTTACTTTCATATTCCTGAAAGCAGCTCCCTGTAGTTACTCAGCACCTGCAATGAACACTTGAACACAGTAACCACCATGTACATAAGGGAGCCACTTCCCTGTTGAGACAGGGCCTTCAGCATCAGATGATGTGGGTATACTTCCAGGCTCTGCTGCTTCCTGGAAGTGCCTTCACCTCTGATGGTGCCTATTCATTTGCAAGGCAGGACAGTCATGGTACTGCCCAGGAGGGTTGCTGGGAGAACTAAGGGGAAGAGAGCCTGTGCCTGGCGCATGTCACCCCTCAAGAGAGGTTAGCTGTCATTCTCAGTCATCTTTGCTGTTGTCAGACCTGTCTTCCTGCGAGATCCTTCCTTCATCTGGGGGAGAACTAGGTCTTTCTTATCTTTGTATCCTTGGTGCCTGCTCTCATATCACTCAACAAATTGCTGAAGAACGGAAGAGGAAAGTTGAGTCACAAGGGCTCACCAAGGCCTGGAACACTGTGGGTATTCCCAGGATCCAAGCAGCTCCAAGGAAGTGAAGCTGCAGGGCGTTCCTGAAACTCTCCATTCTTCCAGGTGCTACTGGTCCCATGTGTGCTCACTGGGCCCTGGGCAGCAATTCCGGATCCCTCTGGCTCCTGGCCATTCTGGGAACCCTCTGTGTGTCGGGGGGGTGGGTGGGGGGAGGGTGGGTGGGAAGTGGCAGCAGGTGTAGTGAATGCATAGAAAGGGGCATTATCTCTTAAAAGGACAGTAATTAGTAATTGCAGCTGATGGCTGTGCTGAGCTGTTTTAATGAAGAGTTCTATTTTTATAGAAAACACATAATTGAGTGAAAAAGCAGGCTATTCTCTGAGTCAGGTGGCCACGCCTCTGGAAAGTCTAATTCCTTGGCCAGGAGGCCAGAGGCTGCATAGTAAATGGTCCCCAGCCTGGGCTGCACCAAGTCGGACTCAGTGGTGAAAAGCAGGGTCCAAGTCTGATGACCCAAGTGTCCCTCCTTGTAGCCATGTGACCTTGGGCAAGTCACAGAGCCTCAGCTTTTTTCTTTCTTTTTTTTTTTTTTTTGAGATGGAGTCTCGCTCTGACGCCCAAGCTGGAGTGCAGTGGCGTGATCTCGGCTCACTGCAACCTCCACCTCCTGGGTTCAAGCGATTCTCCTGCCTCAGCCTCCTGAGTAGCTGGGACAACAGGCATGCGCCACCACGCCTGGCTTATTTTTTTTTAAATTTATTTTTAGTACAGATGGGGTTTCACTATGTTGGTCAGGCTGGTCTCAAACTCCTGATCTCAAATGATCCGCCCGCCTCGGCATCCCAAAGTGCTGGGATTACAGGCATGAGTGACCGCGCCCAGCCTAGAGTTTCAGTTTCTTATCTGTAAAATGAGAATGACAGCGTCTATTTACCCTGAGGATTGCTGCAGGACATCGTGCACATAAAAGGCCCAGCAGGGGCTGGCACTTCAGAAAGGGTTCAATACATGTTTGCCCAAACTTTCATTCTCAGTCCCCAATCCCCATTACGTGCAGGTGCTTACTTAGGTCCTCTGTGCCTCTGTTTCCTCATCTGTAAAAGGGGAATCATGAGTTTCTATCCCTCTTAGGGCGCTGAGAGGATTACAGAGCTAATGCAGCAAGGTGCCCACAGCAGTGCCCGGCTGGAGCCAGCACTGGGTGCATCATTGTTATTGTTATTGAAGCTCTTGGAGTTCAAGTATACCAGGGCGGTCCTGCCAATCAGCTGGCATGGGTTCTCGCCTCTGCTCCACCACTCATCAGCTATGTGATCTTGAGCTATCATCTAACTTTCACATTAGTTTCTTCATCTTCAAAACAGGGGTGCTGTAAAGACCAAAAAACAGAGCAACCAAACCAAAACAACCAAACTGGGTGAGGGGTGTGACAGTACTCTGGCTGTGAGATCCCCAAATCCCCGCATGGTTCTCTTCCTTCCAAAAAACAAAACAGCTCCCTCCCATTGTCTAGCAGCTGGAGAGTCCACTGGAGTGTGTTTTGTGCTTAGTGGGGGTTTCCCTACCATGGGGGTAAGCAGGCAGAGGAGAGGCCAGTCTCTGCTCCAAAGGTACTTCCAAACTCAAACAAGACATCCAACGCATTGGGAAACACAACAAGAACAGAATCTGGTACTCAAATGAGTGGTTCAGCTTTGAAGTACAGGGGCTCCGGGGACAAAGTGGACCTGAGGGGGTCCTCTGAAGATGGGCAGGAAGGGCAGACAAAGGCCTATAGTGGGAGAGAGGGGCCAGCCTGACAAGGTATGGATACCCTACCTGCACAGTAGGATGGGGCAGGGAGGGCCCTCTGAGCAGGAGCCAGCCTGCCCCTCACCCCCATTCAAGTGTGATCACCCAGACCCTGGCCAGGATGCGGGGGATATGCTGAGTGATCTAGGTCTCCCAGACACATGGTCTCTCACCCATGTTAAATCCAACACATGCTCAGGACTTTTTTAAAGAGACAGTTCTGTCACCCAAGCTGGAGTGTAATAGTGTGATCACAGCTCACTGCAGCCTGAACTTCCTAGGCTCAACCAATCCTCTCACCCCAGCCTCCCAAGTCGTTGGGACTACAGGTGTGTGCCACCACGCCTGGTTAACTTTTAAAATTTTTTGTACAGACGAGGTCTTGCTATGTTACCAGGGCTGTTCTCAAACTCCTAGCCTCGAGTGATCTTCCTGCCTTGGCCTCCCAAAGCCACTGTGCCCAGCCTAGAGGGTATGATTTTTAAAAGGACTCTAACAGGCCTTACCCTCCCTGAAAGGGGGAGGGCCACAGTCAGCCCCAGTTTTATTACCTTCCCAGAGACTAATCCCTAACACAGAAGGGACATTTTTTAGCAGCTCTTCTTAACCCTAAAACTAATTATTTTTCCTTCGGTCTGGAGGATTAGACTGACCCATGTCCTCTAATCTTATAAGGCTCATGATGATCCTCCACCTCTTAATGAATTCATTTAACGTGATCTCACTTTGAAGCTTTAAAAATCAACAGCCTGAAAGCTTTGGTTTCCTGAAGTTAGTGCCTTCTTACTTCAAAGACTGTCCCTGACCTGGTGAAGGGCCCCAGGGCTGCTCTGAGAGCAGCCTGCCCCTACCCTGCAGCTGGCTGCAGGGTTACATGGCATTCTTATCTGTTTCTGGGCTGACACAACTGGCCTCCGGGTCTCGGCTTCCCTCCCTGCAGCTACCTCCAGCTACCTTGAGAGGACTTCCCAAACACAAATTCCTGATCTTGAAAGACTTAAATGTAAACCACACAGTGCCTTTTCATGGCCATTCAGGGGTGGAAGAACTTCCCAAAAGAAGACGCTTAGGTTCTTCTTACCTTAGGAACAAAGGCAGGTTCCCAGCCAGGGCTGAGACACAAAGAAGCAATTGCCTTGGTCTCTCTGCCCTGTGTCAGACCCCCAGGGACCTGAAGATCTCCCACTGCAGAGGAGAGGTCAGCTCTGCTTTGTGGACACAGGCCTTCTCCCAGGCGCAAAAAGGCTTTGTCTTGGGGCTGGGCCTCCCCTGCTACAGAGAACCATGTGCCCTGGGCCACAATTCCTGCCTCCAGCCCCTGCCGCAAGCAGAGAAAGCAACAAGTACCAGAAGGAAAGGGTTACCATCACCTTTGAAAACAAAACCTGAAAGTATCTATGTTCCTTCCTCTTTCCTTTCTTTCCTCTCTTCCCCAGACAAACAAAACAACCTGTGTCATCTACCCTAGAAGTCTGAATGTAGGCAGACCACTAACTGGAGAATGATGACCATCAACTTTCACCTGTACATGTCACACAGAGCAAGGCCACAGAGGTTCTCACGGGACAACCCACGAAGGGAAATGCTGAATGTCAACTCAGCTTAGCTAATGAGGAACTGACCTTTGGGGAAGGATCCGGCGCTGCCAGTGATTATGACTGGCTTAACACTTCCCTCTGCCACGTGGCTTGCAAGGTTCCCCCATGGCTGGTGTCTTCCTCAGGGGCTGTGGCAGCCAAACGTGTTTAATGAACCCAGCAAAGTGATAAACTATGTTTGTGTTAATACCTTTGATTCCACCCCCTCACTGGAGTGTTGGTATGCTAAGCATCCTTTTGATGTACTACAAGTCCTTAATAAGAACAATCAAATAAACACACTGGGTTTAAGTCAGGAATGTTAACAGAAGCCCCGGGACTCATCCCCCCTGCTCATTGGAATATACCACGAGAAATATACAACAAGCGCCACCTGAAAAAAAGGTGAGGCACACCAGGTAGATCCCAGGAGTGCCCTTGAGCTCCAACGTTAGCCTTAGCTGAAGTCAGTCAAGGTATGGCTCCAGCTAATGCCTGGTTATCAGCTCAAACATTTTCCAAAACAGTCTAGGTTTCCTGGGGCAGAAGGCTGTGTGGTTCCATTTGTTTACAGGCACGTGCTCTGGCTTGTCGGGAAGCCCATATTATTCCTGTACTGGGGAGGGTCTCCGGGGCTCTGAAAGCTTCCCCCAGGACTTTCCAAGTCCCCCGGGACCAGTACTGGGCCAGCAGAAACTCCCAAGAGGGCCTACCCTGACCGACGGAGGTTCCAGGGGGTGGGAAGAGGTGGCCTTGCCCACTGTGGAGAGGGGAAGGGGAAATTGTTTGTTCTTCCCTTGACCTATGTATGGCCTGGGCTTTCAAAACCAGCCTGGCAGACTGCCAGGCCTGGGACGGGAGCCGTGACAGGCTGGTTATTGGAAAGCTCCCATCATGAGCTGAGGAACTTTGTTTGGTTACTATGGTGACCTTCACTACAAGCGGCCTGACTAAAGCCCAAGGAATTTGTTACCTAAAACCATCGCCCCACAGAGCCCATGGCTTCAGGAAGGACGCTTATCAGTGGCCCATTCCCCTTCACCTCATATTCCTGCCCCTCCCTGGTCGGGCCTCCCAGCTGCCTCTCATACCCAAAACAAGAAGAAAGGACTCACACAGGCATCTCCAAGCGTGCACGGGACCTTTCACATTCCGCGGCTTGGCCCGAAACCCAGGCCTGGATAGGGAGCTGCTGCCCCCTGAGGCCCCCTGCAGGCCTGGCCTCTTGGCCAGGGACAGCCCGGCTGGCACATGTGTCCAGGGCTTAGTCAGAAGCCCACAGGATTTCAGGAAGCTGCTCGGGGTGTCTGGTTCCCACCGTGCGAGGTTTATGCTGTCCCTGTGGGGCTGTCTGTCTCTGCCTCATCACGTTTTTTGCCTTTTTAAACCCAAGCTCCACTAACTAAAGGTCATCCCACAGCACAGAAATCAAGATCCTCTTTGCTGTGCTTTCTAACCCCTGAATTCAGAAGGCTTTTCAAAAGTTCCACTCCACGAAAGCCGGGTTTTCTCCGGGAGCCTAGAGGCTGCCTGTATGGGAGTGGCGACTTCTTGTGCAGCCAAGGAGCTCACTAACCTTTCCCCAGAGCTTCCTTCCCTGCCTCTGTCAGGGCCCAGCCTCGGCTGCCAGCACCTCCTGGACTACCTGGCCTTCCCCAGGCACTGCCGCCCTGGGGACCCAGGATACAGCCTCACGCTGTTGGTGGGCAGCCTCCTCTCCCCTCCCTACTGCCACCTTTCAAACACGGCTGTCCATCGACTGTGTGCCCTCTCCTGAGTCTCACAATAAACCTCCCAAGCCAGGGGAGAGAGAGCAGGTGTCTGTCTTTTGGCAGATGAGCAAACAGGCAAGGGGAAGAGGAGTAAGTTGCTGCAGGTGGCACAGGTCAGTGACAGACATGACTCAAGGGCTGGGACCTCACTGTGGCTCTCACACAAGGACCAGCTCACATGGACAGGGGTCCATTCCCCCACCAGTTTCCTCCCCTGTGGCAGGCCTCCCTGAAAGCAGTGAAACAGGCAAAGCCCACGCCCAGCACCAGCCAGCTTCTGCCATTCCCGAGGCAGGCTCTGGGATCCCATGCAGATGGCCTCTAACACTGATGGCTGAAAAGAGACGCCTCTAATAGGCCTCAGGCACTGGGATAGCCCTCTGTAAGGTGACTTTAAGTGTCCTGTGGATACAGATCTTACTGGGGACGATGAGGTCAGGACAAAGGGAGTTTGGTTTTTGTTATTTTGCTGCAGTGATATTTACCGGACCGGTTGTTTAATTAACTGCCTTGGCAACAGCTGGAGGCACACAGGGCTTCTCCTCAAATGCAGAGCAGCTGAGGAAGCAGGGAGCAGTGTCAATCGAAGAGCAATGACATTTTTCAGTGATCCCTGACCTGTAATGGACTCAGTGACATTTCCTGCTAATCCATGGGTTTCTATGCTCTGAGGTTTCATCTGTGGGGAACAGTATTGACTTACTTACAAAGAGATAATGGTCATACCCTATGGTCACTCACCATAGTCTGGCGGTACATGGACTTCTCAGCCCCACCCCAGCCATATATATAGTATTATATCTCTATAAATGGTATATAGAGATACAATTTTTTTTTTTTTTTTTTTTTTTTTGCTTAAAACAACAGAGATTTATTCTCTTACAATTCTGGAGGCCAAAAGTCCCTGTATTTTTTTTCCCAATTAGTTTTGCAGCCTTTTAGGGCCAGCTGGATCAAAACAGAGCTCCTCGGGATCCTGGAGGTGAGGAGCTCATGGTGGCTCAAGATGAAGAACCTACTGCTGCTTCCCCCTAGACCCACAGCCCTGGACAAGCAGACTAAGGAAAGTGAGGCACTACTGGGGGTGGGGCCTGCAGATCCCCAAATGCTTCGCAGCACACTCTACGGTGAGTGACAGGTTGCAGAATAACCTCCAGAATCCCTCAGGGCATGGAACGAAAGTCTGCTCTGACCTCAGAGCTGATTCCCCTAGGCCCCACCCTCCACAGCTCCTGAAGCCCTTGCAGTCGCTCTGCGATGTCTGCATGGGTGAGTTGTTCCCACGGCAGAGGTTCCTGCCTGCAGACACTGCTCTCCAGGAAGCTCCTTGCAAGCCTTGGGGAAGCACCCGAGACAGGGGCACAGTTACTCTGCACATTGACAACCAGCACAGTCTGCACCAGGGCTCCTCAACCTTTTTGAGGTCGGGCTCCCTTTGAGAATCTGCTGAAAGCCATTTCCATGGACTCAGGCTCACATGCACAAAATGTCATAGTTCAGGTCCAGGGGTTCTTGGAGACCCAGATGTCCACCCTTGGGCCTCCTGGGGGCAGTCACCAACCTCAAGGCAGCCCCTGACCAACGGCACTGTCAGTGAGTGGAGCACTTCCTGGGGAAGGAGTCAGCACCTGAGTAAGCTTGGGAGGAAGGGAAGGGTGGAAAGTGCACGTGTTGAGGCAGGGCAGCAGCAGGGGCACACACTGCCCGCAGGGAGAGGGACAGCTTCCTAGCCCAGTCCAAGAGCCTGGGAAGATGAACGCAGGAGGCACCCCTGGGGTGAGAGTCAAGGAAGCTGATGGGGAGCCACGAGTGGGTCCCCCACGCTGGGCAGACCCCATTTTCTGCCACACCTCACACAGCCTGGGCTGCAGCCAGATTTCCAAAAAAGGGAGTTAGCCTCCCCACAGCAGGCCAGGGGAGCTGCTTTAGCCTGGCAGAAAGCAATCAGCTCAGAAGTCAGCAAGAGATGCTGAGGGGTGAGATGTCAGGTGCTGGGATGGAGGGGCCCCCTCAGCTGGAACTGGGCAGGTACAAATCACCTTCCTTGGCTCCATCAGAGCAGCGGTGCTCCCGCCTGCATCACAGTCTCAGTTTCCAAGGAAGATTTCATTAGGAAATTCTGATGCCGAGCTGAGGCAGGCCTCTTGCTTCTCCAATGCTCCACAGACCCAGGGTGGACAAAGAGCCCTTTCCTTTCTCCAGCCTAAGATTCTAAATCTTTCTGCTTGGCCATTTCGGTTTCCGATGAAGCCTAACTGAAGTGTAAACACACACAGGCACGCAGGCCAGCGGTAGTGGGTCAGACCCTGCCAGAGAGGTGCGCAGATGGAGCTGGGATCAAAGCAAGGTTACTGGCACTAGGAGTGGGGAACCTACATCTTTTGTGCATTTTCATTAAAAATAAAATGTTCTTACCTTGTATTACTGTACTGTACTTGGGATTAACAAGACAAGGCAACTAATCCCTTGTCCACACACTGTTTTCTCTGTGTTAGGATTTCCTAAGCTACTCGCCTTTGCGGGTGAAGTGACTGGAATTTTAGCAGTCTCTCTCTCTTTCTTTTTTGAGACTGAGTCTCGCTCTGTCGCCCAGGCTAGAGTGCAGTGGCGCAATCTCGGCTCACTGCAACCCCTGCCTCCCAGATTCAAGTGATTCTCCTGCCTCAGCCTCATGAGTAGCTGGGATTACAGGCACCTGCCATCACACCGAGCTAATTTTTGTATCTTTATTAGAGATAGGGTTTCACCATGTTGGCAAGGCTGGTCTTGAACCTCCTGACCTCAGGTGATCCACCCGCCTCGGCCTCCCAAAGTGCTGGGATTATAGGCATGAGCCACTGCGCCTGGCCTTTAGTAGTCTCTTGAATGCTGCTGAGGCAAGGCTCAGAATCAGGGCCGGCCACGAACATAAAAGACAGGCTGTGTCAAGTTGGCCACACACTCTGCTTACACCTGGCTGTGAGCAGTGGGGACCTGCCTAGGCCAGGATGGAGGGGGAACAGGCGGGGCAGGGGTTAGTGTGGACTAGGGCAAGCAGGTCAAGGCTCAAGGGTCTTGGGGCTGCAGACCAGGCTGACCAGCAGGATGAACACCCATTGTTGGCCTTGGCCACTGGGACTCCCCTCTTCAGGGAGGCACATTATGGGGTTTATATTTAGGAAACACTGCCACTCCCAAAGCACCTTTCTTTAGCTTTGGGGAGAAGGAAGCCATCAACAGCAGTGCTCGGCACGCTGGCAAAGGCCACAAGCAGAACTATGTGCTGTCGTCTGAAGGAGGCCAAGGATGCAGGAAAACCTGAACCCACCCCTGTGGTCAGCCCTGCCTCTGATGGGCTGGGGATGGACAGAGGTGAAAGCCCAGTGATGGGAACCTCCCTAGGCTGGCACCACTGAAGCTTCCCTTCATCACCCAGCAATTTTTTCCTAATCCTTTGTGAACCTGTTTACACAGCGTGAGTCACCTATCAGGGCAGCCAGGACTCTAGCTTCTTCCTTGCTGTCTGCAGGGGGACAGCCTTGGGCTGGTTCTAAATTGCCTTCCTTCAGACCCTAAGGTGGAACAGGGGGAAGTGGGTTACTTAGGGGTCCCTCATCTGGGATCACAGGGTTCTGAGAAACAAAGCCTGTTACACTCAGTGTCACCTGCCCTTAGGGGCAGAAGGCAGAAATCAAGACTCCCCCTAACTCCCCTGACAGAGCAACACATCCTCTCACCTCAGGTGGCCCAGCACGGCCTTGTTCCCAGTGTCCTGGCTGGGTGGCAGCAGGTCCTCTGTGTCCTACCACCACTTAGGCCAAGTGCAACTTAAACCCTGCTCCAAGAAGTGGGACATCTGGCTGATGCAGTAAATGAGGGAGGTGGGGAGGTATGAAGGAGCAGGACCACCTTGGAGGGCCATAACCCGTCTCCAGCTGCCAGCCCAGCTCATGTTAGAATCCCATCCTTGGCTGACTGTGTCAGGGCTATGATTAACTTACACAAGTTACTGTCATCCTGAGGCTGATGCAGAGCCCAGGGCAGGCAGAAGCAGCCCAAACACATGCATTCAAGCAGTCTCCTTTGTGGCCCATGCAGACCCCACCTCATGGGGGCTGAGGAGCAGCATGTGCACCCCATTACCCACCAGGCACCTCCTGGTGCAGAGCACCACAGCTGTCTGCTGACCCCACCTGTCCTCACCCCTGTCTCTCCACCAGGGATTGTGCATGCAGCGGGTGCTTACTTCATGTGTGTTGGCTGACACCATGGCAGGGCAGGTGTGCATGGGCGCCTGCTGCAGAGGCCAGCCAGCTCCCCCACTGCCAGAGTGTTCCCAGGGCACTCACTTGAAGTTCTCAGGGTGCTCGGTGATGGCCATGTTGACAACATCCAGGGCATGCTGGTGGTGCTTCTGGGCAGAGAAGAGCAGTGCCAGCAGGTGGAGGGCGTGGGCATCATCCTTGCGTACCTTCAGGGCCTCCTGCAGCTGCTCCATGGCACTGGAGATCTGTTGAAGGAACCCGCCAGGTTAGCCTTCCCCAGGCACATGCTGCCCTGGGACTCAGGAGCCACGTGCCAGTCAACAAGGGCACTCACACTCAACTCAAGGGAGCCCCAGGCACTGGGGGCAGGGAGGCTGCTGTGAGAAAACACCTGCCCCAGATGGCCTGGCGAGGAGGGGTCTGCTGCCACACTCAGGAATGAAGAGAAGCAGGTTTGTGGTGTGGCACAAAGGACCATGGCAGCCACCAGGAAGCACTTCCTAAATGGGAGGAGTGGAAGCCACAGGGTGAGGCAGCCATGTGTGGAAACGTCACCCTGGAGTTCTGCTGATGTATCAGGAGACCCTGCCTTCCAGGAGGAGATGATGAAAATGGGGTGCTCCAGGTAGGGGGTGCAGCTTGACCACAGGAAGGGAAGTGTGCAGAGGCAAGTGCCTAGAAGATGGGGAGACTGGCCTCTAATGTGGGCACAGTGGGAATCTGGGACTAGAATCCAGATTCTAGTCTTGTGTTTTGTTTTCAATTCAACAAATATTTATTAAGCCTGGTTCTGGACAGATGGGATGAGGCCAGATTATGCAGGGTCAGGAAAGCCACATTCTAAGGGTCTGGATTTGGATGTGGCCTCAGGAAAGCCTTTCCTTCCATGTGGTGGGGAGACCAGAGGTCACCATGGGTCCCAATTTTCACTGGCTTGAGTTTGCTGCCTCCCTTCTCGGAGCACTGCATGAAAGAGGGCAGGCCCCAGCTGCTCCAGTAGCCCAGTCAGTGAGCCCAGGAGGGGCTGGTGCAGCATGGAAGGGCACCTTCTACTGCTCCCGCCAACCCTGCAGGCAGGACTCCAATGTTCTACTGGATCTGGCTGCAGAGGGCACGGGTGATTTGCAGCTGTGGCCAGGGCCCCACCTGCAAGTGGTAACAGGGTTATGGGGTCAGTCAGTGCCCCAGCACATCCTATGGGGACTATTTCAGGGCTGAGACCACACACTTGCTTGGCTGCCTGCCACCTTGCCAGGATGGGTCTCTGCCCATAGCTGGACTTATGGGAGGATATGGAAGGTTCAAGGAGCCCTTTCCTGAAGAGACCATTCTCAGCACAACACAACACCCCCAGGATGGGTCCCAAGAGTCCCCTGGATGCAAAAGACACCCGAGGCCCCTCTCCTTGCCTCCGATTCTACCTCCCCAGACCCATCTACATTCAGCTGTGGAGGTTACTACCCTCAGAGAAAAAGCTCCCCACCCCATGGGCCCTGGCCTGCGCACTCCTGACAGGGTCTGGGGAATGTTTCCACAAGCATTAAGGAGAAAAAAGAATTCCGGCAGTTACCAACATAAACTCTCTTCTTCAAAAGAGGCTGCCAGTCCTGGTGACTATAGCAGCCCCTTACGCAGTCCCATGTGACCTGTGAGGTGGCCCGCTGCCCCCCTTACGTCATCTCCTCGTTCTCTACAAAACACCCCAGAGTCCCTGGCCCTTGCACCCTGCTGGGCACCCCTGCACCATGCCCTGCCTGAGGCAGCCCCCACCTGCTGCCTGTCATCTGAGCTGATTGATCCTGCTCGTTTTGGCAAGTGGAGGGGTCCTATATTTGTGAATACACAAGAGCTGGGTTCTAGAGTTGGTGCTGCCGCTCACTCACCTTTGTCCCTCATTCTCTCTGAATTCAGTTCCCTTATCTGCAAATTAGGCATATGCTTTTCCACAGAAGGGTTCAAAGAGCTAATGTACATGCAAAAATGCTATCTTCTATCCCTTCCATTCTTTTCACACAGCAGAGCAAGTTAGCAGCAGAGCAGGCGCTCCCAGGTGGGGGTCCTGACTCCAGGCCAAGTGCTCTTGTGTGAGCTATGCAGGCTGCTAAGCCTGTGTTTGGTGAGTGACAGGCCTGGCCTCAAAGCTGTCGCAGGTCAAGGCCAGCCCTCCTTGTGCTGTGGGTCCAGGCGCACGGCAGGGCCCAGCTGGCCTTCTCCTCCTCATCCCTGATTCCTAGCACCTCCAACCTGGCCTGATTCCCCAGGATGCAGGGAATCCTCTCCCCCACACACTGCTGCTTCACTGAGCAGTGCCCTTAGCTTGAGGTTCTGCACCCTGTAGAAAGGCTGTGACCAGGTCTGGAAAGAGAGGGTTGGGAGAGAAACTTACGGCAGGCTGGAGGGTGGAGGGCCAGGAAGGCCTGGCCCTGGGATAAAGAATCTGCCAGCTACATACCCAGGGCTGACGAGGCCCTCCCCTCTGAACATGTTCACGCGGTGATGTGGAAAGAATCTGATGTGTGGCTGACAGATAAACACCCTCTCCTGCTCAGAGGCTCTGGGGTGAGGTTGGGGTGTGGCTCCTGGCTCTGCCACTTCCCAGCTGGCACCTTAGGGCAAGAGGACTCACCTCTCTGAGCTGCAGTTTCTCTGCTACAAAACGAGGATAATGGTTAAACCTATTTCAGTGTCCATGAAGATGAGACACTATGAAAAATGCCTTGCAAAGTACTGGTGGAACAAACACTTTTAAAGTGTGCGTTTCCCTCTTCAAGCCCCAAAGCCAGAAAACTAAGGAATAGGACAGAACCTTCCTTCCAGCCTGAAGGCACGTGCTCTCAGGCCTGGGAGCTGCGTTAGCTCCTGTGACTGACTCCATGTCAGCGTTCCATCCCTGCAGGAACCCCATGAGTCTCTTTTTAAGAGTCCTGCTCCTTGCCAAACCTCAGACCCAGCCTTCCACCCTTCTCGCGGGGCCTTGGGTCCCCAGTCTGCCTGGCTTCTGTGTTGGTCTCCAGCCTGGCCTCTGTGCAGGCTGTGGGCACCAGTGCCAGGCCCGGAGTTCTCCCCGGGCACCTTACTTTGTGGATAGGTCAAGGAGCATACGAGGAGGACACTAAGATCAGTGGGGCCACTGGCTCGGCTTGTCGGTGGCCCTAAGGCTGCTCCTGTGCTGGTGACTCTGCTAGAGCAGACCTGATTATCCTGGGCTACGTATCCAAATCCACAGCCATCACTGTGCCGGCCAGCCAGATGTACTCTTGGCAGGATGGGCTGGCTGGGGGCCTCAGAGACCCAGGCAGGCTAGGACTCTAGCTTACAGTCCATTCAGGGAGTTCTCGAGTTCTCAACTCCCTGAGGCTGCCAAAATGAGGTCTCCAAGGAAACTGGGCCCTAGGCTCCACTGGCTCCGCTGGCCTGGCCCGCCATCTCTCTAGGAGGATGGATGCTATTCATCAGAGAGGGATGAATAACTGAACAGGTTAAAAAATGCATCACCAAAGGTTTATCGTTCACTAGATTAGCAAGAAAAGCACTGGTTCTTTTACAGGGAACTAAAAATAAAGTTGGTATTCCTGGGAGGGGAGGGATGCTCCTGGAGGGGCACAGAGGTGCCCCGTGCCTGTCCAGGACCTGGGGTCAGGAGTGAGGAGTGGGGACAGGGTGGGGGCGCAGCCTAGAGGTGGAGGAGGATGGAGGGAGTCACAGGGGGAGGGGCAGTGCAAGAGGAAGGGAGCGAAGCCACCGACGACAGTGGAAACAACAGCCAGGATGACATCAGGGCCGTTGGGGAGAAAATGGTTGAGACAGAAGAACCTGGAGAGGGAGACAGAATGCCTCAGAAACAGAGTGACAATTCAGGTCAGGTCAGGACAGACACAGGCACCGGGACAAGGGTCTAGGCATGGGGTGAGAGGGAAGGGGTCCCAGCACTGAGAGTAACTGTGACGAGAGGAGGAGCCAGGCTGACGCAGGGCAGAGCCTGGCTTGCCCCAGAGGCAGGAGAAATGCAGCCCGCCGAAGTGACCATAAGACCAAGCCCCGGCTGGTGAGCATGCTCTCAGGGCCCCAACTCCAAAAGGGTCAGGGGAGCGGGGTACCTAGACCCCGTGGGCTGTGGATCAGAGAGGCCTGGGTTCTATGCTGGCTCGGCCTCAGTGGTGTCCTCCGGTAAAAAATGGGACTGCTGTGGCCCGCTCCTCAGAAGGTAGGGCTTCCCCAGGCTGGTATGGGGGACACAGCACCATCCCCAGCAGGCAGGGCTGCCCTCCACCTGACAGCAAATACATGGGCTTCTTCGGGCTTCCCTCCGCCGGCCTGGAGCTCAGCCCATTTCCTGGGTGGTTCCGGCAAGGAGAGCTCCACTGTGAGAGCCAAAGGCTTGTCTGCAATCCCCAGGCAGTCAGGTGGGGGCATCGGCAGGCATCAGGGTCAAGCCACCTGAGAGGTCCTGTTTTGGAGGATGTGTGCATGCCCAGAGCGCCAGCCTGCAGGCTGAGGCGCCACAGGAAAGTAAAGGAGGCTCTGAAGGACCTGAGGTGGGGAGTCCTGGACACACCAGCATTCTCTCAGCACCCCTGGGGAAAAGGCGGGTCTGCCTGCAGAGTCATGGTGGAGGTGGTCCTGGGGCTAAGGTAGTCAGCAGACAGGAGGTCCCTATGGGGCCCCAGAAGCCAAGGCCTGATGGTGGTGTCCACACAGTGAAGGAGTAGCTTGGGGGTCACAGAGAAAGCCCAACATGCAACAGCTCCATGAGCCTGCCCATCACTCCATCCCCAAGACCCTTGGGGAAAAGCCAGTGGAAGGCGAGGACACAAATAAATGAGTGACAGGTGGTCACTCATCAACATCTCAGTCCACTGAAATGTTGTAGGGGGAGTGAGGGCGGAGAACACGCCCTTCCTGTGTACCCACCACGGCTTTACCCACATTACCTGACCTCATCCTTACTGGCCCCTCTGATGAGGGCTCAAAGGACTTACATGACAGATAAGGAAACAAACTCAGGGAGGCAAAGTCACTTGCAGAGGGTCACACAGCTGGTAAGCTGGGTTTCCAGGAGAAGATCAGCAGCCCCCGAGGACCCGGGGGTTAGGAACACGGACAACCCACCTGTCGGACGAGGGCCAGCTGCAGCGAGACATAGAGGATGACCTGGGGGTCACTGGGCGCCAGCTGCTGAGCCCTGTGTGGGGAGAGGGAGTGACAAGTCAGGCACCAGGGGTTGAGTGACCAACGTGTGACTCGGGCCTCCAGCATGCCAGCCCTGTGCTGGGCGCTATGAGGCAATACCCTGGGGGATTCTGCCAGGCTCTGCCTCAGAGGGGCATCCAGCTGGCAGATGAAGACCAAGGAAGGCGGCCCACAGGCAGCCCAAGGCAGGGACGGTGGGCCTGAGGGGGCTGGCACTCACTGAGGTAGGGGCCATCTGGGAGGGCAGCCCTGGGGTGACAGACCCCAAAGAAGAAAGACGATGGGATGAATATACAACCCATGGGCAGAGAGGGAGTGACAAGTCAGGCACCAGGGCAGAGAAGCTAGCCTCACTGCTCTGAGCATATGCCAGGAAATCCCTGTAGGGGCTGGGGATGGTGGAAGGGGTGGGTGGGTTTAGTGGGAGGGGTGGCTGGGGAGGAGCTAGAAGGAGGTGAATGCCATTTTTGAGCCCCTGTTACACATAGGATACTGTGCAAGGTGCTTTTTCTGCTTTATCTTCTGTAATTACTACAACAGCAATGGGTTACTATACCCATTTTAGACCCCTGAGCCCTGGGAGAGCAGGAACCGAGACTTGTGGCTGCTGGAGCCCCCCAGAGCTGAAGGCAGGGCTCGGCTGCCTGCCCAATCCCCAACGCCTATCCCTGCTTGCTGTGTGCAGTTCCCTCATCTGTAAAATGGAGATAGAAATGTTTGTTCTGCCCACATCAGAGGGTCTGATGACGTAAAGCTTGTGAATCTGCCACCAAAGGCAAGAGGGGCCTCTGCTGCAGGTGGGAGCCTCCTCACCTCTCCAGCGTCTGCAGTGCCTTCCGGTGCAATTCATCTTGCTTGGACTTCAGGGTGGCTGCAGGGGACAGGACAGAAACTGAGCCATCAGGGGTCACTGAAGGGTGCCGGCCCAGCCCTGCACCATCCTCAAAGCACACAGCTCTGCAGATAAAGGCCCCACCAGGGTCCCATCTGGCAAACTTCAAACTCCAGCAGCCTGGGCCAATGCCCTGGCTTCTAGCACATTCCTTGGCATGCCAGTTGCTTCTACTGCATTGCCTTCTCCACCGCCTGAACTACCTTAACCCTTTCAAAGGCCAATGCCTACAAGCATTCCACGACATGGGCACCCCACCCAGGAGGCCCAAGCCTTGAGAGAGGGGCCACCACCTCTGCCTGGCCACATACCTTCCTAGGCTTCCTGACCCACTAGGAAGTTTGAACCCAAACCAGGCACCTTTCTGGTAAACTGCATCCCATTTAAAATGCAGCAGGGCAGGTGTTCTTAGCCTTGGCTGCACACTTAACTAACTACCCAGGAAGGTTTAACATGATTGCATCCAGGCCCCTCCCAAACCTGATCAGAATCCCACTGGCGAGGACCAAGCATTGACAGTTGTCAGAGCTCCCCGGATTCGAAAGCTTAGAAAGCAACCGCTATTTGTAGAGTTAAAAGGACAAGGAGGGTGTCTTGCTCAAAGTAGACTTTGACAAAGGGGCTGATGACTCCCTCACTTGACCAGCATGTGCAGACCCAGGTGTTCCTTATACAGGGCTCATTTATACCCGATGTCACCGTGACTGCCGCTCCCAGCAACTGGCGTTTGGGGGAGGTGGGCATGGGCTGATTACTATTCCAGGTTTGGTCTGGGTGGCGGCCCGTCACTCCCCATCCCTCAAGCTACAAGATCAAAGTAGGTGGCTGCCTGATAGACGGAGTAAGACACATGGCTGAGCTGGCAGGGTTGGCAAGAGAAGGCCAGGTGTGGGGCAGGAAGGAGCAGAATCCATTAGCCGAGCACAAGTAGTTACTAAGCACCTGCTGCGTACCCAGCCCTATGCCACGTATTGAGGGGGATTTAAAAGGCTCCAGAAGATCATAGCAGTGCTGAGGTTAAAGGCAGGCCTATGAGAACCAGAATGGAAGCATTGTGAGGTGGAGGGCTGATGGCGCATTACAGACAGGAAGCAGGAGTTCCACAGAGAAGATCAGCATGGGCTTTGCTGGAGCTGTGGCTGGGCCTTGAGGCCCATGAAGAGGGGAGAGGAAGGCATGCTTGAGGGTGGCGACAGTCTGGGGGAAACAGTGGAAATGGGTCTGAGGGGCGCGTGTGTGTATGCACGTGTGTATGTGTGCACACATGGGCATCTCTCCCAGAGGAGTGCATGGTGTCTATGGAGGCATGGCCTGAGGGGAGGGGTGCCGGTAGGACAAGATGCCTCTGAGGCAGTTAGGAAGCCTGAGCCATCCCCAAGTAGAGGCCTCCTGGGGCCTGGCACTCACCGTCGGTGGCCTGCAGGCTATAGGTGAGACCCAGAGCCAGGTAGCCCTTGGGGAGGAACTCCCCGGCTTCCTCTCCGAGGCTGATCACCATCATGGCAAAGTGCTCTGCTTCCTCTAGCTGCAAAGAGGAGAGACAGAGGTCATGGAGGTGGGGTTGGAGTTTCCTCTACCAGTGAATGACTCCCTGGACCTGTTCCCGAAACAGAAGCCTTGTGCTCAAGGTCACAGGGCCTTACTCTCACAGGGAGAAGCTTCCCTTGCCCCAGAGATCCCAGCTCCCCAAATTTTGTTCTGCTGAGAGCATGAACCCAAGACCGGGCCAGTTTGGGCCAGCTCCTTTCCTCCCATGGCCTCTGTAGGGGCCTGTGTCTGTGCCTGTCCTGCTCGGCACATAGAGGAAAGCCAGGGCCGGGGCAGGCAGGGGTCTCTGGCTGGGCCTCAGGAACATGTGCCTTGCTGGATGTCCTCAGCCCCATGGAGCAGGCAGGCAGCCACTCTGGCCCCGTCCATGAGCTCGCTCCCTCTCTGAGACAAGGAGCTCAAACTTTCAGGGGAAAAAGGCCTGGGGCTGTTTTTGTCCTGGAAGCAGGAGGGACTGTTCCAGTTGGAAATGGACCAACCCGTATGGGTCACATGTGCACACATCACCACATGACATGGGACACAAAGAGAGGGGCACGCACAAGGTGGGCCTGGGGACACTCTGGGCCCCCATAGGAGTCAGGCCGGTTTAGGGGGCAAGGGATAGCCAGGGGCCTTTGTCATGCCCACTCATGGCACACATGCCTCCAAGAAAGGCCCCCTTCCTCCCATCCAACCCAGGAAATGGCATGCCTGGTGTGGTAGTGTGCCCAAGTTCATGTCATTGAAAACGCCAGTTTCCAGAGAGGGCAGGGATGCTTCCTCTGTCACTAAGACTGGCACTGACCCACCCACAGCAAGAGACTGAATGCCATGTGCAAACCCTTCAGTGCCACCCAGACATCAAAGCCCCAAGCCATGGGCATTTCTCCTGGTCAGAGGCTCACAGAGTCAGGAGACCAGGGAATGAGATTCAAACCCAAGTTGGCTTCTAGCCCCAAAGCCAGTGCTGCCCCTGCCCGGCCCCCATCCCTGCTCAGGCCCATCCCGCTAGCAGGAGATGGGCAGCTCTGGGTATCTTGGGCCTGACCACTGGACACAGGAAGAGGGGCAGTGGATTCTCTCTCCCTGGAGTTAGGAAGTGAGATCATGAGACAGAGGCTATTAGCCAGGGTGAGCTATGTGCAAACTGAAAGAGCAGAGAGGCAAGGCACAGAGAAGCCGAGAAAGCTGCATGATGGCCTGGAGGGAGACGGCGGGAGAGGCTGTCTGCCCACCATGCCCGACTCAGCTGACCAGAGCAGCCCTACAGCCACCTTGTGGGCGAGCTCAAGCTGCCAGCCGGGGCAGTGGGCTGCTTCCTGATTGCTGGGCTGGCCACTGGAAGGATGAGGGTGTCTGGGGAGCTGGGTTTCTGTCTTTGGCACCAATAGGCCCGAGAACCCAGGGCTTATGGGAGGCCATAGTCGGGGAAACCCCACAGCTGTCTACAGCTCAGCCTCAGCCGGCCAGGTGGACCCAAGGCTATAGATGCTAAGATCTGTCTCCTAGGCCACGTGGCAGCAGGACTCAGGAGGGCTGCTGGGGCCTGAAGCCAAAGCCACATGGTGAGAAGAGCACTGGAAGACAAGCCCCAGACAGGCTCCACTCCTGGCTCAGCACCTGACAGCTGTGGGGCTCAGTTTCTGTGTCCCAAGGTCCTCATCTGCAAAATGGCAGGTGGGACCCCCGCTCCTCCCCGCTCCCCACAGCCCTTCACTGAGGTTTTTGTAGCTCCAGGCCCTGTGCTAGGCCTGGCGGAGGAGCTGACACAGGAGGCACACACCTGGCAGGACCAGGTGGCCCCTAGTTAAGGCCCCACTGTGTGGTGCTGACATAGGGCTACTGGAACTCCAAGAGCTTATCAGGTGGCTGTGGTTACCCCAGGAGGCAGCAGAGGTGGAAAAGGAGGCAACAAGGGAGGGGAAAGTAAGCAAATAGCACGCTCTTTTCTTCCTAATATACCCCTGGCTAATGAGGCTCATCTCACACACTATCTCAGGCATTATGAGGCTCCATTCAAACAGAAAAAGCTTTCTTACAAACACCAAGCACAAGTTATAAAAAGAATCCAGACACCCGCTGCACTCCATGAATACACGGCCATGTCCTTCTGCTCAGCAAATGCCAGCTTCAGCTCCTGCAACCCATGCAGAGAGGGTGCCAGGAATACGGCTCAGCAGATACTGGCAAAGTATCTGTTCTCCAGTTCATATACATCATATTCTAGATTAAAAGAGCTAATCATCCTTTAGCTTTATAAAGTGAAGACACACATCCTTAATGTGTCCAACTTGTGATCCACTCTGACCCCGAGATTAGTAGCACTCCTTGTCCAGTACTTGCCAGCATTGTCCACGTAGTTTAAAACCGTCTCTAAGCCTGGTGTCAGCATTTGCCTCAAATCAAAATCCCAAGGCTTAATGTACCATCTCCCTATATGGCCAACATAATTTAATTTCTTTTTGTGTGTGTTTTTTTTTTTAAAAATAGAAAATGGTGTCTCACTATGTTGCCCAGGCTGGTCTCGAACTCCTGGGCTCAAGCAATCCTCCTGCCTCGGCCTCCCAAAGTGCTGGGATTACAGGTGTGACCCAACACATCCGGCCATAATTTTGATTTCTATTACCATACTACAAGGCAGGCTTTTTGCATGCAGAGTCATAGCAGTGATTAGGAAGGAAAAAAAGTATGATCAATTCTATTAAGTATGACAATATACAATACAATAGCACACAGTATTAATATACATGGGTACTGTAGCTGGCAAAAGGGGAGAATAATGTCACAAGAGTGTAAATCCTAAAGCCCTTGAGAATTTGACTTTGTCATCTCTGTTCTGAGTTACTATAATCCCACCCAACTCCGGAATCAGCCCCACATCCATGAGTAGGCACTTCATGCAAAGAGGCAGGGCAGTCTAGCAGCTAAGAACACAAGCTCTGGGGCCAAACACCCTGGTCCAAATCCTAGGCTGGTCACTTGCTAACCTTGGGCAAGTCACTTTGTTTTGTTGTGCTTCCTTCTCTCTTCTGTAAAACAGGGATAACAATAGTGTCTCTCCCTGGATGAGGTGCTGGGAGGACAGGATGAGATAAGATGGGGCAATGCTCACAGCAGTGCTTAAAAAAAAATAACTATTATTAATAGTTGTAATTTATATATCTATATATTTACATATGTAGATATATAACTGTATATTTCATATATGATATCTACTTTCTTATATGTATATAAGCTTTGATATAATAATATAAGCTTTTTTTTTTTTTTTTTGAGATGGAGTCTCACTCTGTATCCCAAGCTGGCGTGCAGTGGCACAATCTCAGCTCACTGCAACCTTCACCTCTGGGATTCAAATGGTTCTCCTGCCTCAGCCTCCCAAGTAGCTGGAACTAGAGGCACACACCACCACACTGGTTAATTTTTTTATATTTTTAGCAGAGACAGGGTTTCACCATGTTGCCCTGGGTGGTCTCGAACTCCTGAGCTCAGGTGATCCACCTGCATTGGCCTCCAAAAGCGTTGGGATTACAGGTGTGAGCCACTGTGCCTGGCCAGCTTTTTTTTTTTTTTTTCTGAGACGGACTCTCACTCTGTCACCCACTAGGTTGGAGTACAGTGGTGCGATCTTGGCTCACTGCAACCTCTGCCTCCCAGGTTCAAGTGATTCTTGTGTCTCAGCCTCCTGAGTAGCTGGGATTACCAGTGTGTGCCACCATGCCCGGCTAATTTTTGTATTGTTTGTAGAGATGGGGTTTCACCATGTTGGCCAGGCTGGTCTCAAACTCCTGACCTCAAGTGATCCACCTGCTTTGGCCTCCCAAAGTGCTGGGATTACAGGAGTGAGCCACTGCAGCTAGCCAGGTTCATATATATATGTATATCAATTACAACTACTCATATATACTAATATATATATATCCATATTTTGTATATGTATTATACAATTAATCTTCCATGGTTTTAAAAATATCTCAGCCTAAGTCTCTGATGGCAAGTGTCATCTGAGTATAGTCCTGGTTCCTCATAGCTACATGACAAATTGGGAAGTGGCATCAAAGACCCTCTGGAATCCAGAGAGTAGACATTACTGCCTGCCTTTTGTCTCTCAGCCAGATCCTTAGCCACAGAGGAGTGACTCTACATGAGCATAAGTTGGCACCTCCGCAGGCCCGCACAGTCCACTATGCTGAGCTGGTCGAGCTTTCCATCCCCTATCCAGGGTCCACTCACCCCACTGTGGGTAATACACTGGAGTATTTCCTATCTTATTCTCTGATAATCTACAGTCTATTTCAAGGTTTTGATTATTTTATTTTTGAGATGGGGTCTCGCTCTGTAACCCAGGCTGGAGTGCAGTGGCATGACCATAGCTCACTGCAGCCTTGACCTCCTGGGCTCAAGCGATCCTCCCACCTCAGCCTCCCAAGTAGTTGGGACCACAGGCACGCACCATTGCACCAGGCTGACTTTTTACCTTTTTATTTTTATTTTTTGTAGAGATGAGGCAGGGTGGGTCTCACTATGTGGTCCAGGCTTGTCTGGAACTCCTGGGCTCAAGCGACCCTTCCCACTTAGCCTCCCAAAATGTTGAGATGATAGGCATGACCTACCACCCCAGTCTCAAATTTTTTTTTTTTTTTTTTTTTTTTTTTTGAGACAGAGTGTCGCTCTTGTTGCCCAGGCTGGAGTGCAGTGGCATGATCTTGACTCACTGCAACCTCCGACTCCTGGGTTGAAGCGATTTTCCTGCCTCAGCCTTCCGAGTCACTGGGATTACAGGTGCCCGCCACCATGCCTGGCTAATTTTTGTTATTTTTAGTAGAGATGGGGTTTCACCATGTTAGCCAGGCTGGTCTCGAACTCCTGACCTCGGGTGATCCACCCACCTCGGCCTCCCAAGGTGCTGGGATTACAGGTGTGAGCCACCTTGCCCGGCCTCAAATTTTTTTTTTAAGAGTTCTATTTCACAGCCCACTAATGGGCCCCACCTGCGATCTGGAAAAATTGCTCTAATCAGATGGCTGCAGACTGGCCCAGCGCCTGCCCTTCTGCTCTACTCCAGACGTCTTCCTCCCTGCCTAGCACCTCATGTGCCCTTTCCAGACACTTCCTCCTTGTGGCCTCCAAGTTAACAGCTGGTGGCTCTGTAGTCCAGGCTGCTGCTTCTGCAGCAAGCTCAGGTTACAGCACCGGGCTTTCCTTGCTCATCAAAATACTTCTAGGGTGAGTTTCCAGAGTTCTCTTCAACCTTCCTTCTCCCAGTGATACACTGCTCTTGAATGCCTTGTTTATCTAGGGCAGCCATGGAACCTTGCCACTAAAACCCAGGTGAAGATCTTTCCCTGCCTAGTCCTCTGCAATTCTAGAGTGATTAGGGGCTCCCCTGGCATTTTCACAGCACCACAGCTACCTGATGGCATTGGTGTTTCACAGCAGAAGGCGCTGAGGGCACAGGGAGCTGAGCTGAAGCGACCTATCCAAGGTCACCTGTCTAGGAAGTAGCAGAACTGTTTCCAACCCCAGTCTCCTGATGCTGATTCACAGCTACCCTCTGGAGGGTTTCATTTTTCTCCTCTCTGACCCTTTGGAAAAGGATGCATTGAAGGACATAATGTTTTGATCCTTTGTTTTTGTGTTACATAAGTAAGGGAAAATTTCCTGTGACTTTACAAGTTCCTCTGTCTCTCCAGTGTTTCGAATTTGGTCCCTACACAGACTGGCTTCTTGCTCACACACTCTGCTAATGCCCAGGACTGCCTTCCATTTCAAGGGTTACCTCACCTTGCAGTGAGCCAAAAAGGTTTGCCCTCGGAATCTTCACCCTCGTTCCTCTCTTTCTGGGAACTACAGAAAGTTCGTTTCTGAGCCCGCAGAGTTTTTAACAGCACCTCCAGTTTCTCCTTAGTTCCTTCCCACGAGCCCGGAACCTGCTGTTAGCTGCTCTACTGAAAAATCCCCTTTTTTTCTCCCTGGGAGGAGTAGTAGGCACTCTTTCCAATTTCTACAAGCTGGTGGCAGGAGGGCTGGCATTCTTTCTCCCCTGCCTCATCAACACTTAATCCATCTTCCTGGCTCTGCCCACCCCTGAATTTGAAAAATGAAGTCAAAAACATCAAGGCGCATCCTTTTTGTGTGCCTGCTATTTTCAAGGGGCTGTAACGGTGATAGCAACCATGCAGGTACCCGCAGTGTGCTAAGCAGGGGCACTCTTCATGTCATCTCTGATATTCACAGCTACCCCATAATGGCGGACATGATTGTTTCCAGGCTACAGATGAGGAAACCGAGGCACAGACAGGGTAAATTACTCCCTCAAAGTCACACAGCTAGTAAGTGGGAGTACATGGGTAGGCAGAAATTTGAACTCTACCATCTCTGCCTCCAAAGCCTATGCACTTTTCCACTACCCCCTGCTGCCCTCCTCAGGAAGGAGGTGAGAGATGGCATCAGAGACCTTTCCAAAGATAAGCATGCCCTGTTTCCATTTTGCAACTCCTCTGCTGTCTGTGTGACACCACACATGCATAGCCTTTCCTCTTTGCCTCCTGTAAAGGTTTCAACTTTTTAAGTTAAATGAATTTTAAATAATTGGAGGGATACAAAAAAATATTTACATCTCTCTTTCCTTCTGCTGCAAAAATAGGGACCCTGGCAGGAGGCTGGGCATGCCAAGGCAGAAGGCTGCCATGCAGGCCTCTCTGATTTCAGTGCTGGCGTCACTGAGTCAGAGCCTGGGAAGCCCTCCCTCACCAAGGGGAACTTCAAGATAAGCCCCAGGGTCAGTGCTCTCCCATTCCAAACCCAAACCTGCTCAGCTACTCCCACCCTGGTGCAAACCCCCGAATCAGCCAGCCAGCACGTGACCATGCACGTCCCTCTGCCTGCCACAATCCCCAAGACACAACCTTGCTCTCAGACCCAGACCCGGTATGGGGTGTCCAACAGTGGCTCTGGGCATGAGGACAGGATGTGGGAAGAGCAGGTGCTCCGCCTCTGGGCACATGGCCACCCAGTCCAGCTTCACCCAGCACAACTCGTTTTCCAAATGTCCTAGTTTCAGCCTCCCTTTCTGCAACCCAGGCCAAATTGACCACCCCCAGATTTCTGTCCCCTGCTCATGGGGCTTGGCTGGGCCTGCTGGGGGCTGACGTGAGCCAGAATAACTGCGAAGGCAGGAGACGAAGGGGGTGTGAGCCGCCTTTTGGGATCTGTGCCCTGTCTCATGCACGAACACCCCCTGCCTGCCAGGCAGACCCATTCTTTTCACTGTGAGCCTCAGGAACAGAGAGTACAGGGCTGACCCACTCTGGGCCTCCCTGTAGAACTAGGGATGGTGAGGCAGGAACCCAGCAGAAGGATGGGGCCAGTTTCCAGTCCTTGAGAAAAAGGGGCTCAAACACGAAATTTGTGGGGAGCTTGTTGCCTCCCTTCTCAGAACCCTTGGATATCCCACAGCCTGCTCTCTTTACAGTGCCACCTAGGGAGCAAGAATTAGGTGCAGAGTGCTGGGAGAACCCCCAAACCAAATACAGATCCCTCATCTGGTCCCTTCCTGGCAGGTTGGGATGTGTGTCGCTTCGTCAGTTACTAGTATAGCACCTACTATATGTAGGCTTCCTGTGGGGGAGAGGGGGTCAGAGTGCAAGACATGGCAAGTGAGCAAGTTCCCCACCTAGTTGGGAAGTCATGCACCACATAAGACAGAATTCATTGCCAAGTGAATGTGTCCATCGGCAAGAAGGATCCATCCAGCGAGCACCAGGCATTGAACCCTGGGCTGGGGTTTCAAAGAAGAGACAGATAATTCCTGCACTCAAGAAACACAGATGATCACAATGTGATGTGATCTGTATCCAAGACAGGTAGGAGGTGCAGGGGGTGAAGCTTCCAGATCAGGGAAGGTTGCCAGGAGCCCACTCTCGGGCCACCCATGGGACATCACTCTGGCCTGTGCCTGATTTAAACCCTGGCTCAAACTAGCCCCTGAACCCAAATATGCTGCTCAGCTGAAGTTAAACAGCTCACCCTTCTCCTCGATTCTGATGACAAGTCTGCATGTTTAAGTTTCCTTTTGGGCTTTTCTATTTATGTTGTCATTGATTACTTTGCTCCTAACTCATCTGATTTCAATTTGGACTGATTTGATCCTAATTTTATTACCATGTAATCTGAATGCACATAATTACTGTAATTATGCTGCTGAGGGAAACAGCTCCTGCATGGTGGGAAGACCTAAATTTAGGGCTTCCTGGCAAGGGCGGCCGTTGGCTGGGTGGACCCACAGCTACCTCAGAGCTGGCAGCCTTGAGGGGCACAGATGCCCTCCCCCGCTACACCCCCTCAGAGATGGGTATTTTGGGTTTCATCTCAGAGATGAGCTTGAGGCCCCTCTCAGAAGCCCTAGGAGCAAGCAGCGGCCTGAGTTGGGGTCGGGGAGCCCACCTGCTCTGCACACTCTGGCTCATATCTCCACCCTCTGCTGCACGTGCTCAGCACCCATGGGCCACCTGTATCTGAAGTGCTTGCTCACAAGGTCGCCCTACCTCTGGGTGCCAACTGTCTTCCCCAAAAGACCTGGGAACCAAGGGTTCCCTGATACTCATGAGGTGGGGGAAAGCAAGCTGTGATGCAAGGGCCTGGTTTTGGCCCTCCTGTATCCTCCCTTGCCCTCTCAGTTCAGTCTGAGGCTGCCTCCTCCATGATGCCTCCCTGACCCGTCCAGCCCTCTCCCTACTTGGTCATTTATGTCCCACCCGAGGAGACTTACTGTTTCCATTTTACAGATGAGAAAACTGAGGCACAGTGAGGTTAGGTGCCTTACTCTAGGGTACCCAGTGGGTGGGCAGTGAAACTCTTAACTACCTCATTACACTGCTCCTTCCAAAGCCCAGAGCCCATTACAGGACTGATCTCACGTAATTCTCCCCAGCCTAAATGACAGCATAAAGAACACGAGCCAGATGCCACACTTTCCCTTCCTCCTGATCAGCCACAGAGGGGATGGGGCACTTCAGACACAGGGATCTGAGAACCAGGTGGAAAAGGGGAAAGGTGCTCTTTTCACCCAGCCTCTTTGTGCTTGGGAGGACTGACTCCCTGGAGCAGAGAGAAGGCAAGCCCTGCTGCGATGATGAGGCGGGGACCCAGCAGAGGGATGGGGCCAGTTTCCAATCCCAGGGAAGAAAGGTTGGAACATGGAATTTGTGGAAAGCTCATTGCCTCCCTCCCCAGAATCCATGATTTGTTTGTGTACAGGAGGGAAAGTGGCAAGAAGAGTTGTAAAGGCTGCTAATTATGAAGCTCCTGCTGCATGCACCCAGAGCCTGGCCCCCACTGCCTTAAAACAAGCTGGGCACACAATGGTGAGGGGGTGGCCGAAGGTGTCAGGCCAACTGGAAGACAGGGAGGCCATCTCCAGGGGAAGTGCCCACTTTAGGAGACCCTGGGCCTGGAGAGCAGATGAAGGAACTGGGGAGATGTGGGTGGAGAAGGGCCTGATATCCATCATGTGGGAGGGAGAATGCGCTTGCTCTGTGTTGCTTGAGAGGGTAGAAATAGGAGGCTGACATCAGCAAGCTGATTGGGACTGAAGAAAGCAAAGATTATCCAGAAGTGGGCCCCCAGTCGGAAGAGATACCTGCACAGAGGCCCCATTGCTGGGGCCCAGTGCCGTGGCCCAAGAGCCCCCATAGGCCTGGAGCAGCATCCGAGTAGGCCCAGGGCAGGAGGACTACAGCAAGGCGGGGGACCTGGGCTCCTGGCACTGTTCTCCTTCACTACTCCAAGCTGCTGATCTCATGGGAGTCTTCAGGAGCCTGCAACCCCCAACTGGGGGGTTAAAGGCCTCGAACTGGGGAAAGAGCAGACCTGGAGCCATAGCCTCCTAACAGTTCAGCTGCTTCTGCAGAGAGCAGTAAGCAGGCAGCGGAGCACAGGGCAGGGCCCTGGAGGGCTGGAGCCAAGAGGAAGGAGAGGGGCTGACAGAAAAGACCAACTTCCCATTCCGCCAAGAGCAGCTCTGCCCCCAGAATCGCGCCTTGCAGGCCCTTGCAGATTGGATGCTAAGGTCATCTGAAGCCTCAGAAATGATGAGGCTGGTCCAGGTGACTCAAGGTCTTACCTACTACTCTGCTGCTGGGCAGGTGGGGAACACCTCTACTTCCTTATGTTTCACTCTCTGGAGGCCACAGTTCAAGGCTGAACTGCCAAACCAGACACCATCCTGAGTCAGGGGACCCTGCCATTGGAGGCTGGCAGCTCCTCAGAGACTTTCTCCCTGCCCAGGCCCATCTGCCTGGTAGCTCCCATCCTTTCCACCTTCGGCATGCACCCACACATACACGTCAAGACGTGCACAGCCAGCTGCTGCCACCCTCCCCACAGGAGGCCTCTGGGACCTGCCCTCACAGCTCACTCACCCAGCGAAGGGACCCGATGCAGACCTTCGCGGCCATCAGGGGCACGGTGGGGTCCGAGGGCCGCAACTTCACACACTCCCGCAGCAGGGACACAGCGTAGGCTGACTGCAGAAAAAAAGAGCAGGAAACACTGTCACTCACAGTCCTGGATCTCAAGGGCCCACAGTGGGGCGAGCTTCCCAAACAACCAAGCCTTGCTCTGTATCCCTTTGCTCTCAGGAGCCAGGAAGAGGTCCAGGGCAGAGAAGCCTAGGCAGTGTCGGCAGGCAAATCCCTCCCTGGGCCTCAGTTTCCTCATCTGAAGATTAGAGGCTGTGACCCTTGCTCTTTAGGTAACATGATGACAGCTAACATGAAAACGAATGGAAGGTCTCCCCAAGGAATTCAAATTTCAAGCACAGAAATTTTAGAGGTAGAAAGGGGCTCTCTAAATGAGGGCTGGGCACGGTGGCTCACGCCTGCAATCCCAGCACTTTGGGAGACCGAGGCAGGCAGATCACTTGAACTCAGGAGTTCGAGACCAGCCTGGCCAACTTGGTGAAACCCCGTCTCTACTAAAAATACAAAAATTAGCCAGGTGTGGAGGCGTGTGTCCATAGTCCCAACGACTCAGGAGGCTGAGACACGAGAATCGCTTGAACCCAAGAGGTGGAAGTTGCAGTGAGCCGAGATTGTGCCACCGCACTCCAGCCTGGGTGACACAGTGAGACTGTGTCTCAAACAAACAAACAAACAAACAAATAAATAAGGACTCTGGAGGCATGGCCAATGGCGGGGTTGGGGGTCGTATAAAGGCTGGCAGAGAGGAAGGGGAGATATTCTAAACTGGCAGAGCCGGAGAGAACCTCCAGACAGTAATCTGAGGATCCCCCCAGGCTTCAGGGACTCAGACTGGACCTGCTGAGGACGGCCAAGTGTGAAGGAGGGCTGGGCGGGGCGGGGCAGCCACAGCCAGACACGAATGTTACCAATAACAGTAATGAGAAGAACAGCAGCAGCAAACACTTATCCAGATCTTGGGATGTGCAGGCGTTGTCCTAAGTCTGGGGTTGGCAAAACAGTTCACAGGCCAAATCTGGCCCTCTGCCTATTTTTGTAAATAAAGTTTTACTGGAACACAGCCATGTGCATTACATTTACATACTGTATATGGCTGTTTTCCTGATACAGTAGCAGAGTGGAATAGTTGCAAAAAACTGTTGGGCCTGCAGAGTCAACAACGTCTACTATCTGACCCTTTACAGAAAAGAGTCTGGAGACCCCTGTTCTAAGTGCATTTTAAATACCAAGTGATTTAATTTTTACAGCAATCTTATGATGCAGATACTCTGACTCTACTTTACAGATGGGAAAACTGAAATGCGGAGAAGTCAGGTAACTTGTTCAAAGCCACACAGCCTATGAATGGCTGAGCTGAGGTTTGAACGTAGCCTGGCTCTAACCACTACCCTACACTGCCTCTATGATAAGCACCTTGGCCAGAAAGGCGGCCTGTTTCCCTGCGCGCCCCCTCCCCTGTCCCCCCCACCACCAAAAAAAAAAAAAAAAACACACACACACTCTTTCTGGGCTGGAACCTTTTCTAAGAAACTCAGCAGTAATCCTCCCAGTGTGTACACCCCTGTACCTGTGTGACCTCCAGGTTTACAGGTACCTGTGTGTAACTATGACAATTCCCATGTACTGGGCCCTACTGTGGGCCAAGCAACCCCCCATTAATTAGCTCTCATATCCCCCCAGCAACTCTGGAGGTACAGAAGGAAACGGAGGCTCTGGAAGGCTCGCCTGTCTACAGCAGGGTATGAGCAACTGGCAGGTGCACAGCTATGATCCGAATGGTCTATGTCCACCCTGGACACCCCGCCTCCCTCCAGCTGGCCTCCCCTTTTCCCCGCCATCTAAGGAAGAGCTTTTCTCAACCCAGACGTGATAGATTTCCCTGGGCTTTGGCTCAGACTTATTAGGTTAATTGCGGGTGTCTTTGCCGAGGGTGTGCTCTCACCCAGTACTGGGCTAGGCGTTGTGCGGTCACTCAGGAAAGGGGATGAGGTCATGGCTCTTTCCTCAAAGGACCCCACAGAAAGGGTGGGAGAGACAAAAAAGGCCACCACCCCCATGGCTCTCTCTGGAAACAAGAGGGTAGGAGGCCAAGCACAAGAGGGTGTTAGCAGGTGACCAGCTCCTGCAGGCTGGGAGACTCCACAGGGTGCCCAGAGTGGGCGGGTGCCAGGGTGCCTGAGGGGCTTGAAGGCACTGTCAGGCTATCTACCTCCTCCTGAGGCCCTGCCCTGGGAACACCACTCCAAGTCCCTCCCCAAGGCCCCTCCATCCACACCCCAGCAAGCCTCAGGCTTCTCCTCGGCCTCCTTCTCATGGCTGCTGAACTCTGGATCCTTGCCACACAGGGTTCTCTAACCCTGACCCTCTGCATTCCACCCCGTTCCACCCCACCCCCACGTACACCAAAAAACGCTGCTATTTAAGGAGCCATCTGAGGACTCAGCAGCCGGAGCAGCAGCTTTTTTTTTTTTTGTCATGCTGGTTACCTAGCAACACAGCCAATGCAATTGCCGCACAGAGAGCAAGAGAAGGAACGACCTAAATCATGTCACGGAACTCATCCATTATTCCTGCAGGTTCAACTACCCAGACTCACCTTCTGGAAGGCCTTTCGGGCATAATCACAGATACAGGCCCTTGATTCCACCTTAGGCTTTCAGCAAAGGCAAGGTCTGGCCACTCTTGAGGGCTGCCTGGGACAATCAGGCAGACTGATTTGGTGGGCAGGGTTCCCAAGGGGGGTGGAGAATGCTTTCCAGAACAATCTCCTGCTGCACCGAACACACAGTGTCTCCAGCCCATGAAGCCTCATGCATGGGCAACTGGCCAATCTTAACTCCCTGATGCAAGCCCACTCCCGGGGCCACCTTGCTGGTCTGTGAAGGAGCCAAGTCGCGAAACCAGCTCCCTGGATGCTGGGATGGTGCCAGGCTGTGTCTGGATCTCTCTGAGTCCAGCTAGTCAGAGGCAGAAGACTCCTTACCTCCCAGGCTATCACGACACCTTTGACTGAGCCTGGAGAGCGTCTAGGAGCCTCTCTCGGATTTAAAGCTAACTTGCACGTGCAGTGAATTTTTCTGAGCAGGAGTCCTCAGCTTCCCTTACCTCCTGAAAGGAGTCCAGGACCCACAGAAGGGTGCGAACCACTGCTCTGGCCCTAGGCCTCTCCCACCTGTACTCACTGTCCCAAGATTAGACGGGCTTTCTGTGTTTCCCAGAGGTAGGAAGAACCTGCCCATGCCACTGTGAGCTGTCTCCCCAGGCTCCATGGAAGATCCAGCCCCACCTCCTCCCGGCCCTGTCCCTACTACCCCAGGCTGACCGGTGCCTTCAACACCTTCCTGTCCCCATCCCCACGGCCAGCTCGTCTTTTCCAGCCCCTTCACCGTTGCCCACATTGTCTCCTTTGCCTGCAGTTCTGTAGGAGGGTTTCTCTCACTCTCTAACCCTTGGAGGGCCAGGGCCTTGCCCTGTGTTCTGAATTCTCCCTGAGCCTTGACAAGACCCTGCTGAGCACAGAGCCAAGGAGATCATGCTGTGACTTCAAGATGCTCTGTGAGGTGTCCGATGTGATGGGGGAGAGGAGAGAGGTTTGGAAAGACACATGCCCAGCAGATGGGGGTAGGGAAGGCTCCCCAGCAAGCCTCTCCCCGCACTCAGGCTGCAGCACCTGCTCCTCTTCCCCCTCCCTGCCAGGGCCTGGCCTGCCTCGGCTGCCGAGGCCCCGAGCTGGCTGGCACGCCCTTGATGCGTGGAGGAGGCACTGGCAAGCCAGGAGGGCCCTCCTCAGAGACGGCTGCGGGGCCAGAAATGGAACGTGGCACAGATGGGCCAGGGGGGCGAGGAATTCCCTCAGCCCCATGAAAGGGCTCTGGATATTTACAGCTCCTGGAACAATCTGCAAGCTCATGCCACCTTATTTCCTGCATTCATAGCATCCTCAGCCCCAACACCCTCAGAACTCAGCTCCAGAAAGGTTTTCCTTTCATGTCACTGCTTAAAATAGAGGCTTATGTAAGTATAATTCTGATCGGAGCAAAAAGCAGGGGTGATGGCACCGGAGCTGGGTGGATAGAGAGTGAACTCATGCCCGGTGCTCCTTGCTCCGGGCAGCGTCCCGCCAGGCCCTGTCCCCATGCAGGTGCTCCCAGCCCCATGCATCATGCAGTACTCCCTCCGAACTCCCTTGTGGGTGCTGCTGTTCTGCTCTGCCCTTTAAGCTTCCCCTCCGAGGCAAGTCTCCAGTCCACAAGCAGGCCATTTCCTGATGCTATGCTCAGTGGACAGGATGAGAACTACAGCCCACGTGGAACAATGTTCACTCACCTGGATGCACCTCATATCCACCACATGCAGTCACATTATTAGCTCTTCAGCACAGAGGATACAGTGCTCCCATGCATGTACGCACGCTCAGAGAAAAGCATCCACAGACTCACACCAGCACACCGGCACACTCACAGCTCGCACGTGGACAGGAATTCACACAAGGTGTCTGTGTGGCCCACCCCACGCCCCTCACTCTCCCGGAGGTTCAAACCAGCGGCAGGATAATACCCACCCACTCCCCTGGCCAGAAAAGCCCCTCTGTCCATCTCAGCAGAGCCCCCTGCGGGTGAGTGTGCAACCCCTAGCGCCCCCTGGGCCTTACCTTCCCACAAGCCACCATGGAGAGGGCCACCTGGTACCAAAGGTGAAATTCTCCAAACGCAAACTTCATGGCTCGCTCCAGGCACTGGGGAGGGGAGATAGTCAGCATTTACCCACCAGGGGTCCTCCCACCCCAGCCATCCGCACCCTTCCAGGGTAGTTACTGCCCAAGTCACCGCTTTTGGGAGGCTGCAGGAGGCCCGCACTTGGCTCCTGGGAGACACCCTGCCGAAACCCAGTTCCTGCCCCTGGCTTGCTGTGTGACCCTACTCAAGTCTCTCACCCTCTCAGGCCCTCAGTTCACCTCCTTAACATGTGAATGATCTCACAGGGTGATGGCAAAGAGCAAATGGAATAAGATTTGTGAAAGTGCTTTCAAAACGTAGACATGTAATAAAAATAGCAGCGAACATTTATTATTACTGTGCATGGCACTGTTCTCAGCCTTTCACATGCACTCTCCCCAACAACCTTGTCAGGTGGGTTCTCTAACTACCCATATTTCACCAATGAGGAAGCTGAGACTTGTACAACTTGCCGAGGTCAAAGCGGCAGAGCAGCCTGGCAGGGGAATGACAGGTGGAGAAGGGACAAATGGCTCTGTCTGATTTCCTTTACAGACCACCTGACTCCGGAGAGTGGGGTGGGCTGCATGGCCGGCCGTACCTCCGAGAGCATGACGTACTGTCCCCTTCTGCCCAACGTGATGCTCAGGAGGTCATAGATGGCTGCGGCATTCTGCAAGCTCACTGTCCGGTCCTCCTCCTGCTCCGGCACCCGGCTCAGCACCACATCTCGAGTTGCCTGTGGGTGGGACATTGTTTGGGAAAGAGTGAGGAGAGTAGATAAGCAGGTGTCTGTCTTCGCAGGGCCCCCACCTTGCTGGCCCAGCCGCTATCACCTTTTTGCCACTGCCCCAAGCCAGAAAGATGGCCACACTCCCAGAAATGGCCTTTTCCTATCTCCACAAAGGCCCTCTCCAAGAGAGAAAATCCTTCACCCTTAGCCCAGTTTAGGTGAGGGAGCAGTTCTGAGGGGTCAAGCTTCTGGTATTCAATTTGTTATTCTACAAAATTTCAAGCCTACAGAAAAGTTGCAAGAATAGTCTCATAACCGAAAACCCTTCCTCAATGTTCCTCTCTCTATATAACTATTATTGTCCAGGATCCAGTCCAGGATCATACCTTGTATTCAGGTGCCATGTCTCTTTAATCTCCCTGTATCTGGAAGCGGCCCTCCACCTTTCTCTCTCATGACACTGGCATTTTTGAGGAGCACAGGCCAGTCGTTTTATGGAACAGTCCCTGGTGTGTTTGCAATTCTCACAATTACAGCAAGAGTTTTGGCTAAGATGTGAAAGTGCCTGGATTGGGTAGGTGGCTCTGCTGCTTGACTCTTGGTGGGGAGGTTGGGCTGTGGCCCCCAGTGCCCTCTTCTCTTCCTCTTCAGCCTCTCAAGTAGCTTTGACAACGACATTCCCAGAGCCCCCCCCTCCCTTCCTCTCTGTGTCCAGCCCGGACCCTCTCCTGGCTCCTTCCAACCATGGAAACTCTCCTCCGTCCCTCCCCAGGGAGAGCTTCCCCACACTCAAGAACTCTGCTCTTGGCGTCCAGCGCCGAGGATTTCAGTAGCTCACAGAGTTGCCAGATGGCTGCTGGGGGTGGCGGTAGGAGAGGGAAAGGTGCTGTATGAGCGGGAAATTCTGTCTAATTCCAAGAGGGGAGCTCCTCATCACCAAGCCAGAAGCTCCCCATCAAGGATGTGGGACTCTTGTGTTCTTTGGTATGTGCAGATAGTCCCACCCCTCTGCCCACCTCTATACCCTGGGGGCAACACGCAGGCTGGGGGCAAAAGGTGGAAAGGGAGAAGCTCCTCAGCTGCAGGAGTCATGGGGGCCTCCAAGCAGCCACAGGGCAGGGACTTAGGCAGAGGACACTCTGGGGCCAGAAATGGTAACATATCCACCCCCACTCCAAGGGCTGTGCGGGAGCTGGGCAGAGCTGTGTTCTGGGCAGATGCTGCTGGGGGCCGCCCCCAGCATCCTCCCTTCTCCTGCTCATTCCCCTCTGCCAAATGGGGCTCTCTCCTGCATCTCCCTCCCTCTGTCTGAGCCTCCTTCTGTACAATAGTACTTGCCCTCCTCTGCTTCCATACACAGGACCTCAAGACCAAGGACTCAGCCTTCCTAACCGAATAAAAAGGAGCTGCCAGCCCTAAAAACCCAGATCTCCCTCATCAGAGCTACCCCATCCCTCCTATGCAGCAAGTGGGCCTCACAGCTTCCCTTGGGCAGGACTGCTCTCCCCTCCTCCAGGTGAGGCGCTGGAGGCAGAAGCCCAAGCCCCTGAGGCCTCCAGACCACAGGCTCTGGGTGTGTCCTGCAGCGCAGGGCTGGAGGGAGTCCTCCCAGAAGCCTCTGGAAGCCAAAACACCTCCAAGACCCAAGGAAGTGACTCACCCTGGGGGACAGCTCAGTCACTGAGAGACTGGTGGCCAGGGGTTCTGATGGCTGCCCTGTTGCCACAGTTGGTGAGTGCTGCCCATGCCCCCATGGACTTAGATGGCCCAGGAGAGGGTGCCGGGATGCCCGGAAATCCCGGCAAGGCTGAGCTCTGGAGTCAGCCTGTGGAACAGGAGCCACTCAGGAGCTCCAAAGGGTTGAAGGAGAGGAGTGGAGAAAGAAGGTGCCAAGAAATCCCCCTCCTTCCCAGTGAAGTCCACCCACACAGCCACCAACAGGAAGAGAGAAGAAATTCTAGGGAGAGGGTTGGCAGGAGCTAGTCCCCTGAGCCAACTAGGAATACAGCCCTCGTTCTGTCCCCGGCGATGTACTGACCCACTCCACCACCTCCAGCAGCTCCCCAGCTCTGGCCACCCAGGGTGGGGACCCACAGGGGCGGCCTCCAACAGGCAAGAGTGGCTCGGGTGTGAGAGGACGGGGGCACAGAGGCCCTGCCCATGGGGAGAACAGGAAGGAGCAGCATTATAGGATGCACATCCCCGAGTGGAGGCTGACCTGGAATTCTGGTGGAAGCAAGAGGTTATGATGGGAGCGGGTGGAGCCAGGCAGTCTGCAGGGGTGGGAAGAAGCTTGGCTGGGCACATCCAGGGTCTGGGGACCCTCCTGCCTGTCTGTGCAGACCAATCTTGTTCAGGGGATAGTGGGCTGCGAGCCATCACTATGGCCATCAGGATAAAATCTAAACTCCTTTCTGGGGCAGCCTAACTGGCGGGCTTCTCTCCAGTGACATGGAACCCCTTGCTGGTCCCTACAGTCACCATGGCCCATCTTCGGTCATGCTGCAGTTCCCTCTATCAACCTGGACACCTTCTACCTCCTCACAACCCCATTCAGGACCACCCTCTTACAGCACCATCCCTAACTCATCTCACCAGGAGAGGTCAGGCCTCTCCTGTCCTCCCCCAACCCAGCCCATGCCTCAGCTCACATGCCCCCGTCTGGTTCACCAGTTCTTGCTCATGGCTAGACTCCTGGCCCCAGGCACAGCCTCACGCACAGAACTTGACTCAACCTGCAGGGTGTGACACTCAGGAGAGAAAGACTCTGGGCCTGGAGTGGAAACCTCCCCCTGTCCACCCTAGACCTTGACCTTTAAGAGAACAGTGTCTGAATTTGTGTCTGGCAGAGGGAGGGGTGGATTTTCAGAACCGGGCGTTAATTAGGTCAGAAGAATAGGAACAGAAGAGAGGAGCATACTAGCAGCAGCGGCAGCAGCAGCAGCACAAATCCTCAGGCTGGTGATAGGCCCTCAATAGGCAGGCAGCCAGGAAGGCTCCCTGGGGGTCCTAGGGACTGGTGCGAACTGGGGCCTGTGCAAGAGAGGGCTGTGATTCCCCAGCCAGAAGCAGAAGTGGGCTGAGTGGTTACTATGGCTTTGGGGCAGGGCCGAAGTGAAATATTCCTGGTGGTTGCTGGGCAGTGCCTGTGTGTGTAACCATGGCAACAGGGAGGGGTAGGGGGAAATGGGACAGAGAAAAGGCAGGCATGGGGGCTGGTGGGTAAGCCACAGCAGAACAGAATTAATGTGCAGCTCAGGGGCCAGGGCTAGCCTCTGAGGCCAGGGCCTCAGACACTATGGGAGCATCAGTTCCTTCCCAGCACCCCCAGCTGTCCTGCTCCCTCCTCCCTGGCTCACTGCCCTCAGGCCACATGGTGTACCCCCATGCTCTGGGAGTAGCTCTGACCTAGTCCCAGCCACACTCTTTCCCTTCCACCATTGAAGTGGCCTCAGAATCCTGCTTTCTTTCATTAGAAAATCCTCTAGATCAAATGCAGTAACAGATGTGAATGCACTTGTGACCCTTAAAGTAATACATGAACATTAAATCTTCTCACCGTCTCTTCCTCACTGTTCTTAGAATAATGGCAGAATGTTCTCCTCTGGTTTCTCCCTGCCTAGTGTGCACTGCCATAACCCCCACACCCACCCCAAGGCTGCCCAGCGCTGGGGATGCACTGCTCCGTTTAATCCATGCATTTAATCCCAGGATTTAAACCTAGGGCTTGTGTAGTTGTCCTGCTCCTAGCCTTTGTCCTTCCGGCTGTTCTCCTAGGGTAGCCCCTCCTCAATTAAAGAACATTCACTGCAAGCCTTCTGGCAGGTCAGAAGAGGAGAAGCCAAAGAAACAACGCTAGTCCCCATACACCCATCACCCAACAGCTCAGCACTGCTAGCATAACACATTTCTGGTCTTTGACCAAGTATCCATGAAGCAAACATGGGACCTTAGGGAAAGGCCTCAGGCAGGCTGGCCCATGAGAAACCCAAGGCAGGGACTACTCTTGGTCAAACAGCCAGCCCTATGCGTGTGACATGCATTACTCTTTTTTTTTTTTTTTTTTTTGAGACAGAGTCTCGCTCTTGTTGCCCAGGTTGGAGAGCAGTGGTGTGGTCTCGGCTCACTGCAACCTCCGCCTCCTGGGTTCAAGCAATTTTCCTGCCTCAGCCTCCCAAGTAGTTGGGATTACAGGCACCCACCACCACGCCTGGCTAATTTTTTTGTATTTCTAGTAGAGACGGGGCTTCACCATGTTGGCTAGGTTGGTCTTGAACCCCTGACCTCAAGTGATCCGCCCGCCTCGGCCTCCCAAAGTGCTGGGATTACAGGCGTGAGCCACCGCTCCCGGCCTGCATTACTCCTTTAGAAGCTGAATTGTCACATCCACCGTCTCATCTGGCCTCACAGTAACCCTGGGCAGGGATGAAACCACTGACCACCCCCCACCCTCTGCAGATGAGGACACTGAGCCCCAGAAGATGAACTACCTTGCATAAGGTCCCAGGGAGCTGAGGCTGAACCACCCCCCATTCCCTCAGTCGGCCAGTCTGGGACTGCTGCTGCTTGCCTGAGCTCTAGCTGCCTGGGGGCTCCTCTGCCAGCTTTTTCCAACCTAGTAAGATACAAGACTAGTCCTGATCCTTTGGTGGCTGCAGGGCCACAGGCAGCACTAACCTCTCCCTCTGCCCAGCCCTGTTTCTCCTCTCTAACCCTGGACATAAACAGGGCTCCAGTCTAAGAGAAGGAAAGGAAACTACCATGTGGAGCATGTTCTGTACGGCATCTCACAATGCTCACAATAATCTTCTGTGTACTCTCAGCCTATTTTACAGATGAGAAGACTAAGGGAGGCCAGGTAAGCTTTCCAATGCATACAAGACAGGGGGTTGGGACCTAAATTAGAGCCCAGACATTCTGACTTCACTCCTGGCTCCTTCTGTGCCTCCAGGTACCTCCGAGGAAGTGCCCAATAGCCTCATCCGTGCCATAAGAGACCCTGGGCTGGCTCTGCTTATAAAAGAACTGAAGCAAAACACAAGGCCAGGCTTCTCCCATCAGGCCCTGGGTGCTGCTTCTCTGCAAAGAACATGCTCCCTGGGCAACAAGTCCAAGGCCCTGATCAACCGCATTCTCAAAAACAGGCTCTCCATTGGCCAAGGAACAAGGCTCAGGGCCTGTTGCTGCCACCCTCAGCCCCCGCAAAACTACCCCAGAAACAAGTCTCCTGGCAGTATCTGTACCCAGCACCTGCCCCCTCCCTGGAGGACACTGTCATGCTCCCCCTGTGCTGTCGTCCCCACCAGCAGACATAATTACCACTGGCTCTCGAGCTGCCAGTCCACAGAGCCAAGAAATAACATGCTCTGTGACATGTTCCATCCACCCAGCGACCCAGGCCAGGCCCACGCCAGCCTCCGAGCTCCTGCTGCGTCAGGTTCCTGCAGCAGAAAAAACAGCTCTTTCTGCCGGTTAGAGAGAGAGGCTCTCCCACCTCCACTGAACCAAGGGCTCTAAGCTGGCAGTGTTATCAGACCCTTCACCGCTTCAGCCTTCAGCAGAGCAGGGCCTTGTGTTAGAACAAACCAGATCCCAAAAGCTGAAACAATCTGTGCTCATCTGCTGAATCCCTAATGGAATCAAGCCCAGGAAGCACTTTTTTTTTTTTTTTTAACTGAATGGCACCCTTAATCCAGTTTATCTCCCAATCAGACCTGAACATTTTCAAAAATGACTAAGTCAGAATCAAGTATTTATCAGGACAGAATGAGGAAATTTATCAGGACATATTGAACAACCAAAATGTACCAGGCACTTCACATTCATTTTCTTATTTAATTCACCAAAGTCATACAAGAAAGATCTTATTAGCTCCATTTTACAGATGAGAAAACCGAGGCTCAGGGTGGTAAGAAGCTCAACCAGGCCACACAGATTGTGAATGGTAAATTCAAGATTCAAACAGCCAGATGCCCAGCATTGGGCATGGCACAAAGTCTGTTAATCTGCAGAGTCCCAGGACCCAGAGACTTACCTATCCACCCCACTCTCAACACCAGGGCTCTGTACCCTTTCCATTTCTAACAGCAGCAACTTGTTCGCCAGCTGAATGAAACAGGGATCCAAGGGTTCAGTTTACTTTAGCACATATTTTTATGCCCCAGATCAGTATTTCAGAAATAAGAAAGATTCCTGTATCTCCTAGTTCCCCAGCTGTCTCAGAAAATCAGGCTGGTTTGATACACGGTTCTTTCAAAAACAAGAATTTACGTTTGAGGTTCAGCAGGCTGGGGTCATTCCTTCTGATTTGGGGACCAGGGTTTCCTCCACATCCCTGGGTACAAACTGCAGTAGATGGGAGTCCATTTGGGACAGGAACTATGATTGAACTGTTAATCGTTGTCTTTACATTGCTGAGCATGGTCCCGCATGCTGTAGCTCCTTGAATAAGATTAGATGGATACATGGTGGGTGGATAGACAGATGAATGGATGAATGGGTAGGTAGATGCAGGGTTGGTAGGTGGCTGGATGGATGAATGGGGGATGGATGGAATGATGGGTGGATGGATGAATGATAGGTGGATGAATAGGTGGACAGATGAATGGTGGGTAGATGGATGGAGGAAAGGGTGGACGGATGAATGGGAGGTGGATGGATAAATGGATGAATAGGTAGGGGGATGCATGGTTGGTGGGTGGGTGGGTAGACGGATGAATGAATGGGTGGATGGATGGATGGTGGATGAATGGATTAATGGGTGGATGGATGGATGGTAGATGAATGGATTAATAAGTGGACGAATGAATGGTGGGTAGGAGGATGGGCGGATGCAGAAATGATGGGAGGGTAGATGGCCAGAAGGATAAATGGTAAAGTGGGTCGGTGATCGATATATGAATGAATCAATGATAAGTATGTGGATTTTTAAATGTCATTTTGGCTCCGAAGACCCAAAACTAGGTCCAAAACAGAAATCATCTTCAACCAGTTATATCTTATATCCTCCTTGCATTCCTGTGAAAGCATTAGTAAGGTTTCTATTTACCTCTTGAAAGACAAGGTCTCCCTCATTCATTCTGATCGCACATAGTCAGCTTGTAATAAAAACCATATCCAAGGTAGCAGCCCCACACCACACAGCCACTCCTGAGTTCCAAACCACAAAACAAGGAGGCCTGCAAACACCGTTTCCTGCAGCAGCTGCTCTGGATGTCCTGGAGGTGGAAGCAATGATGATGATGCCTCCTGGGTTGGCTCTGTGGAAAAAGCTTTCACTGCAGCATAATGCATTCTGCAGGTATTAGGAGAACCTAAGTAGCAGCCAAGGTCACCAGCTGCTGTTCTAGAGGTTTCTCCCCAAGCCCATCATTTGTAGCCAAACCCAGCCAACATCAAAGCGGGATGAGGAAAACCCTGCAGGTACATGGAGCCTTGGGGTTCAGCTGAGAGGTATCAGGGCAGGAGCTTGGGAGGCTGGTAGAGTGGAACCCATACCCTAGTCCTCTCACTGATCAAGAATGAGATTGGAGGGAAGGAGAATTTAAAACAAAGGCAGGAGAAAAGGCAGGTCTGGCCACTTAGAGAAACCATTCCCAGCCACAGAGGCCAGATCCAGCAGCCGGGGGAAAGGTCACTGCAGATGAAACACTAAAACTAAGTTCATTGCCAATACTCTCCCCCAAATCCCTCAAGTTTCTGAATGTCTAACAGGCTGGGTGTGCGTAAGGGGAAACAAACCAGCCAACCCCACAAGAGGTGCCTCCTCCCAGCCTCAGTGCAAACAGCGTCTGGGCAGTGCCTCTGTTTCCTATGCCACAGGGAATCTCCCAGGACACCACCTGGCCAGCCAACCCAGACTCACCCACCCCATAACCCCTAGTCTCTGAGGCAGGCTGCCAGCCACACTGTCTTACAAAAGGGAAAGAGCTGCTTGGAGGAGATCGCATACTCAGGAAAACCCACCTGGCTCCAAGCACGGGCCATGTTTCTGTAAAAGGCCATTCTCCACTTGGAGGGTTTGGGGGTGGGTGGACAGCCTTAACTGAAAGGCATCTGAACTCTGTCCTGAGGACTCAGATCAAGCAGAGGCTACAGAAAATGACTTGGGAAGACAGAGCTCAGCTTCACTCCTACCAGGAGAAAAATTATGACCATCCTCACCCTGACAGGCTTGTCCCTTTTACAAAGCCCTCTGATCCCCAAAGTCACCTCCTTGGCCTTTTACACTTAAGAACAAGGATTAGAGCAGTGGGCAAGGGAAGTACCAGGATGGAAGTCCAGGAGCCCTGCGTCCTGGGGCTTGGAAACTGCTGAGGGAGAAGGACATGTTCGAGTCATGGCTTCAAGGCTTATTAGTATATGACCTTGACCAACAGCCATACCTGTCCTGGACCTCACTTTTGTCATCTGTAAGATGGGAACATACAGTATTAGACTGAACTATATGAAACTGTTGTTTTTGCAGGTCATAAACAATTGAAAATTGGCAATTTCATATGACTCAACATAATGCGCACCTAATCAGCTTGGAACCTCCCTAGCTGAGAAAGGACCTAACAGACGACCCCGTTTCCAGCCTTTCACCACCTACCTGTAAATTGCACTGGAAGCCTCAGTACACAAAGGCCACAAAATAACCGGTGTTTAGGCCGGGCACAGTGGCTCATGCCTGTAATCCCAGCACTTTGGGAGGCTGAGGCAGGTGGATCACCTGAGGTCAAGAGTTCATGACTGGCCTGGTCAACATGGTGAAACCCCGTCTCTACTAAAAATACAAAAATCAGCCAGGTGTGGTGGCGCGCACCTGTAATCCAAGCCACTCGGGAAGCTGAGACAGAAGAATCGCTTTAACCTGGGAGACAGAGGTTGCAGTGAGCCAGGATCGCACCACTGCACTCCAGTCTGAACGATAAAGGGAGACTCTGTCTCAAAAAACAACAACAACAACAACAACAACAACCACCACAAAAAAAACTCTGTGTTTCCAGACAGATGATTCCAGGGCAGTCTCACTGGAGGGTGAACGTGGTGAAATGGCGGAGAGGGGATGGGAATACTGGTCTGCATCTGGGGTTCCATATTTCAAAACTAGGATTCAGTCTGTGGTCAGAGTAAGGGCCCATTTTAAAAAGTAAAAAGCACACTGTTCTCCCATGAAAATCAGATGTGGCACATGGTCCCTGTATCTCCACAGCTGCTAACCAGCGAGATGGCCCCTCCCCTGGGCAACCACTTACCCACCTCACAGGCAAACATTTTAGGGCAACACCCTGGCCAGCTGGCACTCCCATCCAAATATCCACACCCTACACAGAAACTCTCAGATCCAACATGGACCAGCCCCAGCTGAGGCAGGATGCAATCCCTCTGCCCCACAGGCCAGCGCCTGCTCCTATTTGCTGGGAGGCCTGAGGCACCAGAGGCAATCTGATTACCAACGCTATCTAAGCAAGCCCTGGCATCGCATGGTCCCAGGCATCCAAGGGAACATTCACTTCTGGCTGTTCAGGGATCCAGCTCACGGGATCTTGGTTTCTTAACCTCCATATCCATACACTGCTCTCAGATGCGTCGTTTTTTTAAAAACCTATTTCTCAACCTGGTGGTTCCCAGCTCACCAGCTCTGATGGGCCCCTTGGTCGGAGGACTTGGACCTGACCATGTAGATGACTCCTGTGTGCTTGGCTTCTGATGCTCCTGCCCCACTCTTCCTGTGCCCCCTTTGGACCAGTCCAGTCCATCCTTCATCTTACCACCTCCTCAACCACACAGCCACAGTGCACTCTCCTTTGCTGAGCACCCAAAGTGCTTGGCCCTGGGCAAACATTCCTTGGTACCATGGCCACCATATGTGTGCAAGCACGAGTGTGTGCGTGCATCCACGTGCTTGTGTTTGCCTCATCTTCCTGCCCAGGACATGAGCAATGGGTCCTGTAGAAAAGTCTAAACAGCCAACTTCATGTGTGCTTTGTCTAGCACGATTTGTCTTCTCCTCTGTGTTCTTTTCCCATAGCATTCACGCGTGGACATCCTGCATATTGTAGTTTTTGATTAATTTACTGCCTGCTTCCCTTTACTAGAATGTAAGCTCCACGAGGGAAAGGACTTTTCTCCATTTTGTTTGCTGCGGCATCTCTGGTGTCTAGAGCAGGGTCTGGCACAAAGTAGATGCTCAATAAATAGCTGTTGCGTGAATAAATGAACTCCTTCCATAGGCACACTTACCTTTGTGAGTATTGTTATATTACAGGGGAGAAAACGGAGGCTCAGAGAAAATAAGTGATGTGCCCCAGCCCTCAACTAACACGCAGAACTGGAACCTGATTCCATGCTTTCTGACTCCAAAGTACACATTCCTTCCATTCCCTACCTGCCATGTTCTCAAATCTGTCACAGCACCCAACACACAGCTATGTAACATTTTACTGTGACCTTGTTGATGATCATCTTTTTAATCCCAAAAGAGGTGGGTGGGGACTTAGGCACTCAGTCTCTACTTATTTGGGGGCAGAACGCAGGCCTCCAAATGAAGCCTTCGACAGCCAATTCCAAACCTAATGAGCAAGACTTGCTGTATGGGGGCCCAGGGCCAAGAAGCATCTACTTTAGGAGTATCCCTGGGAGACAGAGTTTGGCTAGGTCACGGGTGGCCTGTACCTGGGCCCCACAGCCCTTCCCCACAGGGTCAGAGGGCCAGAGGCCCCTGAAGGACATCCTGGAGCTTACCATGGATTCGCTGATGAGGAGGAGCAGGAGGGCTTCCTCGATGTTGTCCTTGGGGCAGTAGAGGCTGAAAGACACCAATGACAGGCCTGGCTAGAGCACACACCTCACCAGACAGCACCACTGACCCACCATGCCAGCCTTCTGCCCCAGAGTCAGCACCAGCTCGGTAAGGTGACCTCTTCCTGCATAATTCATGGGCACCGGATACCATATGCCCCAGAGTTATGGATCTGAAAGGCTGCGGTGGGTGGTGGCTGCTGGGCTGGAATAGTACGGATTCTCCCAGGGAGGAAACATTCCTCCCAGCACCAGCACTGCAGGGAATGGCTGGGGCAAGAAGCAGGGAGAAGCCAGAACTACGCTCTGCTGGTTGGCTACAGACCGCACCTTCGATGAATGGCACAAGCGAGAGAGAGGTGTATCAGACAAGACTACTGGGAAGACAGGTAACTTCTAAATGATTTCTTTGGTCTCCGAGTGCCTTATAGGATTATCTCCACAACCTGGACCCCAACACCTGCCTTCTCTAGTTCATCTGGCTCCTGCTGAGACTGAGGAGGCTGGCTGGCAGTGTGCTGAGTGGAGACTGGAGGAGAGCATGGGGCAAAGAGGAAGCCACCAGTGGGGACAGAACCCTGCGTGAGATGTGAGACTGGCAAGGTGCAGCAGGGCAGGCAGAACTTACTTGTCTCCTTCATAGAGGTGAGGTTTCCGCAGGGCCTGAGTGGCGAAAGAACTCTCCTCCTTGCCCATGAACTCAGGCAGAGGGTGGGACAGGGGGCTCCAGTAGCACTCCTCACTCAGGGAGTGCAGCAGGACCCCCGCCAGGTGCTTGGCCGCCATCTGGCAGAGAGGGAAGCACTCGGACCCAGGCACAGTTGTCAGCTCTACCCCAGCATGACCTAGAACGCCCTCTGCCCATCCCAGCTAAATCTGCCCCGCTTGCAATGTGCGGCCCTTTGGGTAAACTCCCCAACCCCACTCCCAAGGAGCCCCCTTGCTCCTTCAGTCCCTCCAACACTGGCGCTCCCACCCCTCTGCTGGCCTCAGACGGCTCCTACCTCATCTTTTCTCTTCTCTCCTCTCCTAGACAAGAGGAGCATTTCCTCCCTCTCCTGACCCCTTGGAGCCCAGCCCCACTCTGAGTATTCAGCAGGACCTTGCAGTATTGGGAAGAGCATAATGCCACAGGCATGGGCAGCTCTCTCTCTCTCAGGTGCCTTTCTGATATTCGATGGAGAATTATAGCATAAGAAGCAGCTGTGGCTCTCTGGTTTGGACAAACTAAGGACTAGGAGGGCAGGCCTGTGTTGGGGCAGGCAAGCAGGGTCAATGCTGTTTATTAGGATCATAAACAAATCCCTAAAAGTTCGCATAGCACCTTGCTAGTGGTGGTAGCAAGTTTGTCAACACAGTTTGCCCAGGGAAGCGCTGGCAGTAGATCTGAAATCTGATTTAACATGAGGGACTATCTGCAATGCCGCGGGGGGAAAGAGGCCGCACCTCCCTGGCTGCGTGGGAAAGGATGCTGAGATTGATTACCAACCTCTGCCACAAGCAGGCAGGAGACCTACTGCCACCCCTGCTTCACAGGCTCCCTGCAAGGACTTCTGTTGTCTCCCACCAAAGCTGACTCCTAAATAAGCCAGCACTGCCAGCACCCCACATTACCACTTTGAAGTTCTGAGTTGCTTTGGTCTCCACAGTCCGCAGCACCTCCCGGAGCTCTCTCATGCCCTTCACGATGTTCCTGGTGGGAGGACGGCAGAAGTAGATTTGTTACCAGCCTAGCTCGCAAAGAAGGATGCTCTCAGCACACCAGCAGACCCCAGGAGGAGCTGACTGCTGGAGTTTTATTTGAACACATTCGATAACTGGAGTGAAAAGTTAGAGTTGTAACACCAGGACTTTAGAGGCCCAGGACATCAACAAAAAGGAGGGAGGATCCCTTTTCCCCTAGTCCCTTTCCCTCTTTCCCCCCAGCAACTTGGGCTTCCGGTTTACCACCAAAGGGGTACCAAGATTGAGTATCTCAAACAAGGTGTGACCTTGGACTAAGAGCCTTGGGCTGGTGTCAGACTTTCTGACCTCAGTCAGTCTCAAATTCTCCAGCTTCACTTGCTGTATCCGATTGATGCTGGATTCCATCCTCCCCTCTCTGTCCCCAGTACCATGGCCCCAGGCTGGCCTGCCTCACCTTGGGCCTTGATGACCACACCAGCCAGTCTCGCCACTTTCAGTCAGCCTCTGTGCCTTGAAATAGTTTTCAAGCTTTTAAAAGTGTGAGCCATAGTGACAAATACATCTTACATGGCAACCCATTACCCACATACACTTCCCTGACATAAAACCGAAGTTTCTCGACAAAATACCCATCTCTCCTATGTGCAATCAACACTGAGGTTTTCCATTTTCCTTCTACCTCTACCCCCATTTTGTAACATGCTGGCTGCAGCCCACTAAATAGATCTTGCATTCCCACTAACAGGCTGTGGCCCACAATGTGAAAAACTGCTCCCACTGCGCCTTGGGGGTCTAGTGGATGCAGGAAGGTCACCTGGATCCTCTCAAGTCCAGCCCTACAGTGGCCCCAGGGCTCACAGAATAAGCCCTCAGCGTAGCTTCCTGAGGCTGTGGGGCCTGCCCCTCACCTTTCTCCCACCTCAGCCCCCAGCACTCAAGCAAGTCCTTTCTGAATGACCGCAGTCCCCTATATCAAGTCTCGGCACTGGCTTCTTCCACTGCCTTACGTGGCCTTTCCCCACTTCATCCTTCAAAAGCAAGTTCCAATGTCACCTCCTCCATGAAGCCTCCCCAGACCCCTCCCCATGCTGCCCTGCCTGTTAATTCCTCTTCTGAAGCAAGTAAAACCACTCAAGGTCATTTTCTACCTGCAGGTCTGACCCTCGCACACTGTGGCCACCTGAGGGCCAGGCGCATCGCTCCCGTGTTTCTAAAGCTCCACCCAGCAGCTCCTGCCACGTAGCACATGCTCAGGAAAGTGTAAGGGCTGCCCTGCTCATCCACTCAGGGGGTTCCCCGGATCACACCACACAAGGGAAAGCAGAGGCTGCTGGGCTGGCGAATTCAGAAAAATTAAGATCACAGAGGGTGAAGAGCCAAAGCTGGCAGCCAAGAAAGTTACATAAGCCCCTTCTTCAATTTCATGCACAAAACAGGCTCCTGGGGGCTTTGGGGCCTGGGAGCCATGAAAGGACACCTTTGCAGATCAAGTCCCTTGCCTTCTGGAAAGCTCTGGCCTCAGGACACGCAAGCAAGATGGACCCTTGTCTTCAGAGTTGAGAATGGAGACTCCTGGGGTAGGATCAGAGTTACGATGACCTTCGCTAGCCTGCCAAGTGCTCTGAAAACTTGGGAGTGGCAAGCAGGACAGGGAACCTCAGCCCCCTTAGAGACCATCAAGTCTGGGTGAGGTCTGTAAAATGAAGACTTCACTTAGCTCAGTGTCTCCCAGACTTCTGTAGACTGCATACCTCATTCACCATGTTTACCACTATTAGTCCTAATAATACTATCACCGGTATTATTATTTATGTCGTACTTTTCCTTATATCTTCCTTCTTCTTTTAAGGTGAGTAAATAACTCACCTTCCCTTAGAAATAACAGAAGTATTTTTTAAAAGTTAGTGTGCACATCACTTAAAACCACATTGTGTGTCACTAGAAGTACTTGTCCCACACTCTAAGAAATGATAATTTATTTTATTTGCAGAGATGAGGTCTTGCTATGTTGCCCAGCCTGGTCTCGAACTCCTGGACTAAAGTGATCCTCCCACTTCAGCCTCTCAAAGTGCTGGGATTACAGGCATGAGCCACCACCACGCCTGGCCAGAAATGATAATTCAGACAAGAATGCCTCAAAATGTAGTACTTGGACTAGCAGCGTCCGTATCCCAGGGACTTGTTAGAAATGCAAATTCTGAGACCCCCACCCAGACCTGCTGAATTAAGAACTCTGGGGTGGGCCACGTGTGGTGGCTCATGCCTATAATCCCAGCACTTTGGGAGGCCGAGGCTGGCGGATCACTTGAGGTCAGTAGTTCAAGACCAGCCTGGCCAACATGGTAAAATCCCATCTCTACTAAAACTACAAAAATTAACTAGGCTGTGGTGGCGCCCGTGCCTGTAGTCCCAGCTATTCGGGAAGCTGAGGCAGGAGAATTGCTTGAACCTAGGAGGCTGAGGTTGCAGTGAGCTGAAATCGCATCACTGCACTCTAACCTGGGCAACAGAGCAAGACCCTATCTCAAAACAAACCAACCAACCAACCCCTGGGGTGGGGCCCAGCAATCTGGGCTTTATCAGATCACCAGGGGGGTTCTGATGGACACTCAAGTCGAGAACCACTGGTTTAGGGGATGCCCTGGGGTCTTCTAGTTCTCCTAGTTCAAGAAGTCGGGCTTCAGAAGGGACAATCTGACACAGTAACCCCAGCTTTGCAGCCAGTCCCTAAGTCTGTAATCTTGGGAAAGTGAGGCAGCCTCCCTAAGTCCTAGTCTCTTTTCATTTCCTCATAGTCCTGTTAGGAAGATGACATACATGTGGCCCCAAGCACACTCAGGCATGTAGCAGAGGTTCATTAAATATTCTCTTCCTTTCTCCTTCTAATTTGGGTCTTGAAGATCATATGACTTATGTTCTGACTTATGTTAAAGTTTGGAAGTTTGGGAGCTCATGAGTAGGGGAGAGGACACAAGTGCCTGCAGGGACCCTTCGGCTTTGTGACCACCTTCCGCCTACCAGCCCTCTGCCCCACAGAGGACAGAAGAACAGGATTCCTGGTAGATAAGCCAGGCCCAAGGACAGGCCCGGGCCCCCCACAAGAAGCTCCTTCGGTTCCACTGAGGCCTCTGTCTCAGGAAATAACCCAGAGCTGGAGAGCAGGCCACAGGCCAGGCCAGCTAAGGGGACAGCCCAGCACCAGCCACCACCAGAAGACAGGAAAAAGACAGACTGCAGCAAACTAAGTAAAAGGACAGACCTCAACGAGCTCCAGGAAGAGAAAAGAACTGGCTGATTCTGGGACATCAGTCTAGGACAACCCTGGCAGCTGGGCCCAACAGCAGCAGGCTGAAGAGGGCTGGACCCCGGGGCTGCCTAGGGCCCTGTGGCCTACAGGGGGCCGGCAGGTCCTGGCACCTGCTACCAAGAGGCCAAAGCCAAGAATGACTGTGGCCCCTTCTTCCCACTCCACCGCAAGGACTGTCCTCTCTCTGCATTGCCAAATGAGCTCAGCCTTTAGCCTTTACATCATCAACGCTCTTGGACCAGCAGAGTGGCATTACCTGGAAGCTTGGGAGAAATGCAGACTCCCCTCCAAAACACACACACACAGATGCACACACACACACACACACAGATGCACACACACACACACACGCAATTAAAGAATCAGGACTGCACATTATGCATCTTAAGATTCTGTATCTAAAAGCTGTGTCTTTTTACTCTAGCATGTAAGCTCCCAGGAATTCTTTTGCAAACCAAATAATCACCCTCAGGCATGTTTTGGGTAAATCCCAATTTTTATTGAATGTCCTTCAAGAAAAAAAAAAAAAAAAATAGAGAGGTCCCAGTGGCCAGGGCTGTACAGGGAGAGATCTGGGGTCCCAGCTAACACTGACCTGAGAATGCCCCTCTGCCTCAGCTTACTCCTCTGAGAAATGAGAAAGCACACGGGGCTTCTCCAGGGCTCTGCAGATGGCCATGAGCCTGAGCAATCCCGTCCCAGCTCTGAAGCTGCCAGTGCCAGGTGGAGCTGGGGCTTTTCCGAGCCATTGCTGGCTGCCCTGCCAGAGGCCAGCTTGAAAGATCTCTTTGTTCTTGTCTCTCATGCTGACCTTTCTGAGCAAAGCTGCCCACTTTTAACAATATCCAAACAGGGCCTCAAACAAACCCTGGCCCAGAAACAGCCTGCGTGGGGAGAAGCCAGGAAGCCATTTATTCCAAGTCAAGTAAAGCCTGGTTGGCCAGGAACAGAAAGACAGATGTGGGTGTGATGATGGGTCAAGGACACGGTTCATCTTAGGGGAGCCTCTGGGTGGGATGTGCAAGCGGCTGGCAAGCTCCCCAGTCCCCTAGGTGGCAGCAGGCAGTGCTACACGTTTCGCGGAGCCCTTCCTTTACCTTACTCAGTCCGTGCAGCTTCTAATGAGGCTGGTGAGGGAGACAGGCTTCATTATCCCTGTACCAGCACAATGTGTGGTGCATAGAAGGTGCTCAAGAAATGATCACTGAATAAATAAATCCCTATGTTCCAACAGGAAAAAGAGCCTGGAAGATGCCTGCCTTTCCAGGCTGTCACTTACCAAAAGGGAGAGGCAGGCTTACGGCAAGCACAAAAGGGTTCAGATTTTCCTCTCTTTTCACCCTGAGACCCCTGAGAAAGACAACACCTGTCTCTTGACCCAGCATGGTTACATTTTCTTTTCCTGGCCATGTGAACTCCAGAACTCCTGGGACTCAATTTGCTAAGTCTTTACAAAGTGCCAGCTGCCTACCAAGTGCCTGGTCATCAGCTCTGTTCACAATAGAGATTAGCCAAGTATTCTGCACACAGTAAGTGTTAAAAAAATATTTGGGGAAGACTGGGTTTGAGCTGAAACAGAGAATGAGAAACTACATGGAACTGATGGCTGAATGGAACCTAAACAGATACTAGTGCATATGGCCCTGGCCAGATGTCCGCATTCCAGGGCCAGTACTGCTAACTGTGTATGAAAGGTTACCAGTCAAAGACCCAGAAGAGCATAGCTAGTTGGCAGATCCCAACAGCTGAACGGGTGAATCAGGGGACAAGGTCAGGTGAAGTTCAAATGGTCATCAAACTGTTCACCCCTGTCGCAGACCCAAATCCTCTGTTTCAAACAGAGGATTCCTCTTCACCCCCAGCCTCAGAATAGGGCTGTGACATTTCCCTCCTGTGGCACCAAGGATGTCATCCAGGTGCCGGGCTCCTTCCTTTCTAGTGAGGCCGGGGATGGGGGTGGGGAAGGTTGAGGAGGTAGTGCTAAGAGTAGACAAAGGCTGTGCATTCAGAGAGGCTGGAATGGGCCTCAGAGGTTACCCTCTGCCCCAAAGCATGACACAGAGCACCAGGAGGCTCTCAGAATGAGCTTCGCTGTTCGGTGACTGTGGCCCTGGAACCCCAGATTTGTGAGAACAGTCTGACTCCTGTCCTCCCCTAGCCCTGCAGATACCAGGTGGCTACTAGAACAAGGCAAAATTACTGATGGAACCCCTCATGGGGGTCACACCAAACAGCAGGCTGGGCTTTCTAAGGTGCCTTTGCTGCCTCTCCAACTCGGCATCCAGCTGGAAAGGTGACACACACAAACACACACACACACACACACACACACACACACACGCGCGGAAAGGGACAGTGCTTTCACCGGCCTGAACAACCTGCCAAAGCCCTGGGGAACTCCCTTAGAAAACACAGCCACTCCCTTCTCTGTTGTTTGATTTTGGTGCAGTGAGCACATGTTGCTTTACTAATTAAAACAAAATTAAAAGAACAAGCACAAAACCTGCTGCCCACCTGGTTCAATGTGCACGGCCCAAGCTCACTCTGGACCCAGAGCAAAGAATAGGTGCTGCCAGGTCTAGGCGGAAGGAAGGGAAAAACCAACTCAGAGAGAAATGGGCTCTTGCCCACTCTGGGTAAAGGAGCAGAGTCCGCTCACATTCTTGTCCTTGGGAGATGCCCAGGCACTTGTCCTAGTGCAGTTAGAGCCACTGACAGGGACAACCAGCTTCTCTGGCACTGCACGGTCCCCCTCCCCTTTCAGGCCCCCACTGCTTCACCCCTAGAGCTGTTTCATGCAAAAGAGAACCAAGCTCATTTCTGGAGCCTCCCCCATAGTCTGGACCCTGGCCCCAGCAGCCATTGCCCGCCTCCCCAAAAAACATGTCAGAAAGGTGCCCCCTTCTGGCAACCAGGTGGCCGAACTGCCTGGGGCGAGGCTCCAACCAGAGTCCACGGCTGCCCTCTAGTGGCGGTGAGGGGAAGAGACGCCCTCCACCCCCACCCACCGAGGGCTCTTTTGCACTGGGGCCTCCCAATTCCTGATGGTCCTTTCAGGCCTGTGCCTTCAGTTCTAGCTCAATTAGGAACCCTGTCATCAGCCACAGAGCAAGGGGCAAGAGCCATCTGGGGGAATCAGCTACTGAATCAATAGGGCAAGACTCCTGGAGGAAATTAACATCCCTCAGACATTCTGATGAGGAACTGGGCAGCAGTCTCAGGCTTAGCCAGAGACAGGGAGGCCCAGGCTTTCCTGAAGCTCCAAGGAAAGCGTCTGGGGTCCAGCAATCGCCACCCACCGTACACAGTGGACAACAGCACACTCTTTAAATTAGGTCAAGTCCTCAATGGGAGGGACGAGCCGGACTCTGGGGGCGGGCACTGCCTGTGGCCATCTGGCCCCACCCTGTTCTCAGCAGGGTCTCCTTAGTCTCGCTGGCAGCTGGGTCCACCCAGGCCCATGTGGGAATGAGCTCAGGCAGGAAGCAGGCTCCACCATCCCTCCCTCTCCCTGGGACTCTGAGGAACTGCAGCACCTCTGCTCTACTCTTGGCCCCTTGGGGCGAACTGCTCCTCAGACACCTTCAGGGTCCACCCCACCCCAGGCAGCACCCCCACCTCTCTGCCTCTTTCCCCCCCAGCACAGAGCACTGCCTGACCGTCTCCACCACAGGCTCCCCTCTGGGACGGTCACTCCACGAGGGGAGGGGACCTCCTCCTGGCCATAGCTCGAACCCCGCAGTGAGGGCGGGGCATCTGGCCCATAGCAGGCACTGGGAGGCAACCCAGGACAGGAACTGAGGGCCTTTCTCTGGGCTTCGTCACCTAAACCTGACTCCCCTCACGGGGTAGTAAGCTCCCTGAACACCGAGAAGGGTTTCTCCCTGCTTCCCAAACAACCCAAGAGGCTAGGAGGGCAGGATGGAATGTAACCAGCAGAAAATGCTGCCTGACTCCACAGCCCTTTAACAGACCATTCAGAGATGCCCGAATGCAGATGAGCTGACGTCAGTATCTGACAGGTATTCTGCTTCTAGCACCTTAAGCTAAGACAGCGGTTCTCCACTGGGGGCAACTGTGCCCCCACCCAGGACACGTGCCAATGTCTGGAGCCATTTCCAGGTGTCACACTTGGCCAGGGCGAGTGGGGGGATGGTGCTCCTGGCATCTAGTGGGTGGAAGCCAGAGACGTTGCTAAAACCTACAATGTATAGCAGAGTCCCATGATGAAGTTATCTGGCTCAAAATATCAGCAGTACTGAGGCTGAGAAACCCTGGGCTAAGGTATCTTTATATTATTTTTTAACTTCCTAACAACAAATGCATTTAAAAAAAATACTGAAACTGATGATTCACCTACGAGGATATCACTGTGACCAAGGGACAATGTGGTATTACACAGGCTCACTGATGTAGACATGCCATGGGCAGGCTTTGTGCTGGGCGTGGTGCCATGGGCTGGACAGACCCAGCTTCAGCACCAGGCTCATGGGGTCTACACCTGTGAGCTCTGACTTTGGGCAAGTTACTTAACCTCTCCTTTCTTCAGTAAAATGGGGATTGTATTAGTTCCTGCATCACAGGATTATACAGAAAGGCATTTGCATTCTACCTGGCATGAAGTTAAGTATTAAGTATTCAACATATATTAGCCACAATTATGAGGAAAGGTGCACAGAAATTATTTACAGTCCAGCCACACAGGCTGCAACTCCAGCTCCTCTGGGCTGGATGGGCCACAGGAAACAGACACAGGGGCTGAGTAACTGCCACGTGTCCTGGGACTGCTACTTACACGCCAAGACTTTCAAGACTTTCAAATGTTTGGGCTGTTTCCTTGAAAAGAAATGATGACTCAATTTCTACCCCTCTTCAGGGTGGTGAGGTTGGGGCAGGGTGGAGCCAGGATCCTGGCTGTAAGGACCAAAACATGTGCCTCAGGAAGAAAGAAGAGGAAGGGAGGGGGTGGAGCTACAGGAACAGAAAGTGACTGAAAGCACTTGGGCTTTCTGGGGGGTGACGGTCAGTCAACACCTCCACCCACTGCAGCACTGCATACCCACTGACCCACAACCCTCATGCGTGGCCTCAGCACAGAGTGCAGACAGGGGGAAGCAGGCTCTAGGGAGGGTGGGACCACCTGCAAGGAGACATCCTTTGAGAATGGTGATTCAGGGTCCCAGAGGGGTGGGAGTCAGCGCACCGTGCATCAGCTCTATGCTCCCCGCTGTCACTAGGCCCTGGCTTCTCCCACACACCCACGGGCTGCCCAGGCTGTCCTTCCACGCCCCAAAATTTGGAAATGGCATGAGTTTCCAGGCCGCTCAGGCCCGAAGCTGGAATCACAGTGGGTAAGCTCGGGCAAGTGACTCAACCTCTCCAAGCCTCCCTCACTAGTGAATGGGGTCACCTGGCCTTCCCAGAGCACTGTACACCAAGCACATGGTTCAGCCAGGCCCCCAGCAGAAGCAAAGCATGACTGCCACTGGTCTCTCTCCCTCTTTCCCTCCTGGCTGTCCTTGATGTTCACATTAAAGTCATACCTGCAGAAAATTCAGTTGTGGGGAAGGGGAGCAGGCAGCCCCTAGAGGTGGCTGTCGGGGGGCTCTCAATGGAGAGGAAGTTAACAGCTGTGAAAATACTCCAGGTGTTTTGCATTCCTTCCCTCTCATTGGACCCTCACACCCTCTGGGACATGGACAAACAGAAGCCCCATCTTAGAGGGGAGAAAGCCAACTAGAGGGGCAGAGGGGGAACCTGTTCAGGGCCACAGAGTGGCCTCCAACCCCAGGGCCTCACCCTTACTTCCTCCAGATGGTGAGGGCACCCACCAAAGTTTTCAAACCAGAAGCTGGGACACAGCACCTGCAGGGCGTGAGCATCCCCAGGGGCTCAGCTCAGTAACAGGATTCCTGCTGTGGGCAGTGTAGCCTATCAGATAAGACCGCCAGCTAAGAAAGTCAGCCGGGCCCTGTGCACAGAATCCTGGCTCTACCAAGGACAAGTCATTTTTGTTCCCCGTGCCTCGATTTCCCATCTGTGAAGCAGGGATGCTAAATATGGTGCTTCCCTCAGGGAATACTGGGAGGACTAACAGACATGCAAGTGCCTGGTGTGAATTTAGCCCTTCCTAAGTGGCATGCATTATCCTAAGAAATATCCCTGAAATGGATGAATAAAGGAGACAGAGTATTGAAATTAGAACTGTCCCCTCCCCACGAAATCCACTCCAGGAAGCTTTCATAGATAAGAACAGCTCCTCTGGCCTTCGTGCCTATACAGGTCCTTGGGAGGGAGGGAGGACTCCTTAACCTCTGTAGTGCAGGGGTCAGCAAACTGTTTTCTCTAAAGGGCAAATAAAGACAGCAAATTTTACAGACTTTCCCATAAGGTCCCAAATGCAGCTACTCCAGTCTGTGGTGAGATTATATGCAAATGAAGGGGCATGGCTGTGTTCTAACAGAAGTTTATTTACAAGAAAAGTGGCGGCAGGCCACCCCTGCCTTACAGGCACAACTGCCCCAGGTCCGTGCCGGGCTTCATAAGTCACTGAGGAGTTAAAGTGGTGACCCCTGCTCCTCCCAAATCTCTGCAGACAGAGCTCTGCAGGCACAGCTGAGGACGGCCTCTCTTTGGGTCCCCCAGACTCATCCCTGGGAGCTCACAACTGGCAGAGGGAGACAAGGGCGCTCCAAGCAGCAGCCGTGGGGGAGTGGTGATCTCCAGCTTCAACTGCCGGGCCATGAAAACAGGAACCAGCCCTCCAGGCCACCGTTTCTCTGAAACCAAAGCTCAGCAACCGAAAAAGGATCAAAAAAGCAGATGGTGGAGGTGGAGCGAGGCAGCTGTGCTTCTCAGTGCCCCGGGCCGTCCTCAGCCCCATCTCTGGCACAAGTGGTCCAAGCAGCCCAGGACTCCATGGCAGGCCCTACCCTTGCAGGTGAACTGCCTCGGGTCTCCCAGCCTCCACATCCACATATTCCAAACAGAGACACCACCACCTCCCTGGCCTACCACTTGAGAAATTACACAAAGAAAACAAAAGGTGACTCATATTTGGGCCAGCAGCCTGTCCAGCTGTGGACTACACAAAAATAATAAAACAAATGATAATACTGGCTTTGATTTTCCTTTTCTTTTCCTTTATTTCTATTTTTATTTTATTTATTTATTTATTTTTTTGAGAGAGGGTCTTGCTCTGTTGGCCCAGGCTGGAGTGCAGTGGTGGGATCATGGCTCACTGCAGCCTCGATCTCCTGGGCTCAAGCAATCTTCCTACCTCAGCCTCCCGAGCAGCTAGGACCACAGGTGCACACCACGATGTCCAGCTAATTAAAAATAATTTTTTTTTGTAGAGACGGTCTCACTATGTTGTCCAGGCTGGTCTCAAACTTGTGGGCTCCAGCAATCCTCCTGCCTCAGCTTCCCAAAGCTGTGGAATTACAGGCATGAATTCCAGGCAGCTGTGATCTATCAGGCACCCTGGTGGATGGGTGGGTGGGTGTTCACATATAATTTGATCCCCACAACAATGCTATGAGAAGGCAGGCACGGTCCTTACCACCAGCTTACAGATAAGGAAAGCAGAGGTTCAGAGAGCTCAAGGGACTTGCCCATGCACACACAGGCTTGTCATAAGAGCTGGGATTGGCTCCCAGGTGTGCTGACTTCACAGCTGTGGTTCTCACTCTCCTGTCTGCCAGGCATGAGGAGAGAAAGGGAGGCAGCCTGTTTCCCAGTAGGGGCCCTTCCAACCTATTCTTTTTTTTTTTTCTTGACAGAGGGTCTCACTCTGCTGCTCAGGCTGTAGTGCAGTGGCACAATCACAGCTCACAGAAACCTCCGCCTGCCAGGCTCAGATGATCCTCCCACCTCAGCCTCCCAAGTAGCTGAGACTACAGGTGCATGCCACTAAGCCTGGCCAGTTTTGTTTATTTTTTGTAGAGACAAAGTCTCCCTATGTTGCCCAGGCTGGCCTCAAACTCCTGGACTCAAGCGATCCTCCCACCTCAGCCTCCCAAAGTGCTCGGATTACAGATGTGAGCCACTGCTCCCAGCTCCTTCCACCCTATTCTTTCCATTTGGAAGATAGGGACTCGTGCGTGCCTGTCCCCACAACCGCAAGGGCAGGGTGGAGAGAAAGAGAAAAGGGCACAGGCCTCCCCTGGGTCAAGGGTCCTGCTGGGGCAGGACTGCCTCCCCAAGGCCCAGGTCCACCTGCCTGTTGCAGTCATCACAGCCACTGCCTCCTGGAAGTGACCTCACCACAGCCTGTTCCACATTCTGGACAAACAACTCCACCTCCTTCTCTTCCAGGCAATTGAGAACTCAAGCTCAAGGTTACTGATAAGCAGCTCCATTGGGCAGGGATACCTGCTAGATGGAAAAGCTGCCTGGGCCAGAACGGTGTGCTTTGGTCAGAATGCTCCCCTGGCAGTCCCAGAGCACCTGGAGACCCACTCCATACAAGGGCACCACATCGAACAGTCAGCAGCTTCATGGGCCTTTGCCGCCTCCTGGAGATTCATGACCCACTTCAGGCTCCGGTTCTAGAGAGTCTCAGAGGTCTTCAATCCATTGTTTCCCAAACTTATTTGGCCATGGACCCTCTCCTGCAGATTCCTACTGTCCTACAATCCTCAGCCTCATCCCACCCTCTCTGCCCCTCCCAGACTCCTCCCATTTCGCCTGCCCCCACCAAAGCCCAGATCAAGCCTGACCTGCCACAGTCCACTATGTGCCCAGCCCCACATAGCTCTGAGCTCACCTCCTCCTCGACCCCCACATCGAGCAACTTTGTGGGGAAGGGAGATAAGCAGGAAGGAAAGAGGCTCACAGCCAAGCCTGGGTGGAAAGAGCAAGCTACAAGCAGTGTGTCCTCTAGGATACTATTTTGTTGTGGTTGTTAAAAAAAAAAAATACATCTGTGTATCTACACATAGAAAAACACGAAAGATGTATCAAAATGTTTAAAGTAATTATTTAAAGTGGCGGGGGGGATCAGCAAATTTTTTCTGTCAAGGGCCAGAGAGGGGCTGAAGGTTGAGCTGATCACCAGTGGCCAATGATATAATACATCATGCCTACGTAATGGAGCAGCCATAAAAACCCAAAAGCATGGGCTTGGAGAGCTTCCAGGTTGCTGGACACGTGGCAGTGGTGCACCCAGAGGGGCCCTGGACGCTCCGCATGCCTTCCGCATACCTAGCCCTATGCGCCTCTTCCACCTGGCTAGGCTGTACCATTTTACGTGGTACTGCACACCAGTCATCTAGCAAGTAAACTGCTCTCCTGGGTTCCATGAGCTGCTCTGGCAACTTATGGATCTGAGAAGAGGTTGTGGGAACCTGATTTGTAGCCAGTTGAGACAGAAGTTGTTGGTAACCTGGGAACCTGCTATTTGTGACTGGTATCTGCTATGGAAGGCAGTCTTTCATGGGACTGAGCCTCTGTGCCCCTCCCAGACTCCTTCCATTTCCCCTGCCCCAGCCAGGGCCCAGATCAAGCCTGACGGTTAGCATCAGAGGTGAATTTAATTGTTGGAAACCCAGCTGGTGTCAGAGAACTGGTTGTGAGTCGCGGAAAAAACCCCACATTTGGTCACAGAAATGACCTGTGTTGTATTGAGTATAAAGTAGGGCCAGGCACAGTGGCTCACGCCTGTAATCCCAGCACTTTAGAAGGCTGAAGCGGGAGGATCACTTGAGTCCAAGAGTTTGAGACCAGCCTGGGCAACAAAATGCAACTCCCTCTCTACAAAAAATTAGCCAGGTGTGATGGTGCATGCCTGTTGTCCCAGCTACTCAGGAGGCTGAGGTGGGAGGATCACCTGAGCCCAGAACGCAGGAGGTACAGTGAGCCATGATCACACCATTGCACTCCAGCCTGGATGTCAGAGTAAGATCTGTCTTTAAAAAAAAAAAAAAAAAAAAAGAGAGAGAGTATAGGGTAGAAGAAAACAGTAAGTTTGCTTTATCCTACTAAACAAGTACCATATGCAACAATCATGTATTCAAAAGCATGTAATGAAAAGAATGCATAAAGTGAAATGTAACAAAATAAATCACACTAAAAATGGCACACAGGCCTCAGAGAACTCCAGGCAGTCAGTGACAAGAAAGCTGTGTGACCCTGACCTTGGTTTCCTTGTGTGTGAGGAGGTGGTCACACCTACTGGGCCTGACCCATGGCCATGGAAGGCTGAGTGAGGCAGGGCGTGACTACGCACGGGGGACGGCTGCGCTTGGCACCTATGGGTCTGCTCCTCTCGTCAGTGATGTCCTCCAGCCCCAGCCCACTGTGTCTGTCTAAGGTTGTAATGACGCAGAGGAAGGGGCCCAAAGCCTCTGCTGCAGAGACAGGCAGGAAACCTCAGCTCCCGCCTGGGAGTCCCCAGACTGGTGGAGATGTTGCCAGCAGACCGGACCAGTTGCGGAATAGCCATGAAGCGACACTTGCTGCCAATACGCACTCCTCATCTTGAATCTTCTCCTTCCCCTGCCACCACCCAACACACCCCATGAAACAACCACTCCCGGCCTAACACCAGCCACCCCCTCGACTATTCAACAAGGCAGGTCTTGCTTCACCCAGGAGCAAAAGCCTACGGAAGGCATTCCAGGCACTATGGTTCTTAGGTCTCAGATAGGCCAGTATTCCAGGGACCTCAAGACAACCCACAGGAAAACAAGCACTTCTGCTGCTTCGTCAGCAGGGACAGCCACAGCCCCAGCGTGACGCCAGAACTTCACTTCTACCATACTTTCCCTCGTCCTTCACCACTCCTTAAAAGCCGGAATGAACAGGAATCTGCCTTCCCATTGGGTTTTTGGGGAACGTGAGGCTCAGAGGAACCAAATAACTTCATTCACACTGCAGACAACAGTAGACAAAACCAGACCCACTGGCCAGCTCACTGTCCTTTGCTTTTTCAACATCACCTCCCAGATGCCCTCCACCCTCCCCTCTTGAAATGCCCACTCCTGTTTCTCTTCTTGGCAGTCTCCCCCAAGCACACACAGGCTTTATTGCTTCTGTGGCTTCCTGAAGCGTGGCCCTTCCCACTAAGAACGTCTCTGCACACTCCTGTCTGACAAGATGTGACACAAGCCAGTTCCCACCAATCCTCTTGGAAGAGCACGTATGCACAGGCCAGAGAAGAGGGAGAGCAGCCTTAAGGCCACGTCAAAAGCCTCAGCCCAGGGGAATCGTTCTCCCACTCACTCAACTACCAGTGACCTACCCCTTCTTCAGGTTTTTCACATAGGCGCTCTGGAGGGCAGCTTCCAGGAAGTAGGTGAGCTCATAGTCAAGCGGGTGACAGCCTTTCAGATGCCTCGACGTGCTGTTATTTGTGGTCTGGGAAGGGAAACAGAGAGAGAGCCATTGTCTCAAAGTTCTGAGGCAGAGGGTCACTCAGCAAGAGGAGGTGGCCTCATCACCATCCCAGTCCCAGTTGTTCAGGGGCACATTGTTGCATTCTCAGACCAGGCTTGATCTAACTCGCTTTAACTCAAAATATGTCTAAAGCATTCTCTCCCCATCCAACCGTTAGATGCCCACAAGCCCTCTGTCTTTTTTTTTTTTTAAGAAACAGGGTCTTACTATGTTGCCCAGGCTGATCTCAAACTCCTGGGCTTAAGCAATCCTCCCACCTCAGCCTCCCAAAGTGGTGGGATTACAGGCATGAACCACTGCACTAAGCCCCTAACATTCATTCAACAATCACAGAGCTTTAAATTCATTAGCTCATTTAGTCCTTAGAGCAGCTCTATTAGGTAGGAACTGTCATCATTTCTATTTCACCGGTGAGAACAGAGAGGGTCTCTTCCTGCCCCAAGGCCACTAACGTGGCAGGTGGTGGCGGAGCCAGGCAGTCAGGTTCCCCTCTCCACTCTTACCCTCTACTGCAGGAGGACTTCTCTGTCTGTCCAGAACCATGCTGAGCACTCACTCTTCAACCAGACAGCACTCACTGCCTGAGCACATGGTAGAGAGACCGCTTCACGCAGCACTGCTTCCCTGTTCTGTGTATGCAAACCTCAGCTCCCACCAGACTTCACTCCCACAGGACAGGAGCTGTGTCTCCTGAGTCTCACTACTGTCCATGCCCCACCTCCAGTTAAGGAAAGAGAAGGGGAAATGAAACTCTTAGAAAATTGCCACCCAAGCCCAAATCTTACTTATGCCTCACAACGGTCCTACAGGGCTGGTTTTGTTTGCATTTTATAGATGAGGAAACTGAGGCTCAGAAAATGTCTAAGGTCAAAAGTGTCAATTACAGATGTGGTGGCTCACGTTTATAATCCTAGCACTTTGGGAGGCCGAGGCAAGAGAATCGCTTGAGGCCAGGAGTTCCAGACCAGCCTGGGCAAAAGAGTGAGGCTCTGTCCCAATCAATCCATCAATAATAATTTAATGCCTAAGATCACAAAGCTGGTGTCAGTCCGGACCTCAAACTCAAGCCTAGCCAGGTATGGATTCCAAGCTATTTCTACTATGTATCAGTTAATTCATTCCACAAACATCTAAGTGCCTGCTATATGCCAGGCACCGTACTGTCCCTCTCAAACAAGCATGGAACGTCAGAACATCCAGAGAATTGAGAGCCCTCTGGTTCCAGGAAAAGCTGAGGAACAATTACCTCATTAACTGAGCTGTTGCTTAAAAGCCTCAGCTCTAACAGGGTCCTCCTGCCCAACCAGACAGGCTTGCCTTCTGTATACCATTTCCTTTGTCTAATCTGAGGGGAAAAAAAATCAATGAGGCATCCACCTCCTCTTTCAGAATCCAGAGGAGATTTAAGAGAAGGTCTTAGTTCCTCAGAGGTCAGGACTGGGTCTCAGGAGGGACACACAGTATTTCTGAGGATGCACAAGATTCTGTGGCCTGCCCTCCCTCAACTTAGATAACAACTATAGGGTCCCATTTGTCTGCCCACTGCTACCAGGCACTGATTCCAGCCCTGGACATCATCATCAGACCTTTGACAGGGACAGTACAGTGCCTGGCATTATAGCTCATCGCCTTAATCCCCTTTTGAAAGTCCAAAGCCTAGGCTTCCAGCTGAGCAGCAGACTTTATCTTTTCCATGAAAGTTTCCTCCCAACCACATGCAATGCAAATATGAAAAGCTCCTAAAACACTACTACTGTCTAGCAGTGACCCATTCCCCCTTGGTGGAGGTCAACTCAACCATGCTGAGCCTTTAAGTGGCCTCTGCCAAAGAATGGGCACTCAAGTCCTATATTTGCTGAGCCCATCGGTCATTTCTCCTTTCCTCCTAAAGTCCAATCAAGCAGACATCTTCTAGAGCAGTGGCTGTCAGCAGGGGGGTGACTTTGCCCTCAGGGGACAGTTGCCAGTAACTGAAGACATTTTTGGTTGTCACAACAAGGGGGATAGTGCTACTGGCATAGTGGGGAGAGTCTAGGCATGCTGCTGAACATCCTATAATATACACGGCAGCCCCCCGCCCTCACCAACAACAAAGAATTCTCCAGCCCCAAATGTCAACAGCATTGAGGTTGAGAATCCTGCTCTAGGGGAAATGACCTGGCCTGGGGTGGACTCTTCCAAAATGGCCCATCACAAAAACGGGTACTGGACTGACATTTTGGCATCTGCCAAGGAAGGCGAGGTGCAAGTGTCTCCTGGGCTCTTAGTCTCTCGGCCCATGACCACCTCCTCCTTCAGGGCACCAATCCTAATCTATGCTGCTCTAGAACCTTCCATCTAACATGTTAAATTATCTTTTCCACAGAATACCTGAGCATCATCCCCAATATCTTCCCCACGAGCATTCACAGCCACACTCCCTGGGTTCAAATCCTGCCAATAGCACTTATTAATGAGGTAAACTCTGGGAAGCTAACTCTTCTTCAAATTTGTTTTCTTACTTGTAAAATGGGAATGACAACAGGACCGATTTCATCCAGTCAGTGTGAGGGTTAAATTATAGAATGAATGTAAAGTGCTTGGAGCTGTGTCTGACACAAAAGCAGGCACTCAAGAAGGGCTAGCAGGATCTCTGTTGAATATAGTTGCCTGTCCCCTTAGCATTGAACCAAGGGCCCCTCATGGCATAGTATTAAGATGCGGAGGGAAAAAGAATAAAATGGAGGCTGGGCACGGGCCTGTAATCCCAGCACTTTGGGAGGCTGAGGCAGGTGGATCACCTGAGGTCAGGAGTTCAAAACCAGCCTGGCCAACATGGTGAAACCCTGTCTCTACTAAAAATACAAAAATTAGAAGGGCACGGTGGCAGGCGCCTGTAGTCCCAGCTACTCGAAAGGCTGAGGCAGAAGAATCGCTTGAACCCAGGAGGTGGAGGTTACAGTGAGCTGAGATCGTGCCACTGAACTCCAGCCTGGGTAACAAAGCAAGCAAGACTCCATCTAAAAAATAATAATAAATAAATAAAATGCATAAAAATTAAAAATAAAAGTAAAAAAATACATAAAAATAAACCAGAGCCTCCCAGAAGGGGGAGGGCTGGGATACTTATCGCAAACGCTGCTACCACCTGTACTTGATACCCTGCAGACAGTTAACCCAGACCCACCACAGGGAGTGGGGAGGGAGGGGGATCTGAAAACTGCCAGAGCCCTGCCGACCAACTCTTTTACCAGCCTCTGAAAGGCTCGGAGAAGGAGTCCCAAGATCCTGCTTCCTCACAGGATCCAGGGAGGAGCTTCTGGGACACCGAGAGCAGGGAAGGATGTCCAACTGCAAGACCCAGGCAGACTCCACCCCTGCCAGGGAAAGAAATGGTGAGCAAATGATTCAATCTCCTAAAGCTCATCTATTAAACATCCTAGCGGATGGCATGGACTCATTTATCAAACTATTTTCCAGTAAAGAGTCTCATTCTAGTGGAATCAGTATACTATAATGAGTTTTCCAACTATGAAGTAGAGTGTCTTTGGGGGACAGAGAAGGTGACTTCTTCTAATTAGCACACAGGTGACCTATGGGTTTAGTGGGATCCATAGACATAGGTGCTCAATAGAGAGCAGCTCCTACCACGGTGTTATTTCCAGCTCACCTTCTCCAATTCCTGCAGGAACACCTGAGCGATCCAGGAGGCCCTCTCAAAACAGGTGATCACTTCCTCCTCCCTCTCTGTCAGGCGGAAGCGGGAGGCGATGGAGTTGGGTAGGCGTTCCAGAGAGAGGCCTGCGGGAGGAAGAGGGTGCCTCAGACCTGTCCTGCTCGGGCCCCCTGACTCCAGGCCCTCCCCATGGGCCGAAGGTGGGCTCATCCGAGGGGGCAGACACTCTGGTGCAGCCAGGAGGAGGCGGAGGTCTGCGGAGGGGAGGGAGGAAGCTGAAGCGACGGTGGTGTTAGCAGTGGCTGGGAGTAAGCGATGGGACAGCACGTGGGGAATCACAGTGCATCACCCCAGCCCAACTACCCGGGGAAGCCACTCCTGACCCCTCCTCTGTAACGCAGTATCCCCATTTTTCTAAGCGAAAGAGAATGAGGTTTTTTAAAAAAATTTATTTTTTTCTTTCCTCTTTCCTCCTTTTCCCTAGTTCCCCATTTCCTACTTAGCTCTTTAGAAATGCAATAACCTTTACCTTCCCTTCACCAGACACTCCCTACACAGCAAGCTTATCCATGTGCTGACTTAGAAGCTCCAGATCCAGAACTTTCCCACCAGGAGACTGCCTCTAGAGACAACAGTCAATTTACATCCTAAAGTGTGACTGAGAGGGAACTCTCTCCCAACTGGAGAGTATCTTGAAGCAATGCTCACTTTACAACCTAGCTCTGCCCGTGACGGTGCCAGCTCGACCACCTGGTAGGTAAGGCACCAAGGCAAGTCATGCAGACCCTGCACTTGCTTGCTCCCTCCTCTGCATGGCATTCATGCCAAGTACCCCTTTAAAAGCCCCTGCTTTTTGCCCAGGAACTGAAGTGGTTATCTTTAAAGGCAGGAGCCTGTACCTTTTCCCCTAAGCTAAGCTTTGGAATAAAGTCACTTTCTTTATTCCAGACCTCGCTCTTGTTAATTGGACTCTGCAAGTGGCGAGTGACTGAACTGCATTTCAGTTACAATTTTGGTGGCCCCTATGAGGACTGCAGTACACTTTGGACGATTGAGCCTATCAGCCTGGTTTCACCACCAGGCAAGGCGGGGGCTGCCTGGGAGCACCAGCTGCTCCTGGCTACTGGACTCCAGGATAGGAATGTTAAGGGGATTTCTCAGCAGCTGCCAAAACGTTCTTGTTTTGGGGAAACCTCCCTTTCACCCCCTGGCACGACATCTGCTGCCTCCAATGCTTCACTGGTATAAAGAAAGTGACCTCTGAAGAAGCCGGCAACCTTGAAACTGGGTGAGCAAGTTGGACTGTACCCGACTTTTTTCTGTCTCTTCTGGGTATCCTGGGACTTCATTCTGTGCAGACTTGGCCGCTACTGGCACGATTTGGGCATTTTGAGCATTTACATTTGTGTCACTATAGGGACTCAGCTGCCTGTGAAGGTATCTGGAGCTGAGGCAGGGGGTTCAGAACTCCACTCAGTCCCTCGACTGGGAATTTTGTTTGGAAGCACGCCATTTGTTTGTGTGAATGTATGACTTTGTGTACAGGCTTCTTTCTTTCCTTAGCTCCCTCCAGGTGGAAACAGTTCACCTCAACCGGCAACCTGCGGCAGTGGGAGGGATCCATCCTCCGCCGCACTCGGCACTGAGGCCCTCCCTGACGGGGGATAAATGAGGGTAGCAAGGGTTTCCCTGCACCATGCGGTGGCTGGAAGGCTCTCGAGCTCCTCTTCTGCCACTCTACTTTTTCCTCTCTCTTTCCATTCTCTCTCTCATGCCACTCTTGGAAAACCTGGCTGTGCTGCAAAAGCCAGCCAGATAGTCCATACTCTTATCTCCTCCATAAAACGCGAGGACAAGTTTCTCCCCTTCCCTTCACTTTGCTGTTCCACAACCCTTAATTTCAGGGGCTCCATTCTGCTCCTGGGCCTTGGATTTAAAGAGGGAACAGGATTGGACATGGGCAACAAGGTCTTTGTCCCCTCAAAGAGCCCCTCGGGGTGCATTTTGGTTAATTGAAAAGCATACAGTTGTGAGCCCATGACTAGGAAAAAGAGGATGTTTTACCATAATACTATCTGGACCCAATACCATCTGGGCCACAGTGAATTCTGGCCTGAAGATGGGGTTACTTGGTTACATTTCCAGTTGTTAGAAGAAAAACATCCACCCTCCTGGTGCTCACCACTTTCTACACTATATTTTGGTCATCTCCGGCCAGCTCTTCTCTCTCCAACTAGCTGAAAGCTCCACGAGGGCAAATGTGAACCTTTTTGGACAACCACAACCCTAGAACAGCACCTCACATAGTAGGTGCTCGAGTTATGCAGCATTTTACATGCACACTTCCCATGGAACCCAACAGTTCCTCCCTGCAGAAGTTACCCATGCTCAGGTCTCTGCCTGCAGGGGACACCCACTTTCCCATTTATCAGTAATAGCACCTTGCTCTCCTTTTGACCACCTCTCTTGCAATCTCAGCTGATCATGACAGCCATGGCAATCAGCTAAGTGTGGGCACATGGCCTAATCTGGGCCAATAAAAACCAGTCTTAGAATTGTCGCTCTTTCCACTGGGGTTGTTAAGCTGGTACCAGACATCAGCTTAGAAATGTTAGAGAAAACCTGCCTTAAAATGAAGTCTACACAATGTGAACATAAATAACACTACTGAAGTGTACATTTAAAAATGGTTTAGATGGCAAATTTTATGTTGTATGGGGCTTTTTTACTGCGATTTAAAATTTTTATTTAAGAAAAGCTTCAAGGCCAAAAACAAAAAGCTCAAAAAAATAAAAACAATCTGTAAGAAACACAGAAGGGATATAGCATTGTTAGCCTTACTAGAAATTAATGCTGTATGGAAAAACAACTGTATTTGCGTCAGGTTACTTTTTTTTTTTAAGACAGGAAAAATATTGAATAAACTCTTAGTCACGAAAAAAATGAAATCCATGCAGAGAAAAGACATGACATGACAGAGAAGGGTGGATTCTTAAAGAGACGGAGTACCTAGATCCAGCTTTGCCTGAAGCTCTACCTGCTGGAAATTTCCAGTGTATGAGTGCCATTAAATAGCTCCCATGTCTTCTTCCTCCCTTCCTTCCTTCCTCCCTCCCTCCCTGCCTCCCTCCCTCCCTACCTCCGTCCCTTCCTGTCTTTCTTTCTTTTTTTTTTTGTCACTTGCAGCTAATATAGACCTGACTAGAGAGTGCTGTCCTTCTGAACTATTGGTTCCCAACGGGAAGAATCAATGTCTGTCCCATCTTTGTGCCCACACAGTACACTTTAGGTACTTTACATGTAGTAAGTAGAGGCTCAAGATGAACTTACTGAAGAGATGTATAATGGAAGAATCCTCAACTGTTTCCTGCCCTATAAGCCCCAACATCCACCTAATGACCAAGTCCTCAGCACTTCAAACCTTCCCTTCCTCTCTTCCTATTACCTTATTTCAGGTTTTATCTCCTGAGTGGATGACTACATCGGCCTAACTGGCCTCCCTGCCTCCAGTCTCACTCTAATCCCCAGGGGGATCCTTCTAAAACTCTCCAGGGGTCCACACTGCTACAGAGTAAGGTCCAACTTCTGGAAGCTCCACACCAGGCCCTCCTGGTATCAATTCTCCAGCCTCATCCCTCACCTTACCTGCCATATCCACAACTAACCTCCTGCTCCCAACTGCTAGGTTGTAGGATGCCTTCTTGACTTGCTCAAGTTGTTCCTCCTGCCTGGAATGTATCCACCCCACCAGGTCTACCCAAAATTACTGTTCATATTCTGACCCACTAAATGCCACCTCCTCTACAAAGCCCTTCCCGATATTCCCTGGTATAACCAAACATTCCTCCTTTAAGCCCCAGTCTATACATATTCCTGACTCACCATTTCTTATACTTATTTGTTCATATGTTTCCCCAGACTGTAGGCTCCTTCAAGACATCAACCTAATCGTGTTTACTTTTCTACCACCTGGCACACAGTAGGTACTGGACAAGCATTTGCTGGCTGGATGAAAAAACACAAGCCTGGTCATGTCTGACAAAGTGCAAAGTGCTCTGCAAATATAAGGTAAGGAATTATTATTGTTTTTCTTAGCCACATTCCCATGCACACAGATTCAGTGACCTTGTCCCTTTGCCAGGCTGGGGTGTGACCAGATCCAAAGTTCGGTTGCCTTGGCCTGGAGGAAAGCGGGCAGAGAACATGAAGGTCCTTGCTCAACACAAAGACCCAGGTGCCCAGGACACTGGGTGTCAACGACTGCCAAATGACTCACAACCAGGAGGGGGAGGATCCTTATTCCAGAGGACTAAAGGGGGAAGAGGAACCGAGAAAGAATCAAGGAGGCAGGCCTCGTTGCTCACTGCCAGAGCTAGGCCAGCCCCTGCTCCCCAGACATGCAGCCTATCCACCTTGCAGGAAGGTGGGGCGAACCTACGAACTGTTCAGAGGCCTGGCCCAGGAGACCAACTGCAGGTGGCAGGGCACAGCCAATTCCAGGGGACATGGAGTGGATCTGTTTCAACACAGCTGCCTTGTAGTCCCCGGAGAGATGTGCTGAGGCTGGGCTCCCTCCTGCCACACCTCCGGGTCCAGCACTGGGATGGGTGATGCCAGCTACTGGCTAGTTCAAGCTGCCAGCCCCAAGCCTCCAGAGGGCTGGCCACCGCAAAGCTGTGAATTCAGGAACAATGGTCTGTGGGCCTCCACCTTCCCTGTGTGGCATTTGTTCCTTCCACTCCCCGCAGGGGCCTCCCCATCATGCTTCTCCAAGAACCCCAAATCCCATCCTTCTTGAAAGCTCAAAGCAGGCCAGGCGAAGTGGCTCACACCTGTAATCCCAGCACACTGGGAAGCCCAGGCAAGCGACTGCTTGACCTTAGGAGTTTGAGACCAGCCTGGGAACATGGTGAAACCCCGTCCCCCCCAAAATAGAAAAAATTAGCTGGGCTTGGTGGCGCACACTTGTGACTCAAGCTACTCAGAAGACAGAGGTGGGAGAATTGCTTGAGCCCGGGAGGTGGAGGCTGCAGTAAGCCAAGATTATGCCACCGCACTCCAGCTGGGTGACAGAACAAGACCCATTTCAATTTAAAAAAAAGCTCAAAGCAAAGCCACCTCTTCTCTGAAACCCTGCCAGGTAGAGTTAAGCCTCCCTGTGTCTAAACCAGTTGAACAGTCTGGCTGCATCTCCTAAGTATGTGCCTTTTTCCTGCATTGTCATCATCCTCTCTACCCATTTCCGACTGATCTTTGCACCCCAGTGATGGCCAGGGCCTAGGGTTTAGGAAGCATGCAGACGGATGCATAGATGAATGAGCATATTCACGTAGCCAAGTGTACAGCCCAAAGGAGTTCCTCCCTCTCTACTTAAAAAATATTTCCTGGGCCAGGCACGCTGGCTCATGCCTGTAATCCCAGCACTTTGGGAGGCCGAGGCGGACGGATCACGAGGTCAGATTGAGACCATCCTGGCCAGCATGGTGAAACCCCGTCTCTACTAAAAATACAAAAATTAGCTGGGCATGGTGGCACATGCCTGTAAATCCCAGCTACTCAGGAGGCTGAGGCAGGAGAATCACTTGAACCAGGGAGTCGGAGGTTGCACTGTCGCCCAGGCTGGAGTGCAGTGGCGCGATCTCGGCTCACTGCAAGCTCTGCCTCCCGGGTTCACGCCATTCTCCTGCCTCAGCCTCCCGAGTAGCTGGGACTACAGACACCCGCCACTAAGCTCGGCTAATTTTGTTTTTGTATTTTTAGTAGAGATGGGGTTTCGCCATGTTAGCCAGGATAGTCTCGATCTCCTGACCTCGTGATCCACCCGCCTCGGCCTCCCAAAGTGCTGGGATTACAGGTGTGAGCCACCGTGCCCGGCCCAGATTTTTTTTTTAAAACAAACTCTTATATACACATAACACAAATGAATTACTTAAAAATTACATGTGCAAAAGAAACCAGACATAAAAAAAATGCATACTGTATGATTTCATTTATTCAAAAAAGCAAATTAATCTATATCAATAGAAAATAAGGCCAGGAGTGGTGGCCCACGTCTGTAATCCCAGCACTGTGGGAGCTGAGGCAGGGGATCAATTGAGCCCAGAAGTTCGAGACCAGCCTGGGCAACATAGCGAGACTTTATCTCTTAAAAAAAAAAAAAAAACACAAAAACAAAACAGAGGTTGCCTGGGGTGGAGACCAATTAGAAAAGAGCCCAAGGGGACTTTCTGTGGTGATAGAAATGTTCTGTATCTTTATTAGGGTACTGGTCACATGGATATTTACACTGGCCTAATTCATGAAATTATACAGTTAAGATTTGTACATGTCACCATATGAAAATTTATCTAAAAATAATGGAGATAATGCCTTTTTGAAGGGAGCTGTCATGATTCAGAGAAATAAAAGTTCAAAGTAGAGGGGTACATTCACGGAGGCGGTCCTCTATAAAGCAATTTCCAATATACACAGGGCCAAAAAGTTTCTGGAGCTGGCAGTGGCTTTTCCTAAGCAAGGTCACAGTCCAGTCACCCAGTTCTGCCCATAAAAAGGGGCCGGGAACCTTGTATTTGTCCCCTGGTTGATAAGGTCTATTTTCCTGTCCACAAACATCTGACTGGAAGCCCACCCAGGTGCTGCAGGCTTGGGTTTCTTTTCTTTACCTTCTGCCCCGTGAGCGCTTCTGCACAAACGGCCAGACTACAGTGCTCAATCCAGGATGAAGGTGGGCTGCCCTGCGCCCAGTCCTTGAGGCATCGGAGGGTTGTAACACAGCCCTGCAGGGCAGGCACTGCCTTGTGATTCCCACCGGCAAGGGCCTTTCTGTGCCAATACCCAGCTCTAGGAAAGGTCCCTTGCAAGAGGAGGACTTGCTTTTTCATTAACTCAGAACTTTCGATTTGGAGCCAAGCTGATCCTGGCACAGCCTCAGGCCCAACACCAGGCTGGTCCCAACTCCTTCAGTCTGAATGACTCATCACATCCAAGGCAGCCGCCCTTCCAAGAAGCCCCACCCTTGGAACCCTGGAGCCTTGGGCCCTGGATGCAGAGGTAGAAAACAGAAAACATCCTCAGCAACAGAACCCCTTCCCTCCCACCTACCCAGCCTGTCAAAGGGCACGAGGACAGCTGCAGCACCCACGGAAGATGAATCCCAGACTTGGGTACCCTGCAGCCACGGGAAGAAGCGAAAAAATGCAATTCATTCAGCTCTCGGGGGGAAACCGAAAGGCCAGGTAGGAAAGAACCCTCACAGATCACTCTGTTAAAATTAGAACATTTAAAAATAGATATTACCATATGATCCAGCAATTCCACTTCCAGGTATATACCCAAAAGAATAGAAAGCAGGGTCTCAAAGAGGTATTAGTACACTAGCATTTATAGCAGCATTATTCACAATAGTTAAAATGTAGAAGCAACCCAAGTGTCCATTGACAGATGAACACATAAACAAAATGCCACATATACATACATACAATACAATATTATTCAGCCTTCAGAAGGAAGGAAATTCTGACACATGCTACAATATGGATAAGCCTTGAGGACATTTTACTAAGTGAAATGAGCCAGACACAAAAAGGCAAATACTGTATGATTCCTCTTACATGAGGTACTTGCGTAATCAAATTCATAAAAACAGAAAATAGAAGAGTGGTTGCCAGGGGTTAGGGGAGGAGGGAATGGGGCGTTGCTGTTTCACGGGCATAGAATTTTGGTTTCGCAAGGTAAAAGAATTCTGGAGACTGGTTGCACAATAATGCAAATGTTAAAAGAGTTCAGGAGATTGGTTGCACAACAGTGTCTTAGTACCGAACTGTACGCTTAAAAGTGGTTAAGATGGTCAATTCTATGGTATGTATATTTAACACATTTTTTTTTTGAGACGGAATCTTGCTCTGTCACCCAGGCTGGAGTGCAGTGGCACAATCTCAGCTCACGGCAACCTCCACCTCCTGGGTTCAAGCAATTCTCCTGTCTCAGCCTCCTGAGTAGCTGGAATTACAGGCACGCGCCACCACGCCTGGCTAATTTTTATATTTTTAGTAGAGATGGGGTTTCGCCATGTTGGCCAGGCTGGTCTTGAACTCCTGACCTCAGGTGATCCACCCGCCTCAGCCTCCCAAAGTACTGGGATTATAGGCATGAGCCACCGCGCCCGGCCAACACAATTTTTTAACGGAAAAAAAAAAAACAAAAAACACAGGCAATTTGGCTTCTGTATCAAAGTCTCCAAAAAATGTATACTCTATGATTCAGTAATTCTACTTTCTAGGAATTTATCTTCGAAAAAAAAAAAAAAAAGCTGGGGGTGGTGACTCACACCTGTAATCCCAGCACTTTGGGAGGGTAAGGTGGGAGGATTGCTTGAGCCCAGGAGTTCAGGACCAGCCCTTGCAACATAGACCCCATCTCCACCAAAAAAAAAAAAAAAGTGATGTATACAAAATTTAGCTTCAAGGATATCCATTTCAGTATTATTTATAATGGCAAAAAAAAAAAAGATTTAGCATACAGGTCCAATGACGGGACTTCACAAAATTAGGATAGAACGTTACAATGAAATGCTATGAAGTTACTTACAGTGACATAGAGGTGTATTGAAAAATGACTCATGAAATACTTTTTTAAAAAGCAGATTATAAAACATGACTGTATGAACTTACATTTTAAAAGCATATATAATCCTATAGGGAAAAAAGACTGGAAAGATATACCTCAAAATGTTCACAGAGTGCTAAGTCTGTTTCCGCAAATACAAAATAGAGTTACTAATAATGCCTAGCTCGTAGTGTAGCCATGATCATTAAATTAGATGAAATATTATAAAGAGTAGAAAGTATGCAGGCCAAGCACAGTGGCTCACACCTGTAATCCCAACACTTTGGGAGCCTGAGGCGGGAGGATCATCTGAGGTCGAGAGTTCAAGACCAGCCTGACTAACATGGAGAAACCCCATCTCTACTAAAAATACAAAATTAGCCAGGCGTGGTGGCGCATGCCTGTAAACCCAGCTACTCGGGAGGCGGAGGCAGGAGAATTGCTTGAACCCGGGAGGTGGAGGTTGCGGTGAGCTGAGATCGTGCCATTGCACTCTAGCCTGGGCAACAGAGCAAGACTCCACCTCAAGAAAAAAAAAAGTATGCACTTAGAAAATATTTTCAAGTGATGCTCACAATAACCTCTTAGGTAAGGGTTTAACCCTTCTCCAGAGTTACAAATAAAAAATCTAAGCGGGGCATGGTGGCTCACGCCTGTAACTCCAGTACTCCTGGAGGCTGAGGCAGGCGGATCACTTGAGGTCAGGAGTTCAAGAACAGCCTGGCTAACATTGCGAAACCCCATCTCTACTGAAAATACAAAAAATTAGCAGGGTATGGTAGTACGTGCCTGTAATTCCAGCTATTCTGGAGGCTGAGACAGGAGAATCATTTGAAGCCAGGAGGCAGAGGTTGCAGTGAGCCGAGATCGCATCACTGCACTCCAGCCTGGGCAACAGAGTGAGACTGTCTCAAAAAAAAAAAAAAAAAATGAATCCAGGGAAAACGGATTAATTCCAAGACCCCTCAGCTAAAAGCATCAGTGTCGACTAGCTCCAGGTCTCTGGCTGGATGAGGCCTGATCCCCTAGCAGCCTGCTCCTCCTTCTCCATCTGGAAGCCAGCCTCTCACCTGGGGCCAAGACAGCAGTGCCACAGGGACTGAGCTCCTGTCCATGTGAGGCACACAGCCCACACCCCTTGGAGAGGGAAGCCAAAATCAACAGTGAATTCCCGCCATACCAGGGCTAAAAACACAAAAACCAAGTATGCTATCATATCCTGTCCTGGAAGCAGCGTAGTGTTCTTTCTTTTTAAAAAGTTTTAATCAGCCACACAATTCCAGGTGACAGCAGAATACCTTGGGGTTGCACTGACCAAAAGAGAACAGTAAAAAAAGAAGCCCATCTTCAACGGGCGGGGAGAGGAGAATCTGCAGATCATAATCCTTCTGGCTGCTGAGGGCATTTCACCTTTTGACTTTGCACAGCAGCTTCACAACCTAGCATGTCACTGCACTGCACAGTTCATGTGCACCACGGTCAGGGCATCAGGACCTCCCTGGCGCTGGGTGTGAGGTGAAGGAGAACGCGAGCCGGCCAGGCTGACGCTGGGGGCAGGACCCATTCTCAAGGGGCCTGTGCTCCATCCATGGAGCCACAGTGAACCCTAAATTAGGCACCAATGACTAAGGTCTGCCAGGCTCAAGGTAGAATGAATGGCTGGAGAAATGGCAGTCACTCTCCATGCCCTTAGCACACTGAGCTAGTGCTAGAGAAATGGAAGAGACCCACCGGAGCTTGGGGAGGCTGAACGGGCTAAAGCTAGAGATGTCCAAAGAGCAGGCCCCGAAACATCCTGGATGCCAATCAAAGCCAGGGAATAACCCTCAGAGCTCAGACCAACAAAAAAGTGGGTGATTTGTTACCCTGGATCCACAAAGGCTTCATCCTAGTCTAGGGCCCAGACCCCTCAGCTCCAGACCCTAGAGAAGATTGCCCCAGACAGAGTGCTGAACCATAGGTGAGCCTGATTTGAGGGGGAACAGGCTGTGGTGCACCTCAGGGTGTGGTGACCCACAGCCAAAGATCTAGAAACCCCAGTGAAGAGAGACACCCTGAGCCTTACTGTGGGCTCTCCGCTCTGGGCCCTCTCATGGGGCCCACCTGGCCCTCACACTCATTCCCAATCCATCCCACACACACCTCCTCTTGGCTCCAAGAAGTATGATTACACTGCACCTCCAAACAAGCCACCTCCCCTTGTTTCCCCCGGGGCTTCCCTTTGGCCTTCCCTTGCTGGAAGGCACCTCTTCCCCTCAACTGTAGGTGATTCATCCTCAAGTTCAGGCTCACCACCCAGCTCGCCTGTGAAGGCCCCACAACTAGCTGGATCTCACCTCCCTCTGCAAGAGTGCTTCAATCGAACAAGCCTGAATGCTGGAGTCAGAGAGAGCGATGTCCACAGCCTGACCCTGCAACTACTGGTGTAACCTGAGGTGAATCATTTCTGCCTGCGCTCTGGGGCTCTGCCTCCATGCCTTTTACCTACTTTCATAACCGTACCCTGGTTTTCCTTTGAGGAACCATTCCCACATCTCAGTCCACAAGATTCAGGTGGGGGAAATCCCACCCCTGACACCAGCCCAGTATCCTAGGTGCTGGGCACAATTGGCTCCAGGGTGGGCATGAGACCAAGCCAGGTCCATGAGAAGCTTCCCCAGGCAGTCTCTCCTTCTGAGTTTGTGGGTGCCATACTGCAAGAACCATGTACTCCTGGAGCTGCTGAGGAAGACCTCAACAGACCTCAATAGCTGAGCCCCCGGATTCAGCTATGCCTGATGCCATGCTGCTCCAACAACTTTCTAGTACAAGGGGCCATAAATATCCAGTCCCTCCTTTTTGTTGTGACTTTCCAACTAGTTGGAGTTGTACATTGGTTATTATAACCATAAGTCTGGTTATGCAGAAACTGATCCCCAGAGGCATGATGTCCGAGGGGAAAATTCCTGAAATACAGGATTGGCTGGGCTGAGGTCAGGTGGGGCAGTGAGGACTTTGCCATCTCCAAGCTAAGAAACTGGAATTCCAGATAGACAGCAGCAGCACTACCGGCTGGAATGCAGCCTATTTTGTCTTGAGGTGAGACCTTGGGCATGTGGTGGAACACTTCAGGATACTGGCCTATGCCGGATGCTTCTTGGGGCCCATGCTAAGCCCTATAAAAATAAGCCTTACAAGCAGCACTCCTGGCAGCCTCTCCGAATAAGAAAGCTTTGTCTGTATAAAACAATGCAAGACAGCTGAGAGTGAAGTCAGATAAATGGAGTTGAAAATTCTCTGTCCTTGCTGAAGGCAGTGCCAGAGGAGACAGGGGGACCAGATTCTATTAGGAGACAAGGCTGGAAAGGCCTGAATCCCTCCCCATGCAAACCTCACAAGGACCCCCTGCTGCAGCTCTCACTGCACTGCGAGAGAGCCAGGGGTGGGTGCCTGAGAAGAGCCCTGAGGCCTGCTGCTGAGCGACAGACCCTTGAGGCCTGGATCTAGATCCATGGACTTGAAGTCAACACCATCTTTATCTCTAGGTTCTCACCCATGAAGATGATGCAATGGCAATTGCCCAAAGGCTTATTACTACAGAGTTTTAAGGAGCTGTAGAGGCAGACAGACCCCAAACCTGGCAAACAAGCCCTTGCACTGTTCAACCTATCAGGTAGGCTCAAGTGTTCCACTCCCATCAGGGGGTGGGCTGCCCAGAAGCAGCAGCCCAGAGGGGACTCTTCACAAATGGCCTTTTCTGGTGGCCAAAAGGCCAAGAGTCAAGGCAGAGCTTCCCATGGGACAGAACTAGAGACAGCCATATGGCCGAGACACCATGGCCAGGCAGGAAGTCTGCCATACTGCCCCAATGAGCCATGGCAGGAGCAGCAGACCAGCCACTCTGGGGTCTTCCAAACAGCTGCTTCCCCTCTAGCTGCATCCCTCCAGGAGCATGCTTTGCTCACCCACCTGCCACTCCCTCAAAGGAAGTGACCCTAACTTGGCATTCCCAGCAGGTGTTTGCTGAATCAACTGCTGACAAATTTTACTTCCTCCTGTGGGAGGTGGGCCAGGAGCCTTGGGGGATACAACTGCAAGAGGTCAGACGCTCGGTGGAGGAACATACTGACCCCTAACTGGGTAGAATGGACGTGCATACTGAGCTGAGGTCCAAGTGAGCTGGGAGGAGGGAGACGATGTTGCAGGCTGAACAACCAAGGGAAGCTCTCAGCACAGGACACACTGAACTGTGTCGGAGGAGAATGTAAGGAAACAGCTTTGTGCAGAGTGAAGAAAAAAGGCAAGGACAATGTCCCAAGAAGAAGTGAAGGGAAGAACTTCACAGATTATGTTGGACACCAGGAGCAGACCTCATTAGGCAGACAGGTGGGGCTTCAGGAAAGGAGAGAGGGAGATTGGTTGAGGGTACAAAAGAAATGACCACCTGTACTCAAGAGGCTTGGAATTCAGTGGAAGACAGGGCTCACAGCCATGAGCACATGGAGTCAAATGCAGAGGGTTCTGCCAAGGGAGTGGGCAGCACTGCAGACAGGCCATCCTAGAAGAGCCTTGAAACCAAAGCATTCTAGATTATTTTTGTTTTTCTGAGACGGAGTCTTGTTCTGTCACCCAAGCTGTAGTGCCATGGTGTGATCTCGGGTCACTGCAACCTCCGCCTCCCAGGTTCAAGCGATTCTCCAGCCTCCCAAGTAGCTGGGATTACAGGTGCATGCCACCATGACCAGCTAATTTTTTGTTCTTTCTTTTTTTTTAGTAGAGACAGGGTTTCACCATGTTGGCCAGGCTGGTCTCAAACTCCTAACCTCAAGTCATCCACCCGCCTCGGCTTCCCAAAGTGCTGGGATTACAGGCATGAGCCACCGCACCCAGCCTAGATTATTTTTTATTTTATTTATTTATTTATTTATTTATTTATTTGAGATGGAGTCTTGCTCTGTCACCCAGGTTGGAGTGCAGTGGTGCGATCTCGGCTCACTGCAAGCTCCGCCTCCCGGGTTCATGCCATTCTCCTGCCTCAGCCTCCTGAGTAGCTGGGACTACAGGCACCTGCCACCAGACCCAGCTAATTTTTTGTATTTTTAGTAGAGATAGGGTTTCACCTGCATTAGCCAGGATGGTCTTGATCTCCTGACCTCGTGATCTGCCCACCTCGGCCTCCCAATGTGCTAGGATTACAGGCGTGAGCCACCACGCCCGGCCTGATTATTTTTAATACAGAGTAAATGGATGATGTTCCCTTTTTACCAAACAAACAAGAATGGTAATGGAGCTGTTTCATCTGAATATATATCTGTCACCTGCACCTGGAATCGGCTGGGAACATTTCCTTTCCAGGGTCTTCCCCTGATCTGACATGTTTGGTCAGGGGTCCGTAGGCTGGCGGAAGTTACAAAGGGGCCATGGCAGGGCCTGGGGAATAGGGTAGGAGAGGAGTGGGCTTCCACTCTAGACCAAGTTGATGGATGTTAGGTTGAAATATAAAAGCAAATTTTCTGAACAACTCGTCCACAAATACCCAAAAACAGCCCTGGGAAAGCAAATGCCAAGAAAATGGCTGCAGGGCTTCACCAGGGCTGTAGCCCCTACTCAAGCCAGGGCTGAAGGAGGCCCAGAGAGGAGAAAGTCCTCATCTGTCTGACCCATCTTGGAGGCAACTGTAATCTGCCTCCCAGCACCCTCTGGTGGGCTCCTCTGTTACAGGTGGGACACAAGCTTTAGAGACATCCATCTGGCCACCAATGCTACTTATAGGCTGCGTGAACTTCCTCAGCTTCTTCATCCTTAAAATGGCCACCTCCCATTTACAGAGTAGAGATGAAGGTTAACCATCAGTCAACAAATATTTATTAAACAAGTGTTCCAGGGCAGTGTCTCACCAACGGTAATGTGCGTGTACATCACCTGGGAAAGTTGTAAGGTGTAGATTCTGATTCAGTGAGTTTGGGGAGGGCCCCTGCAAGCTCCTGGGTGGTGCACATGTGATCATCCTGCTTCCCCCCATCCCCCTACATGCACATACATCAGAGACATACATCAGAGGCTCAGCTTCCAGAGGGATGGGTCTGTACCCCATGTTTCTGGGAATGCCACCAAATATCAGGTATACCAGAGGAGCTCAGGAAATTGGTACTGGGGAAATGAAGAATCAAACAGGGGATTCTGACAGGCAGGGGAGGCTCTGTCCAGGGCCATAGGTGACTTGGGAGCAGCTGACCACAGAACAGGGCATTACTGAGCAACAGGTCAATATGATGACTTCTCTGCAGCCAGGAGCAGCTGAAGGCAGGACCAGGGAAGAGGTGATTCTTCTTCCAGAGCCTCCAGCAGGGCCCAGCCCACCTCCCAGGTGCTACCAAGAGGCCCTAAAATCCAGTCTCCTACTCCTGGCTGGACCTGGTCAGTCTGAGCACATGTGTGACTCAAATGTTAGGGGACCAGGAATGCTGGTGGCTGGGCACAGACCACCTGGACATGGAAACAATAGGTCTTTCCATGAAGTTGTCTTATTTTTCTATCTTAGTGGGGGAACATGTGGTTTTTCTATTGTTTCTAAGCAAATGTGACATGGACAATAACTCTTTTCCCCTCAGAGGAGGTGGAGGTTATGTACTCCCCCACACCTTATATACACAAATACGCATGTGATGTGTCTGCACTCTGGCTAAGGAAAACCCAAGACTGCTGCAACTGCCCCTTCACTCAGGCTCCCGGGTTGATGTCTAAAGCCTCCCCGGGAATCAGAAAGCATCTTTGGGTGTAACACACAGAGGCACATTTCAGAGGAAGGCAGGGCCTTTGTGAGTGACGCCTCACAGGGTCACAGTGCAAGTCCCTCTGCTCTGATGGGGAAAGAGGGTGAGGGGAATATGTTTTTATGTCTTTTGAGGGTGGGGGCGAAGAGACAGAGGGCCTGCTCCTGACTCCCCTAAAAAGAACAGCAGCTCCATGTTGGAACCGCTCCACACTGGGGCCCCCACAGAGCCTCCTAGCCTGACCAGCTCAGGCTCCCCTGTGACACACAGGCCCTGTCCTCCTCCTCCAGCCAGATGTGCCTGAGACCCAGACTGCCCACCCCCTGAGAGTACCAAACAGAACCACAGAGCAGACTCCTGTGAAAAATGGAGTCAAGCCATGGCCTAATAGTCTGCCAAGGAGTGCTGAGTGTGGGTCAGTCAGGCTCCTGCAGGCAGCCCAGCATCAAACGGAGCCCAAGACCGAGGGGCTGCCTGGGAAGGAGGACTCCAGTTCAAATACATGCTAACTGATGTCCTGAGTAAGCTGCTTCCTTTTTGTCAGCCTCAGTCTCCTCAACTGTAACATGAGGGCTTGGCCTGGATCACTTGATTCCTTTCATCCTAGGATTCTCAGCAACAGTATCACAAGCTCCAGCTGCCTGGGTTCAAATCCTGCCTCTGCCACTTCCTGTGAGATCCGCGCATGAGTCACCTCACTTCTTCCAACCTTAACTCCTCATCCGCGACATAGAATGAGGGGAACACCAGCTCAGAGGGTTACAGAGGGGGCTCAACGAGGGCCTACCTGGCATGGAGGGGGGCTGAATAAATATCAGCATTCTGTGAACTCTGTGGCCCCTGCTGCCACCACCCTCATGCTCACAGACGGAGTCAGGACCAATGACCAGCGTCCTCAGCCCCCGAAGGGTGTGGCCTCTACTCTGCATGGGAAGACCCACCGGATCCCCCAAACCCAGGCAGATCAACATCATGCACACCCTGGTGGCCACGTGCATGGTCTCAAGCACACACAGGGTCAGGCAAACCTCAGCATGCCGGGCAGCAGGCGTGGTCACTGCAGCAGGACAGGGAGGAGGACAGGCAGAGAGGAGGCAGGCAAAGGGGAGGCCATGTGCAGTCACTGGGGAACGGGAGCTAGCACAGCCTGAGACCAAGCAGCCCGCGCCGGCAGCGCCCGTCTCCTTACCTCCCCTGCAGGACCTCTGACCACCGGGACTGTGTTCCCCCAAGAAGCCGGAGGCATGCTGGAAAGAGGAGAGAGCAGGAGACAGGGGGCAATCCATCCTGAGCCAGGCTCAGGAGAAAGTCCCGGAAAGGAAGCCCGAGGAAGGGGGTTCCGCTCAGGGCGTCCATGGCTGAAGGGGTTTCTAAGAGACCCGAAAGACCCAAATGCCAAATGCAGATCACCCCCAAGACTGGCCTGTGCCAGAGGCGCAGAGCGGGGGATGAGAGAGCAAAGGACGAAGACCACCCACAGTGACCATCTTGCCAGGTTTCCTGGCATGGTGTGGACCCAACAGAAAAGGGATCCAAGGATCTTGGGTGGGCGAACCCCCTCAGAAGTCCCACCAGCCAGAGTCAAGGAGGGTGTGCCCTCCACAGATGTCACAGTCACTCCTCCTGGGACCCAGGGGAGACAGGGGAAACTGAGTGTGTGTTGCAGGGCCTTGGAGGACTCACACTCCAAGGCCAGAGTCAGAGCATGGAGGTTCTCATCCTGGCTCCACCATGTATCTGGGTAACTTTGGGCAAGTTATCCTCTCTGGGCCTCAGTTTCCCCACAAGATAGTGAGAATGTCCCTATCTATAATAGAGTGTGTCACATAGTCTACAAATGCCAGGCACCAAATGCCCACTGAGCCACAGGCATCTTTTCTAGACTTTTCTCTGGAGGTTGGTTTGTGCTGCACTAGGGAGACGATCAAACATCCAAGATTCCGGACAGCAGGCTGGGCAGAGGGGCTCCCGCAGCCAGGGATCCAGGGAAGAAGGAGCCTGAAGCACAAAGTTTGGGGTAGGATGACTTTAACATTGAACACATTTGGGGTCCAGTTAAATGGCACGATTCCCCCAGCTGGGCTGTCCACAGCCCCCTCATAAAATTCCTACATCACTGACCCATGTCCCTAAATCCCCTCCAGAGCACCCCTTGACCCTGGAAGGCTAAGAGCTCCTCCAGGAACTGGTTCTGACCTGTTCATCACTGGGTCTCAGCCCCTGCTCCCTGGGCCACTCACAGCAGGTGCCCGACAAATAACTGAGGAGTGGCAGACTCCTACAGCATCCAGCACCTGCTCTGGGGCCAGCGCCAGTCAGCAGAGCCAGCCTGCCAGTGAGAGGTCATACTTTGTAAACCTTTCTCAACCTTGCTACACAATTCTGCTGATGACTCTTGGTCATGGTAACCCTGGGAGGTCAGGTATTACAACCGTATCTTCCAAACAAGTAAACTGAGGCCAAAGGAGGTGAAGAGGTGATTGCCCAAGGGTACACAAAGTAGGGTAATTGTTGTTGACAGAGCCAGGGCGAGAATCTGAGTCTCCTAACGTCCCAGGCACCAGGCAATGTCAACATGGCCGGTTGCCACCGGCATCCACCTTAGACACCAGTGCCAGGGCATGGGCACTACCAGGGGTGAAGAATCTGGACACGAGCCCAGCAGGGCCCTGGGAGTCAGAGTGCAACGAGCTGCACACAGTGGAGGGGAGCCCAGGCTGGTGCCCACAGCTACCTTTGATGACAAAAGCCTCCGACAGCAGCCGCATCTGATACAGGGGCTTGTTCTCCATGGACATGTCATCAATCCCGGCCCGTGCGTACATGCTGATGGCATCTCGGTATGAGCCCTCCACGTAATGCAGTTTGCCCAGGATCAGCATGGCCTCACACATGTACTGTGGCTGAAATGACAAGGACATGTTACCAGCGCCTGCCCCAAAGTTACCTTGGGGTGAACACCCCCACTGAACCTGGACCTTGTTTGCCTCAGACCTTGCTCAGAACTCCCCTCCTCCTCCAGAAAGCCTTCTTTGATGCTCAAGCACATGCCGACAGCTCCCCGCTCTCACCCATGGTCTGCAGCCTACATTGTGGTTCTCAATAAAATTCTCCTATGAGTCCCTAATTGTTTCATGTGTGTGCGTTTTATGCCCCCAGCAAGACTCCAGAGACCTTGCAGACTAGGCCCTGTCTTCCCTCTCCTGAATCCCCCCAAAGACTGCAGCCCCAGGGGGCACTCAGAAGCTCAGGCATTTATTCTAAACACAAGTGGGGAGTCAGAGATGGAGTTAAGTTTTGTGGAGCCCCAGGCTTCTCATTTTGGGAGTCCTCTTGTGTACATGTATATGCAAATCATAATTAGGTGAAAGGCCTTAGAAACAGCCTGTGAGGACCCTAAAGCTTATGCCTCCCCCTACAGTGGCAGAGGGACAGATTGAGGAGGAGAGGGCCTGCTGCGTCACCATCCTCTTCCTATCAGAAATGGGTCAAAGTGCAGAATCACGGAGGCCAAGAGTGGCTGAATTTAAACGTGTTTTCTTTCCCCTCCTTTTTCAAAAGTTGCTTACATCTCAATCTCCATCCCACAGAGGAACTCTCAGGGCCTCCCTTAGGGCCTGCAGTGGTCTTGTCAGCCATGATCACCCCTACTGTGGCTTGGGATCCTGTGCTGTTGCCTGAGGGAGGCTGTGCTGGCCCTGGGCTGTGCCACCCTGGCACGTGAGTTCTGACCTTGGACATGGCCCCAGTTCTCCTTGTAACCTCCCGCCTCTGCAGGCCATTTGCTCTGGCCCCCTGCCTCTGATCCTGTCCTCAGCTGGCTCACAATGCCTATGGGCCAGGCCCTGGGCACTGCTCCCGCCACACAGGCACCAATCTGTCCATAAAACTCCCCGAAGATGCAGCTCTCATCCCACACCTGGCATTTGTCACTGGCAGGAAGGTGCTACCCCTGTCTCCCTGTAGGGAGGTAAGAGTCTGGGGTCCCTGTGACCCCAGGGCAAGCCTCCAGCACTCCTTACCATCTACTGCCCTCTCAGAAGCCAAGAGAAATGAAGCGTGGCACAGACAGGCTCTGGGGAAGCCAAATTCACCTTCCCAACTGGTCCTTCTGGCCTTTGTAAATCCACATTCCTCTTTTGCCTGTGCTTCCTCAGGTCCCCTTCCCCCTGGCCTAACCAGGTCCTCTTCTATCCTTTGGGGCCTTGCTCAGGCCCACCTTCTCCTGAAAGCCTCCTTGACTACCAGGGAGCTCCCTTCAGCTGAACTCCTCCAATGCCTCTACCAATGGGCCCATTCAGCCTCTGCACGCCTGACCTGCTCTCTCTATTAATTAACTCTCCAAAGCTGAATCTTTTGAGGGGATTTGCTAGTCTTCCCAGATAGGCCATCCACTCCCTGGGCCAGGGCCACAGATGACACATCCCAGAGGTATGTGGCCCACAGTCCTTCCAAGCTGGGCAGTGACTCTGCGTTCCCTGCACTGGTCTCAAGCCACGGGCTCATTTCCTCCCTGCTCGGGCTGCGTCTTCCTCGTGGGTGAGGGAGAGATAATAACACCTACTCCTCACTGCCTATCACAGCGATGCTGAAGGCATTAATAGGGCAAAGTCCAGAAAAGAGCTTTGAACTTTTCTTTGGAAAAGAGCAAGATAAATACAGGGTATGCGTATTTATCATTATCCTGCACATGGAGACAAGGGCAGTGAGGCAGAGAAGGACATTTCAGGCATGCTGATGGGGTGTGGCTAGTGGCGGTTCCTGGAGGACCAGTGGCAGTTTACAACAGAGCTTCCACCAAGCTGGGGAAAAATTAGACAATGCAGGGCATGTTTTATAAAGCCACATTTACACTATTTAAAAAAATGCTCGGCCGGGTACGGTGGCTCACGCCTGTAATCCCAGCACTTTGGGAGGTCGAGGCAGGCAGATCACCTAAGATCAGGAATTTGAGACCAGCCTGGACAACATGGTAAAACCCGTCTCTACTAAAAATACAAAAATTATCCGGGCGTGGTGGTGGGCGCCTGTAATCCTAGCTACTTGGGAGGCTGAGGCAGAAGAATCGCTTGAACCCGGGAGGCGGAGGTTGCAGTGAGCCAAGATCGTGCCACTGTACTCCAGCCTGGGTGACAGAGCGAGACTCCGTTGTCTCAAAAAAAAAAAAAAAAAAAAGGCTCTTAGTTCTGAAAGGATATCTACCTTGCCCTTTCAATGCTAAACTGTTTTTCTGTTATAGCACAGTAAGAGCAGAAGATGGTATCATTTTGCTGCTATTTTTTGCTTCTTAATGTCCTTACTTGGCAACATTAAGAGTCCACTGCACTCTGTGGGGCCCATGCATTTGAATGTGAAATATTCTTGGTCTATCAGTACAACAGTCAGGGAACGGAACCCCTTGCCCAGTGGGAGGGTGCCACGGGGGAGGTCGCTTTACCAGAGGAACAATCCCCTCTACTGTGTGGATCAGCGCATCACCTACTCCTTTTGTGCCTCACTGTCCCTGTCAATAAAAGGGGAAAAAGGACTTCATGGAGATATCCAGGTATGAGGAAAGAACGGATGAGGAAATACTTCACAGACTAACGTGGGAACTATAAAAGTGGGGGTGTGATCACCATCTTTCACATGAATCCAACTTTCCCAGTCATTATTTTATTTCCACCCCAGTACTCTGGGAGGCAGTACCAAGAAATGAGAGACAGCATTAGAGCATGGGCTGTAGACACTAAAGGCCTGGGTTGTGATCACCTTTCTTGGGTCTCAAGAGATGGAGCTTGGCAGGGCACAGTGGCTCACACCTGTAATCCCAGCACTTTGGGAGACCAAGGCAAGAGGATCGCTTGAAACCCAGAATCTGAGACCAGCCTGAGAAACACAGTAAGAACTGTGTCTCTACAAAAAATTGAAAAAAAAAAAAAAGAAAGAAAGAAAGAAAAAGAAATGGGGCTAATAGTAAATACCGTTGCAGAAGGTTCCTTGGAGGCCTGCATGCGATGGTGCAAAGCCTCAACCTAGTAGCAGAACAGAGTTTAGGACAAGTGGCTTGTTTTCACTGATCTCCACACAACTGAGCTGGACGGGGTCTTAGAGAGATAACCAAGAGGAAAGGGTTTCAAGCTTTCCCAAGGAGGGGCCTCAGGACCCACCTCTCCCAGCTCTCCTTCTCATCCAGCAGAGCTACTTGGATGCACAGGAATCCACCTGAGACTGCATCAGCTGCCAAGAAAGGTCACGCCAACTGTGACCTGATCTTTGCGGGTGAGATAGAAAATACTACAAATGATGGCCGGGCATGGTGGCTCACGCCTGTAATCCTAGCACTTTGGGAGGCACAGGTGACAGGACTGCTTGATCCCAGGAGTTTAAGACCAGCCTGAGCAATATGACAAGACTTTGTCTCTACAAAAAAATTTAAAAATTAGCTGGGTGTGGTGGTGCATGCCTATAGTCCCAGCTACTCAGGAGGCTGAAGCAGGATGATCACTTGAGCCCAGGAGGTCCAGTCTGCAGTGAGCCATGTTCACGCCACTGCACTCCAGCCTGGGTGACAGAGTGAGACCCTGTCTCAAAAAAGAATCCCACAAACGACATTTAATATATTATTTTACAGATCATCATTAAGTTTTTGGCTCTGGCCTGGATAACAGTAAATTTCTGCACATTATTGGTGCCTATATATGTCTTTGTTTAACAAAATATGGTACAATTTGTATTTAATAAAACCGTTGTCACAATACATGTGGTTACTATTCAGCCAATACAAAGAATGAGACAATACTGGCATGGAGAAAGCTCTAAATAAAACTTCTTGGTGAAAAATATATATCTTACAACTCTATGAAAAGAAATATCTGTGTGTATATATGTTTGTAAATGCACAAAGAAAGGCATAGGAGATGCACATCAAATACTGACCAGTGCTCAACTCTGAGGATGGGTGTGGGCATGAGGGTGAGGTTGGAAAACAAGAACTTTTTTTGTGTGTGTGAGACAGGATCTTGCTCTGTCACCCAGGCTGGAGTGCAGTGGCATGAACACAACTCACTGCAGCCCCAACCTCCTAGGCTCAAGTGACCCTCCAGCCGCAGCTTCTTGGGTAGCTGGGACCACAGGTGCAAGCCACCACGCCTAGCTAATTAAAAAAATTTTCTGTAGAGATGGGGTCTCACCATGTTGCCCAGTCTGATCTCAAACTTCTGGCTCAAGCAATCCTCCCACCTTAGCCTCCCAAAGTGCTAAGACTACAGGCGTGAGCCATAGGCCAGCTGGGACTTTTATTTATCACTCAAATTACTTATTTGTTGACTGGAATTTTTACAATAAGGCTGAATCATGTTTATTTTAAAAACAATTTTTAAATATTTAATTTAACATTTAATTATTAATTTAATATTTTTAAAACGAAAAGCGGTCTTGGTGGGAAAAGCTTGAACCCCACCAATCTGGTCCAACCCTTTTGACCAGCAGATGAGAAACTGGAAGGTCTGTGGGGTCAAGCATGCTCAGGGTCAGGCAGCTATTTTAACCCAATACAAACCTCCCAGTGCTACAATACCTGTCAAGGAGCCTAAAAGCAGTAACCTTAAACTTCTAGTACACACTCCCCTCTCCCCTGGCCTTTCCCTCCCTTACAAAATAAGCCCTGCACATCCTGGCCTGGTGTTCCAGTCTGCCCTTACTAGCCCCAAAGTACCTTTACAACCTTGTCTAGATCCAGCCCCAGAAGGATCCAATTCTAGTACTGCCATTACTCAGAGTCTGCTCTCTGCTTATCCCCAAAGAGCATCCCCCTCAGACTTGCTTCCTCGTGGATAGCACTCCTATCACGGTCTACCTTGGAGGAAGGCTATTTACTTGCTGATAGGACTTATCTTCCCAAGAGACCTGCAACCTCCTTGAGGGCAGGGTCCATGCTGGATTCGTCTTGATTGCCTTCAGAGTGCACAACACAATGCCTTGCACACAGTACGTTGGAATAAAAGGTTTAAGGAAGTGAATATATTACTTTGGAATAGCTCTTTAAAAATCAGCTGGGCGCAGTGCCTCACTCCTGTAATCCCAACGCTTCGGGAGGCTGAAGTAGGAGGATCGCTTGAGCCCAGGAGTTGGAGACCAGCCTGAGTAACACAGCGAGACCCTGAAGAAAATAAAGACAGACAGAAAGACAGAAAGAAAGAGAGAGACAGAGGGGAAGGAAGCAAGGAAGGAAGGGAGGGAGGGAGGGATCACTTCCTCTTTGAGTTTTTTTTTACCCCCTCCCCCTCCTCTTTTGAGTTTCTAATGACATACCCATGCCACTATTATAGTTCAGGATACATTGTAATCTAACACAGCCACAGCCTCAAACTTGGATGCACATATGAATCACCCAGGAGAGCTTGTTAAAACACAGATTCTAATTCTTAATTGCATTTCTTTTTTTTTTTCTCTTAATTGCATTTCTAACCAGCTCCCCAATGATGCCTACACTGCTGGTGGGTGGACCACATTTTGAGCAGCAAAGTCCAGAGAAAGTTGTGACCATACTCCTTCTGGGAGGGAGAGGTGGGTCCTCTACCTCCCTCAGTGTCTTGTACTCAGTAGGTGCTTGATAAATACACGTGGACTTAAATGGGCTTGCCCTGTTATGGAGCTCTTCTGTCCCTAGCCAACTCTGCATGTTTGCCTGTTTCTAACTAGGTCACAGGTTCACTGAGGTTTTATTTTCCTGAGAGCCCCCTGACCCAAGGAGCCCAAAGGGCCAGGCACATATTAAGTCAACCAAGCACTGTCCAAAAAAATATGATGTAAGCCACAAATGTGAACCACATGTGTAATTTAAAAATTTCTACTAAGATTTTTTTTAGTCACACTGAAAAAGGTAAAAGGTGAAATTAATTTTAATAACATGTTTTATTTAACCCAATATATCCAAAATATACCATCTGAACATGTAATCAACATAAAAAGTTACTGCTCTTTTCTATTCTTTGTTTTGTACTAAGTCTTTGAAACCTTGTGTATGCTTTATACTTACAGCACATCTCAATGTGGACTAGCCATACTCCAAGTGCTCAAGGGGCCATGTGCAGCCAGTGGCTACTGTAAGTGCAAGGGCAGCTTGTAAGAGAGACTTGTTGCTCAGGTGACCAAATGACTCAGGGAGGACTGGACAGATGCGAGGCAAGACAGACGAGGAGAGGAGGTCTCAGGCTTGAAGGCTGACGACTTACCGAGAGCCTCCCATGGTTAAGGATACTGCTTAGATAATTTTTGGCTTCGCTCATCTTCGGCTCATTCTTCTCCAGCAAAGGCATGGAGTCTTTTATTTTGGCATGGTTCTCCTTCAAACACTGCTCCAGGAGGGCCTCAGCCAGCAGCAATTTCCCAAAGTCATCTGAAAAGCAAAGTAGGGGTCAGAGCAGCAAACCCCGAACAAGGCGGATAATGGAGGGAGTTGCACACTCCTGGACCCACCCAACCACCCATACCCAGTACATGAATGGCTCAGGTCTGAGAAAATAAAGGCACATTTTTCATAAATTTCAACAGCCTTTAAAGAAAAGACACAGGCATTCTACTATGGTCACAATACAAATTGCCCCTTGGATTTATTTTCTGCTGTAGTTTAATGGTTGGGAAGACAGAGTTCCCAGGACTCGGGGACAAATTCCCAGAATTTCAGAATTTAAAATAAGGGACAAAGTCATACATATGCTGTGCTGTGGATAATAAGTTCTTAAACCAAGAAGAATTCTCCCCAAATGATTGAAGAGAAAAAATACATGAAGTGGTTTAATAATGTACTTTTACATGCTCCTAATTTCTATGTAACCATAATTGGTTTTCCCCATTTTTAAGTGTTTTTGTTTGTTTGTTTGTTTTAAACAGAGTCTCACTCTGCCACCCTAGCTGGAGTGCACTGGCATGATCATGGCACTCCCAGGCTCAAGTGACCCTCCTGACTCAGCCTCCCAAAGTGCTGGGATTACAGGCATCAGCCACCATACCATCCAGTTTTTAAGGTAATTTGACATGACTCAGGATAACCTAGCAGCCACAGTAGAGTTAGGTGGGAAGCAGATCTACTTGTTGCCAAGGCAAATCCTCGAACATGTTGAATACCTGCATTTTCTGGAGTTCTCTCACATATAGGGTATACCCGCAAATGAGGGTAGCTCATTTGCATCCCTCACCACCTGGTAGGTGGTTTTATACTGCTTGGTTTAGTGAGCGCAGTGGCTCACACCTGTAATCCCAGCACTTTGGGAGCCCAAGGCAGGCAGATCACTTGAGGTCAGGAGTTTGAGACCAGCCTGGCCAACATGGCAAAACTCTGTCTCCACTAAAAATGCAAAAATTAGCCAGGCATGATGATGGGCACCTGTAATCCCAGCTACTCGGGAAGCTGAGGCAGAACTGCCTGAATTCGGGAGACGGAGGTTGCAGTGAGCCGAGATCACACCACTGCACTCCAGCCTGGGCAACAAAGTGAGATTCTGTCTCAAAAAATAAAAATAAAGATAATATACTGCTTGGTTTATTTGCTGCCTCCCTTTACCACACTGAAAACTCGTCTTGTGACCACCAGATTCCTGCTACCTACAGCAGAGGTGGCTCGAGCATGGGAGCCGGGTGTTCAGTGTGCAGGGTCTGAGGTCAAGATGGTTTCACCATGGTTCTTGGGTGGCTGTGCTCATTGCCCCTCCCAGCAACTGGGGTGAGGAGCAGGCCCACCATTCAATATAAGCACTGAGTAAATACCTGTTGAGTGAATTGGATCCTCTCAACTACCCCACAGCGAAGCCATCAGGATCGAGAGTTAAGTGCCAATCCAAAAACATCCCTAGGAATGCCTGCTTGGTGCCATCTTTTTCAAAGTGCTCTTTTTGCTACCAGTACAGTGTTCTCAGATCTACAGGGCTGCCATTGCCTCCTCACTCTCAGGATACCACAGTCTGCTAACATCTCATAGCCACTAGTCCAAAACTGCATGCCTTAGCTGGGCACAGTAGTGCAAGCCTGTAGTCCCAGCTTCTTGGGAGGCTGAGGTGGAAGAATTGCTCAAGCCCAGGAGTTCAAGACCAGCCTGGGCAACATAGGGAGACCTCGTCTTTAGAAAAACACAAAAAACTTCATGCCTCTGAAGAAGAATCTCTCACCGTAAGGGAGATTCCCCACAGAGAACGGTTCTAAAGCCCAGAATCCCAAGAACACCATCGCAGGGGGGTTTCGTTCTGAAGGCACCTGTTATGGGATCCTTTGCTATGTACCTCATGACTTTTAAAATTAACATTTTAAGGAAATGGTCAAAAAAGTACCTGGTTCAAACTATCATTCATTGCTGGCAGACTATAAGTTGGTAGAACCTCTAGGGTAATTTGGCAACGTACATCAAAATTATTTTTGAACATCCCCATAGATCCAGTCAGTCAGAGCCACATTCCAGAGCTGTGGGCCTTGGGGAAAGTTGCTCCCTGCTTCTAACCTGCTTTGCCTCTGTAAAGCCAGGGGTGGGGTTTGAAGTCAGAGCCTAAAGAGGGAAACACACCCCTCAGGATGCTGGCCCCGTCCCCCAGCTGGTCCCCGCCTTGTTGCCCCCTTTCCTCTGTGCACTGGCAGGACTCCGTGCCCTTGGGCCACCGTGCCACCAGATACGGCACCATCAGTGGCCATCCCGTGCACTCTGCCATCCACCTGCCCGGACCAGAGCTCCTCGCTTGGTTGAGCTGTTTGGTTGGGTACTTTCATGCCAAGAGAAACCAGCTTCCTCCCCAGAGCACGCCCCTTTGGACCCAGGCTGCTCCAAGTGCGGCTGGCCATGGCCTGCGGGTCTCTCCATGCTTGTGATCCAATACCAAGGAGATGAGTGCAGAAACTTAAAAGTACACCTTAGAAATCTGACAGAGTAATTTTAAATCTGTTGAAATCTAATACTAAAAAATTGGGAGGTAGTACTTTGTGTATTTTTCTTTTATTTTTCTAGCAATTCATTTTTATTGTACTTTATGAAAGTATCAGAGCATAACAGATTGGGAATTTATTTTCAGACAGGGTCTCTATCACCCAGGCTGAAGCGCAATGGCACAATCTCAGCTCACTGCAACCTCCACCTCCTGGGTTTAAAGGATTCTCCTGCCTCAGCCTACTGAGTAGCTGGGACTACAGGCACGCACCACCACACCCAGCTAATTTTTTGTATTTTTGGTAGAGACGGGGTTTTACCATGTTGGCCAGGCTGGTCTCGAACTCCTGGGCTCAAGTGATCTGCCTGCCTCGGCCTCCCAAAATGCTAGGATTACAGATGTGAACCACTATGCCTGGCCAGATTTGGAATTTAAAGAAAACAAAATTGATCCTTCACCACATATCTCTAAACCATAAGAGTGACTGGCTGCGAAAGAGGCACTAATATTTGTTGAAGGCTTAGTATGGGCCAGACACTTTTTTATATAGCATCATTTCATCTCTACAGCCCTGAAAGGTAGGTATTATCACCATTTTATAGATGATAATAAAGATATGCAATATTGTTAGGGTCACAGCCAGTAACAATAATAAAACATAACAGAGCCAAAAACACCCTGTCTCTCCTGCAACCCATGCACAGCGGAGCTGCTGGTAATTTCAAAATAAACAACAGTCTTAACAACTTAAAAGAGTACGTTAAAAGCTAGTTGTAAATCCAAGGACAGGGATAAGAACTGTCCTTACCTTCATATACCTGTGACTTTCAGACTACTTTGTTGATTGACACTTCAGGTCCTTCACAGAAGGCTTTCTGCCTGCCCCTTTCAGCCCCCAACTCAATCTACTTGTTGTTTGTTTACCATGGTAAACAAACATGGCCAGACACTCAGCAGGCAGCAAAAATTCACTTTCTTTTCCTCCTTTGCTCAACTCTCCTCTCCCTGCCCTACCTCTCTCTTGCCTTCCTCTTTTCTTTCCATCCAACTATTCTCAACTGTTCAGTCTATGGAACTGAAGGATGTTTCGGAATTAGAAGTTCTAGACTTATAGTTGTTAAACAAGAATTCAGGCCTGCTGTGGTGGCTTATGCCTATAATCCCAGCACTTTGGGAGGCCGAGGTGGTAGGACTGATTGAGACCAGGAGTTAGAGACCAGCCTGGTCAACATAGTGAGACTCTGTCGCTACACACAAAAAAAGTTAGCTGATGTTAGAGGTACACGCCTAGAGTCCCAGCTACTTGGAAGGCTGAGGTGGAAGGATGGCTTGAGCCCAAGAGTTCAACGCTGTAGGGAGCCATGACTGTGCCACTGCACTCCAGCCTAGGCAACAGGGCAATACCTCATCTCTAGAAAATAAAAATTAAAAAAATTAAAAAAAAAGAATTCAGGTGGATAAAGGCTTCCCTGTCCTTCCAAAGGGAAAACAAGTTGCTTTTTATCATCCTGTTGTCCGAAACCTACTACCTATCCCAGTTCTGGTGAAATGCTGCAGCTTCTCTCTACCCAGGGGCATTTAAGAAGACCTTGCCATCAGACCGATAGTGAATCTGACTCTGGGTGCTGATTCTGCAGCCCTGCTCAGCACCTTGCCCTCAGCAAAGCCCCAAAGCCCCAAAGCCCCATTTACTGGCCACCCAGTCTCCCAACCCCATCGTGTCTGGAAGGCCTCAGTGCCCACCTTCCTTATAGCCCCTGCAGCTCACATCCCCTCCCGGCCTCTCCAAGAGTGCCAGGTCACAGGAATACCCTTCAAGACCCCATGTTTGGATGACAGTGATCCCCTCTCCACAACCCACCCATTCACAGTCAGGAAACATTGGTCTAGCCAGCCAGGCCAGGATTCAGACCAGGCCCTTCCCCGCTGGGGCAAACGGGCACAGTGGTTTCTGCAGCTGCTCACCTCCCAGGACTATAGAAGGCTGGGACCTGCCAACCACAGCCAAGAGGAAAAGGCTGAAACTAGCAAGAGACCATCTGCCTCAAACAAACCCCTTCTAACTGAAACGGAAGAAATGTTCAAAACAATCTCCAGTCTTAAGAAGAAGAAAAAAAAAGTGGGGCGGCGGGGAGGGTGACTACAGATTAAGAGACACTCAAAGACCGGGCACGGTGGCTCACACCTATAATTCCAGCACTTTGGGAGATCAAGGCAGGAAGATTGCTTGAGTCTAGGAGTTCAAAATCAGACTGGACCACATAGTGAAATCCTATCTCTACAAAAAATAAAAAAATTAACTAGGTAGCTGGGCACGGTGGCTCACGCCCGTAATCCCAGCACTTCGGGAGGCCGAGGCGGCTGGAACATGAGGTCAACAGATAGAGACCATCCTGGCCAACATGGTGAAACCTCGTCTCTAAAAATACAAAAATTAGCTGGGTGTGGTGCCACGCACCTGTAGTCCCAGCTACTTGGGAGGCTGAGGCAGAAGAATCGCTTGAACCCGGGAGGCAGAGGTTGCAATGAGCCGAGATCGCACCACTGCACTCCAGCCTGGCAACAGAGCAAGACTCCATCTAAAAAAAAAATTAACTGGGTGTAGTGGCATACACACCTGTGATCCCAGCCATTTGGGAGGCTGAGGCAGGAGGATCACTTGAGCCCAGGGTGAAGTGAACTATGAGAGTAAGACCTTGTCTCTAAGAATAAAAAAAAAAATTAAAAAGAAAGTCTCAAGATGAGTAGAGAACAGATATGTAATAAAGCAAGCACAGCAAAAGGTTAATAGGTACACAGGTGTTCACTGCAAATTTTTTTGACCTTTACTGTATATTTGAAATTTTCATAACAAAATGTTGGGTGGGGTACAGAGACCTAACCTAACAATCAAATGCAGTTATGTCGCCTAATTTGGATCCTGACTCTAATAACTAATTGTAAAACGTAATTGTTAGATTTTTGTAAGGTGTAATAATGGTACAGTGGCTATATTTTCAAAAAGAGTTCTTATTGCTAGGTGTGGTGGCTCATGCCTGAAATCTCAACACTTTGGGAGGCCGAGGTAGGAGAATAGCTTAAGCCCAGGAGTTCAAGACCAACTTGGGCAACATAGCAAGACCCCATCTCTACAAAAAAATTTGAAAATTAGCTGGGTTTGCTGACGTGTGCCTGAGGTATGTTGCCTGGGCTGATCTCGAACTCCTGGCCTCAAGTGATCCTCCCGTCTTGGCCTCCCAAACAGCTGGGACTACAGGTGTGTGCCACCATGCCTAGCTATATTTTTTAGGGGAGTAGGGGGTAGAGATGGGATCTCACTTTGTTGCCCAGTCTGCCCTTCCTTCTAGTCAGGAGGCTGAGGTGGAAGGTTCCCTTGAGCCCACGAGTTTGAGTGTGTAGTAAGCTATAATTATACCACTGAACTCCAGTCTGGGTGAAAGAGCAAGTTCTTGTCTCAAAAAAAAAAAAAAAAAAAAAAACCCAAAATACCAGAGTTCTTATTTAATAAGTACATACTGAAAAACTGAAATGTGGAAGGAAAAGGGTTGAGCATAGCTCAGACGAGACTTCGTGAGTTCGTATCACTGCTGTTGGTTGATGGATACAAGGGACTCATTCTTTCATGTTCTTTAATGTTTTGAAAATTCTTCATAATAAAGTTGTTTTTTAATCACTTGGATGGGCTCTTTGTTTCTATATGAACAAACCCCAGCACAGCAAGCAGGACTCTGGGGTTCCCCTGCTCCATCCTGACCTAATCTAGACCGGATGTGAGTGAGGAGACAGTAGCAAGCACCTTACCCCTGGTTGGGTGGTGAGGAGCAACCTTAGACAGGAAAAGGGTACAGGGGCCTACTCTGCTAAGTATCTCCTGATCTTTCATCCCTCCAGATCAGAAAGAGTCCCCACAGCTCATCTTCCCTTTCTGCCTCCCTGAATCTACCTCTGGGTAGGAGGTACTTTTCATTTCTGTAGGAAATATCAGACACCGCTGGACCTCAAGGCCTCAGTAAAATGGGTTTCAACCCCATCTCAGAACCTCTCCCAATTCTGTAACTGTGGAAGCTTCAGATCACTGACTTGTAAGAGTCAAACAGGCCAGGTGGGATGTTAAGAATCTCCCTTCAGGGCTGCAGGGGAGTCTGCATCAAACCCCAAAAAAGAACAAGCTCTCAATCCCTTGAGTGATCAAGGAACCCTGTAGAGAAAGGACCAAAACAGCAGTCAATCCAAACAATGCTCTACGCATGGGCTTTGGGAGGCATTTTTTTTTGTTCCTCGTGTTTGTGTGTGTGCATATGCATGTATGACTATGTGTCCCAGTGTGAGTGCATGCTTTGTGATAGTGTATCTGGATTTAACTGGGAGAAAAATCATTCACAGACCCCAAAACTGGCAGGAGAGACCCTGCTGACCCTCCATCTCCTTCCTTATACTGGCCAGTTCCCACAGTGAAGCCAGCCCAGGCTCCGTGTCCCCAACTCTGACACTAGGAGACTTGGTGGCAGAGACTCAGGCTTGAGTACAGGCTTTAACCACATACACATTATATGACCTCTCTGGGCCTTGGTGTCCCTATGTCTAAAATGGGGACAATAACTCCTGCCCTCCTAATAGGGTTGTTTACAAGAATTTAAAAAATAGAGAAAGCGGCCAGACACAGTGGTTCATGCCTGTAATCCCAGCACTTTGGGAGGCCCAGGTGGGCGGAATGCTTCAGCCTAGTTGGAGATCAGCCTGGGCAACATGGCGAAACCCCGTCTCTACTAAAACTGCAAAAATTAGCCGGGCATGGTAGCCAGCACCTGTAGTCCCAGCTACTTGGGAGGCTGAGGTGGAATGATCGCTTGAGCCCAGGAAGTTGAGGCTGCAGTGAGCTGAGATCGCACTATTACACTCCAGCCTGGGTAACAGAGAGAGACCCTGTCTCAAAAACAAACAAACAAACAAACAAACAAAAACAAAAACAAAAAGACAACCAAAAAAACCCCACAAACAATTGCCCTCCGATCACTTTCTTGCCTCCCCATTCACTGTGGGAGCTCTTCAAGGGCAAGGATTTTGTGCTGTACATCTTTGAGAGGTAATAGTGCAAGTGATTTAAAGGATGTACTCAGAAACCTGGGCACAAATCCTGGTTCCACAACTTATTGGCTAGCTGATCAAGTTATTTAGTTGCTCTGTGCCTCAGTTTCCTTATCTGTAAAGTGGGACAAACAAGAGTACCTGCTTCACGGGGTTGATTAAAGTGCTCAGGACAGTGTCTGGCACACAGGAAGCACGAAGTAAGCGTTGACTATTACTATTACTATCACGATCTGTCCCTCTCAGAGCCTTCAACAGGCTGAGCAGTCTTTAAAAATTATTTATATCTGTATTCATTTATTCCCTGCCTCCTTCCACAAAGCCTCCTAAGTGATTGTGCCCACAGAGAGGACTCAGGGAGGGTAAGCTGAAGGCCCCAGGAACAGGATTTGAGGTTAGAGACTGGGGCGGGGTGTTCCCCGCTGCCACATCAGGGTGCTTTCCCGCCCCAGCACAAGAGCCCGGCCCAGCCAAACCAGCCCTACTGCTAAAGCCACCGACTGCTAGAGCTGGATGTGTCCCGAGATCGCCACAGATGAGGAAACTGAGGCTGGCCAAGCCTCTTCCCCATTTCTCCACCACCCCACCCTGGAGCTCGTCAAACCCTCGCCCCTGTCTGCTTCGGACGGAGCTCCGTTTTCAACGTCACTTGCGAGAACTATGGACAAAGACGACACAGACACACTTCACCTGATGGAGTTTAGGGACACCCCACCCTCGGACCGCGGTGGGGGGCAGAGTCCAGCCAATGCACTGATCTCATGATATGCAGATACCACCATTTCACGGTAGACAGAGTTAGCCACATTATCCTAAAGGACACAGAGCAAAAGCCGTTTCTCTTCCCTCCAAGCCCCCAAACCACATGTGATTTTTCTCTCGCGGCAGAAGGACCTTCCTAACTGCCCTGGCTGCTCTTAAGACTAGCACGGTGGGCTGGCAGGCGCCCGCTGTCGGCCGAGGACTGTCTGGGCGCGCTTCCTGGAGGAGGCGGTGCGTTTCGCGCGCTCGCTGCCGGCGAGCCAGCCTCTTCCCTTACTCACCGGTGTCCGGAAAGGTGAACGCTGCGCTCGGGCTGCCTCGCCTGTTACCTCCGCCGCCGGGCATGCTCAGCGTCTGCAGCTGCCGGACCAGCTCCGGCATGCGGTCCCAGTGGCCCTCGGCGCGGCAGCGCTCCAGCTCGCTCTCCACCTTCAGGTAGGAGCCGTGCGCGCCCTTCGCAGCCATCTTCTCGCGGGCGCTGTCATGGAAGGTGCGGCCAAGAAGTGGAGACCCGGCCGGGGGCGGCGTCCTGGCTGGGGCGCACTCGCGGGCGGGGTCGACGGGGGCGCAGACGGCAGCCGGGGCCCGGGCGGCAGCGGGGGCCCGGGCGGCGGAGGGTGGGCAGCAGCAGCAGCAGCAGCACCAGCAGCTCCCAGCGCACCGCCCGGCGCCTCCGGGCTGCGGCTCCGGCCGAGCGGCCCGTACGCGTACAGGAGCAACCTCCGCCTCTGCTGTAGCAGCTCCTGGCGCTGCCGCCGCCGCCGCCGCTGCAGCTGCTGCCACAGCCTCCGCCCCGGGCCCCGGCGCCGCCAGCTGCGGACCCGCCCCTGGCCGCGGCTCCACCCCCGCGGGGGCGTGGGGAGGCCTCGGCGAGCCGGGCTCGCTGGCTGCCAGCGCGGCCACAGCAGCCAGGCGCGCGAAGGGCGCTCGCGGCCGCCCGGGTACCCGCCCCCCGCCGCCGCCCCCGCCGCGGAGTCGGAGCTCACTTTAATCCCGCGCGGAGCCCCGGCGCCCGGGGGCGCCTCGCTTCCCGCCCCCTCCCCATCCCATCGGGGCTCTTAGCCTGGGAGACCACTGCCCGACGACCTGGCTTTGTGTGGTGGCCCCGTCACCGCTGCTGCCCCTGACACGTCACAAAAATGGGGAGAGGCCGGCCGACAGGCCCCAACCCCGACGGCGAGCCTCCCGGGAGCTGGCCTGCCGCTGTCCGCCCCGCCCTGTTGCGATGCGGGCCAGGCATGCTCGCGAGGACCCAGGCCCGTTCCCAGGCCCGCGACTCTCTGGACGCCCCTCTGCTGGGAGCATTTGTATTTTCTTATTTTAGCGGAGTTCCTCTTTCCAACTTGACTTCCCTAACCCGTTGACCTGTCCTCTGTGGAATCTCTGTTGCCCTGGATTTCTTAAAGGCTTTAGGCTGTTTCACCACCTTGGTATTTATTTATTTCTTCATGCTGGTCTAAGACTGTGATCAAAGCTCTATGGAGTGCTTAGCAGGGTTTAGCCCAGGGCTGTGGGGTGCCCAGAAGTTCACAGGACTACGGGGCGGGGCCTAGCGGGGGCAGCCGAGGTCCACCCTTGGGGGGAGACCTCTTACAGGGGCCCGGCCCCGCTGCCGCCGCAGCTCACAGACCAGTGCTGGAGAAGCCACAGCAAGACCCGAAACCAAAAACCACCGGCATTTAAGTGACACATTGTATGGTCCAGACTGAAGACTCAAAAGACAGCAGGGTCAGGGCAAACTTTTGAGCAGACTCCTAAGAGTTAGAAGGTGCTCCACGTCCTCCCTCTGGAGTCTTCACCACTGCCCTAAGTGTTTTTGGACAACTGTAACCGAGGGAAGGTTTTTATGTCAAGCAGAACCCAGGCTCCTAGTGCATAGTCCCGTGTGGCCTTTCACATGAAGCCACACAGGGTGATTAGTTGAAGACAGTCTTCCTGTTCCCACTGACCCCCGACTCCCATGTGGAGGCCCTCCTCTCCGGGTTCTAAATGCAGCTCCAGTCCTTGTTTGGTGGGCAGGATTTCCTAACGGTGGGTGCTGCTCTGAGCACCTGGGGACTGTTCTGAACCCCCAGAGGCCAGGAGGTAGATGAAGGGAAGCTGAAGCTGCTCTGGCAGTTGGAATTTAGAGACAGTTTAGTCAAGCAGTCTGTAAACTCCTGGCTTACTCCAGTCAACTCCTCAAGCTGGCTTTTTGTTACCCTTTGGCTGCCTTTGATGGTCACCAGAACCGGATTTCACTTGGAGAGAGCGGTTGGATTAGGGTGACCCGAGAACACACTGTGATTTGCCCCACGCCTGGCATTCCTGGGAGTCAGCCCTGGGGCAGGGAGTGAACAGCAGGGTTGATAAGAGGGAGGCGACCTTGGCAGAAATAAGACCTCCTTTCCTGCCTCTTTTTTCCTAGTCCTTTGCCAGCCCTGCCCCCAGGTTGTAGAGCACCTAGTGAACTAACTGTAGAGGGAATCACTGCTTGTTGCTTTAAGGGGGTCACCAATACTCATGTATGTGTGGGCATAAAGGAGTGTGGGGAGGAACAGTCTTCATGGCTCACATTTTTAATGAGCTCTTCCTCAACATACGCCGGACCCCTTCACAGCTATTTTCCAGTAGGGACAAAACCCCAGCCCTCTGATGACCAACATTTCTCAGGGGTGTAAAAAAACTAGGAACAAGAACCCACCTTGGCCTCCCAAAGTGCTAGGATTACAGGCTTGAGCCACTGCGCCTGGCCAATTTTATTCCTTCCTTAGTGACTTGTTTTAGAGGCTATTGTACAATTTTGGGTAGAGGTTTAGATGGGTCAGTCTGAACCTTGATGGGTTTAGCTCCTGTAGAGTATCAGTAAAATTTTTACTTTATTTTACTATTATTTTTAATTTATTATTTTGTTTGTAGAGACGGGATCTTGCTGTGTTGCCCAGGCTGGTCTTAAACTCCCAGCTTCAAGCGGTCCTCCCACCCTGGCCCGCAAAGTACTTTTTTTTTTTTTTTTTGAGACAGAGTCTCGCTCTGTTGCCCAGGCTGGAATGCAGTGGCACGATCTCAGCTCACAACAACCTCCGCCTCCCAGGTTCAAGCAATTCTCCTGCCTTAGCCTCCCGAGTAGCTGGGACTACAGGCGTGCACCACCATGCTCAGCTAATTTTTGTATTTTTAGTAGAGACGGGTTTCACTATGTTGGCCAGGCTGGTCTCAAACTCCTGACCTCATGATCTGCCCGCCTTGGCCTCCCAAAGTGCTGGGATTACAGGCATGAGCCACCCTGCCCAGCCTCCAAAGTGCTTTGATTGCAGGTATGAACCACCCACCACACAGGGCCCATAGAATTTATTGACTATAAGAGAACTTCAACTTAATGCTTGATTTACACACCAAAGTACTGATAAATCAATATCCAAATTAGCTATGACCTTATTATGGATAGGAAGGGCCTCAGGGACTAGAAGGAAAAAAATCCTCAGGAGAGCATGTCATGTGGTAACTCCATTCACACAATGAATCCCTTGCTATTAAGTTATTAAAGTATAGTGTCACAAAGTAGAAGAGAATACCCCCTCGGTTGAAGGTCCGAGGCACAGGTTTAGGCTGTGGCAAAGGGAAGTTGTGTTGAGGATTATTAGATAGGCGTATGACCCAAGAAGTTTACTGATATTAAGGAAAAAAAAAGGTATAATAGTGATCAAGTTTAAGATTGATATTTTGTTCCTATATCCATCAAGTTTGTAAGGTTGTCCTTTACGTTTTAGAGAAATGTTTCCTTGTGGGTTTAAAGGCTGAGTGGGAAATTGAACACCTTCATTGGTGACTTGATTTTTGCTTTTTTCTTTTTCTTTAGTTTCTTAATTCTAGGGCTCTTTCAAAATGTTCAAGGAGGTTTTGGAGATCTGGCCATGGGGCTGTTTCCCATTCTAGTTTTTGTTTGCATAATAAATCCCCTATTTCTGGTTTAAGGCCATTCACAAAAAGAGAAAAGAGTCCCATCACCTCTGCTTCAAGATCTACTCCAGAATTCTGCCACTAGATAGTAAAGGACCTAGCCCTGAAGTCTCCATCAGACTTCTCTCTTTTACATATATATACACAGTAGTTTTCTTCAGTCCATGACCTGCTGAACAGACTTCTCTCTTGACAAAGAACTAATTACAGCACATTTTGCTTTCACAGGGAAGACTGCCGATAGCCTCCAAAAGACCTTGACTAACGTTCACAGCTTCCCCAAACCCCTTCAGCTTCCTATGCAATCCATGGCCTTTGAAATCACTGTTGGGCCAGGCATGGCAGCTCGTGCCTATAATCCTAACACTTTGGGAGAAGGAGGTGGGAGAATCACTTGAGTCCAGGAATTCAAGACCAGCCTGGACAATCTAGTGAGACCCTGTCTCTACAAAATAAATAAAAAATCATCATTGGGGGGTTTTCCATTCTGACTTTTTCATCCAATGTTTTGCTTCTGAGGCCCCTACTGGCATATAAATGAATTGCTATAAATCTGGCTGCTCTGGATGATATGTTCCTAAAACAATTCGAAGTCCCATTTAGGCCTTGAAGAGTCTTTTACAATGGCTTTCAGCTAAAAATGAAAACAGGGCTTAAAATCCACCATAGAGATTTTTTTTTTCTATTCTGAAGTTAAGTGAGCTTTGGGGTATCTAGCCAGCCAGGAGGAAAGGGGAGTGGATCTGAGGGAGAGAAAAGGGCAGAGGGAGATGGAGGAGCATAGGGTAGGGGAAAAGAAATAGCAGGTTTCAGCTGTGATATTGGGGCAGGGGAGGTCTAAAAGATAGTTTTAAGTAGTTCAGCTTTTTATTTTGCTTTGGCCAAGAAATCTGTTAAGGAAGTAATTTTTGGGGTTGGGCATGGTGGCTCACTCCTGTAATCCTAGCACTTTGGGAGGCCAAGGTGGGCAGATCACTTGAGCTCAGGAGTTCGAGACGAGCCTGGGCAATATGGCAAAAACCCATCTCTACAAAAAATACAAAAATTAGCCTGGCATGGTGGGCAGGTGCCTGTGGTCCCACCTACTTGAGGGGCTGAGGTGGGAGGATCGCTTGAGCCCAGGAGGCAGAGGTTGCAGTGAGCTGAGATCGTGCCACTGCACTCCAGCCTGGGTGACAGAGAGCCTATCTCAAAAAAAAAAAAAAAAATTTGGAATCCTGTTTCTTTTGTATGCTTGCTCATGCTAATGAAAAAAAAGAAGACCACTGGATGTTTGGAATTGTGTTCACTTTGCATTCTAAAGTGAATACTTTTGTGCATATCAGAAATTCCTCATAGTGGCTACCGCAATTCTAAATTATCTTTGGGGAAATGATGATGCTGTCTATAAAAGTAAGTGTACACATTTGGGTGACAGCATAAATACATGCAAGAAGCAGAAGTCTGGCCCGAGGAAGCCATAGACAGGTTGATATTAAGACAGAACCATGAGAGTCTGCGAATGGTGAGCTGACAGTTGCTTGTGTATCCTGTGGCTCAGGACCCCCCAGCCTCATAGCTAGACCTTTTCCAACTGTAATCCTGATGAATTTACAGTTCCCAGCAGACAGAGGGTCCGGAGAGATTGTCCTGAACCAAACTCTTAAAGACAAAATAAGACACGTCTGAGAAAAGTTCTCATAAAGTTTTGATCAGAGACAAAATTTGTCCCTGGGCCAGCTAAGGGACAGACTGAGACCTACACCTATCTTCTTCTCTAAAAACTTTCCTCTTACAGATGCACAACAAAAAAATGACAAGGATGAACACAGACAAGTAGTAGCGTTGTTAGTAATAAGGCAGATATCCACAAGGGGGAAAAGATTTTCAAATATGGTCAGATAAAGAGTTCTTTATTGGTAGAAGAGAAAATAAGCTCAGTATTTGGGAAGCTAAATAAGCAAATATATTTATTTCTTATTATTTTTTATGTTTTTAGAGACAGGGTCTTGCTCTGTCACCTGGGCTGGAGTGCTATGGTGCAATCATAGCTCACTGCAGCCTTGAACTCCTGGGCTCAAGCCATCCTCCAGCCTCAGCCTCCCGAGTAGCTGGGACTACAGGCACACGCCACCACCCCTAGCTATGTTTTCTAATTTTTTAAGAGACTGAATCTTGCTATGTTGCCCAGGCTGGTCTCAAAACTCCTGGCCACTAGCAATCCTCCCACCTCAGCCTCCCTAGTCTCTAGGATTATAGGTGTGAGCCATCACACCTAAAAGAAAAATTAAAAAAAGAAATTGGAGCTTGGGTCCAATACAAGACTTGCATCTCTCATTGTTTCAGTCTGAAAGAACTCCAAGCAGGAAGCTTAAGAGCCTCAGAGGATCACCCTGTTTCCGAGTCAGGGGTCTTGGACTGCAGTGTTGAGGAGGTCTCAGTTGGATCACTGCGGGCCTCAATAATTGAATGCTATCTAGAAAAGTAAATGTACACATTTGGGTGACAGCAAATACCATCAAGACAATTTTTGTGATAACGCAAAGCTTAGCTTGTTCTCATGGCAGGAAGGGAGAACACTACCCTGACAGAGTCATAGCAGTGTCTGGAATAGGGAAGGCAAAGTTGGAATAGTTATGAAGTGTTGGGGTCTGTTTTGTTTTTTTATTTTTTTTGCTTAAGCTCAGTGGCAAGAAAGGAGTTTATTTTAAAGCAGCTCTTCCAATGACGGGACTTGATTAGGACTGGGCAAGGATCATGATACAACAGTATCATAGTTCACTGCAGCCTTGAACTCCTGGGCTCAGGATGAAAGAGTGTGGGGAGGAACAGTTGTCATGGCTCACATTTGTAATGAGCTGTTCCTCCACACACGCCTGACCCCTTCACAGCTCTTTTCCAGCAGGGACAAGCCTTCAGCCATCTAGTGACCAACGCTTCTCAGGGGTGTTGGTCTAGTAATCAAAGGCCTTAAAGACCAGTAGTCTTAGGGCTCGGCGTGGTGGCTCACACCTGTAATCCCCACACTTTGGGAGGCCGAGGTGGGTGGATCACGAGGTCAAGATATCAAGACCATCCTGGCCAACATGATGAAACCCTGTCTCTACTAAAAATACAAAAATTAGCTGGACGTGGTGGTGCGCGCCTGTAGTTCCAGCTACTCAGGAGGCTGAGGCAAGAGAATCGCTTGAACCCGGGAGGCGGAGGTTGCAGTGAGCCCAGATCATGCCACTGCACTCCAGCCTGGCGACAGAGCGAGACTCAGTCTCAAAAAAAAAAAAAAAAAAAAAAAAAAAAAAAAGAGCAGTAGTCTTCATACCTTATTCCAGGATTGGGATTGTTGGGATAGGGCAAAAGTGATGGTTTTGAAGTGCGGGTTTTTTTGTTTGTTTGTTTTTGTTTTTGAGACAGAGTCTCCCTCTGTCATCCAGGCTTACTGCAACCTATGAGGGGAGGGTTTTTAAAGTGTTTTAGAGAATAAAAAGCAGTTTGAGTCTATCTATTGAAAAGTCACAGGCCGGGTTGGGTGGCTCACACCTGTAATGCCAGCAATTTGGGAGGTTGAGGTGGGTGGATCACTTGAGGTCAGGAGTTGGAGACCAGCCAGTTCAAGACCAGCCTGGCCAACATGGCAAAACCCTGTCTCTACTAAAAATACAAAAATTAGCTGGGCGTGGTGGCATGCATCTATAATACCAGCAATTCAGGTGGCTGATGCACAAGCATTGCTTGAACCCGGAAGGCAGAGGTTGCAGTGAGCTGAGATTGTGCCACTGCACTCCAGCCTGAGCAACAGAGCAAGACTCTGTCTCAAAAACAAAAGTCATCGAGTTCATTTAAATGGTTTCTTCTGAAAACTTCTGCAAAAAACAGTGAAGTTATTTACAACTTTTATCATCCTGGGTAAGAGTTTCCTGCAATAGTAAAGCCATGTCAAGGTCAACAGTACCTTAGGTGTAGATGGTTTCTGTTCTTCCTGTGTACTGACTCAAAAATTTATTATGGATGATTATTATGACATTCTCCTCGCCTTCATCAAATCATTCTTATACTAGTTGTCACAATGGCTGTGAGTAGTTGGGCTGGAGGTCACCAAGTGCTCCCAGCCATCAGAAGTAGAGCACCAAGCCTAATGAGATGCCCTCCCCACCTTCCACTCTGGCCTCTTCTTTCATACTTACCATGTGGGGTCCCTTAGAGCCCTGTGTTCCCAGCACATGCTAGATTTCTGACCAGTGCTCTGACTTTTTTATGACACTCCACCTTGCTGTCACCCTAGAAATCCTAAATTTAAATATAAATTAAACATTTGCTTCATGATCAACAGTCATTTCAGCCACTCAGATCATCAGTATATGCGAAGTAGAGCACAATGACAACTGCCTTCCCAACTTTATGTAGTCATGTGCATGGCTCAGGATCGCTACATTCGGAAATCAACTTTTACTCATTACCATGATCATTGGCTCAGAGCACATCCTGCCCATGGTATCTTATGTCTTACTTAATTTCAATACTGAACCAGCCCTCCCAGAATGTTGTCATTAAAACTCTGCCAGGAGCTGGCTATATGGTCTTTTCCTTTGTCAGCTGCCAGAAAAACTACATGTAATCATTACGCTAAGAGATGAAGTCCTACAAAGGCAAGCTTCAGAATCATGAATTCTTTGTGCTTGCACATAGTAGACACTCAGTAATTATTTGTTATATTAATTTTAGAATCTCAGAATGTTGAAGATTTTCCCACACTTGGAGATGAGAGCTTTGGGGTGTTTTTTATCCCCAGCCACTCACTTCATGATTGAGATACCAATATCTCTCCAGGCACTGCCCTCCCTCCCACCATCCCAGTCCCTTCTGTTCCTCGGGGTCCCAGGTGACTCTTAATTCTTGTTAGTGGCTTCTATGTCATTTTGCAAGACTGCTACAATGGGCCCCTCTCCAGAGCAGGAGCCCATGATTTCTCCATCTTGCCCAGTGCTGGTTCTCTGCCCAGCTACTGCCATCCTGAGGGAGAGAAGCCATCCCAACCCACAAGGGCTCAGAGCCTTTTCAGTGCAGCTTAGCTGGTCTGGTTTTAAGTCCCATCACTCCTAAGGCTAGCCTTGAGTGTCTGGCCACTCAGAGATTATAGCAGTTTTGAGCCTTAAAATATATCTTTGCTCCATCTGTTTTTTTTTTTTTTTTTGAGATGGAGTCTCACTCTGTTGCTCAGGCTGGAGTGCAGTGGTGCGATCTGCGCTTGCTGCAACCTCTGCCTCCTGGGTTCAAGCGATCCTCCTGCCTCAGCTGCTTGAGTAGCTGGGACTACAAGCATGCACCACCACTCTTGGCTAATTTTTGTATCTTTAGCAGAGATGGGGTTTCACCTTGTTGGCCAAACTGGTCTCGAACTCCTAAACTCAGGTGATCCACCCATCTTGGCCTCCCAAATTGCTGGGATTACAGGCCTGAGCCACTGCACCTGGCCTCCACCTGCTTCTATATTAATCTTTCTTTCTCTTTCTTTTCTTCCTCTTTTTCTTCTCTTTTAAAAACATTTTTTGTTGTGTAAAATAACACAAAAGAAAGTGCATAGATGTAATCATTATACAGCAAACTCTTATTAACCATCAACTAGGGTCAATAAATAAGGTTTCAGGCTGGGCACAATGGCTTACGCCTGTAATCCCAGCACTTTGGGAGGCCAAGGTGCGAGGATCATATGAGGTCAAGAGTTTGAGACCAGCCTGGTCAACATGGTGAAACCCCATCTCTACTAAAAATACAAAAATTAGCCAAGTATGGTGGGGGCACCTGTAATCCCAGCTACTTGGGAGGCTGAGGCACAGGAATTGCTTGAACCGAGGAGGAAGAGGTTGCAGTGAGCCAAGACCCCGCCACTGCACTCCAGCCTGGGTGACAGAGCAAGACTCTGTCTCAAAAAAAAAAAAAAGAATCCCAGAAGCCCTACATTGCTTTCTGATATCTTTTCTCAGATTTAGGAAGTTTTTTCTATTCCTAGTTTGTTAAAGGTTTTTTAAAAACATTATGATTGAAATTGAATTTTACGAATACTTCTTTGCACTTACTGAGATTGTCATATGATTTTTCTTCCTTAGATCCATTAATATGGTGAAATACTTTGATTTTCAAAGGTTAAACCGTCCTCACATTTCTGGAATCAACTTAGTTGTATTAATTTCCTATTGCTTCTTAACAAATTAGCACACATTTAAATGGCTTTAAACAACATGTATTCATTATCTTAAAATTCCTGAGGTCAGAAGTCCAAAGTAGGTCTTATGAACTAAATCAAGGTGTTGGCAGAGCTGCATTTCTTCTCAAATCTACTACTCATGATTTGACAGGGATTTATCAATTTTATTTATTTATTTATTTATTTATTTATTTATTATTGTCTGTTTTTGTTTTTTCCCCCAAAGAACCAGCTGGCCTCTAGAAACATGAAAAGGGAAGATCAGTTCTAGAGGCCGACTGCATTCCTTGGCTGGTGACCCCTTTCTACATCTTCAAAGCTCATCACTCCAACCTTTGCTTCCATGGGCACCTCTACTCTGACTCTGACCCTCCTGTTTCCCTCTTAGAAAGACTCTTGTGATTATATTGGGCTCATGGAGATCATCCAAGATAATCTCCCCATCTCAAGGTCCTCAATTTAATCACCTCTGCAAAGTCCTTTTTGCATGTAAAATAACATTCAATCTGAGCATGGTGGCTTATGGCTGTAAGCCCAGCACTTTCAGAAGCTGAGGCGAGAGGATTGCTTGAGGCCAGGAGTTCGAGACTAGCCTGGGCAATAGAGCCAGACCCTGTCTATATTTAAAAGAAAATTTTTTTTAATTAGCTAGGCATGATGGTATATGCCTATAATCCCAGCTACAGCTGAAAGCTGCAGTGAGCCATGATTGCACCACTGCACTCCTAAATAAATAACACTCATAGATTTCAAGGATTAGGACATAAACATCTTTGGGGGCCATTATTCTGTCTATCACATTGATCAATATGTATTTTCCTTTTTATATATTGTTTGATTTGAATTGCTAATAAAATGTTTTGTTTAGAATTCTGGTATCCATGAGATACGGCTAAATTTTCTCATCTGGAACTGTCTTCATTGGCTTTTGGTCATCAAAATTATGATAGCTTTGTAAATGAATCAGAGGGTATATATATTTTTTTCTTTTCTCCAAAGAGTTCATATAAAGCATTATTTTTCCATTCAGCTATTTATGGGAAGGTTTAAAAATTACTGATTGGATTTCTTTAAAAATTATAGGACTTCAGGCTGGGTGCGGTGGCTCACGCCTGTAATCCCTGCACTTTGGGAGGCTGAGGCGGGTGGATCACCTGAGGTCAGGAGTTCGAGACCAGCTTGGCCAACAGGCTGAAACCCTGTCTCTACTAGAAATACAAAAATTAGCTGCACGTGGTTGCAGGCGCCTGTAATCCCAGCTACTTGGGAGGCTGAGGCAGGAGAATCGCTTGAACCTGGGAGGCAGAGGTTGCAGTGAGCCAAGATCGCGCCACTGCATTCCAGCCTGGGGTACAAGAGTGAGACTTTGTCTAAAAAAAAAAAAAAAAAAAATTATAGGACTTCAAATTTCCATTTCTTCTTTGGTCAATTTTTGGTAAGTTTTTTTTTTTTTTCCTAGGAATACGTTTCATCTAGCTTTTTACATTTTAGGCATGAAGTTAATTATAAAATCTGCTTATCTTTTAAGTGTTCGTAGAATTTATAGTGCTATTTGAATTTTCATTACTGGTATTCATATTCATTATTTGTGCATTATCTCTTTTTAAAATTTTTCTTGATAATTTTCCAGGGATTTATAAATTTTATTACTTTTGAAAAAAGAACCAGTTTTTGTTTATAATGATCCTCTCTATTACATGTTGCTTTCCACTGCATTAATTTTGTTATCTTTATTATTTCATTTATCTTATTGTATTCAAGTTTCTTCTGTACTTAAATAACAGTAGGGAAAGGTTAGGTTATGATACATAGTAAAAAACTCCCCCCAAAATCTCAGGGCTTTCACCAACTTAGTTTATTTCTCACTCCTGCCACCTATTCCACCCAGCTTGGCTGGGCTTTTCTCCATATTTCTTCACTCTGGGGCTCAAGCTAGCAAAGCAGCCACTGTCTAAAACATTGACAATTATCATGGCAGAAGGAGAAGAGATGATATGGTGAACCATATGTTGATTCTTAAAACTTCTGTCTAGGTGTGACACATAACACTTCTGTACATATTCCACTGACCAGAGGAAGAAATATGACTCAGCCTAATACCAATGCCCAGAGATGGGCAGTGAATCTTTGTGAATAATAATATAGCATCCCATATCTTATTTTTCTGGCTTTTTGCAATTCAATCTCAGCTCATTAATTTTCAATCTTTCTTATTTTTAAGATACATGCATTTAAGGATATATATTTCTGTGTTAGCTGTACCCCCGTGTTAGCTATAAGCACTGATACACAGAAATTTTGTTAACATTCAGTTCAAAAATTTTTTTACATTTCCTTTATGATATCTTATTTGACCTACATGTTATTTAGAAGAGCTATTTATTTCTTTATTTATTTATGTATTTTGAGACAGGGTCGTGCTCTGTTGCCCAGGCTGGAGTGTAGTTGCGCTATCATAGCTCACTGCAGCCCCAAACTTCTGGGCTCAAGCAATCCTGCCTCAGCCTCCCAAGTAGCTAGAACTACAGGTGTGTACCACCACAGCCAGGTAGTTTTTAAATTTTTCCTATAGACATGGGGTCTGGCTATGTTGACCAGGCTGGTCTCAGAACTGTGGGCCTCAAGCAGTCTTCCTACCTTAGCTTCCCAAAGTGCTAGGATTACATGCATGAGCCACTGTACCCAGCCTAGAAGTGTTTTTTTGTTTTGTTTTGTTTTCTTTTTTTGGGACAGAGTCCCACTCTATTGCCCCAGGCTGGGGTGCAGTGGTGCAATCTTGGCTCACTCCAACCTCCACCTTCCAGGTTCAAGCGATTCTCCCACCTCAACCTACCAAACAGCTGAGATTACAGGCACCCACCACCACACCCAGCTAATTTTTGTATTTTTAGTAGAGACAGAGTTTTGCCATGTTGGCCAGGCTGGTCTCAAAATCCTCACCTCAAGTAATCCACCCACCTCAGCCTCCCAAAGTGCTGGGATTGCAGGCATGACTAGAAGTGTTTTTAAATTTCAAAATAAATGTGGCTTTTAAAGCTTCCCCCCCTACCCCTCTGGTGTAACTGCATTATACCAGTGAGTAAACTTTATATGATTTCAAACGTGGGACTTTTTTTTTTTCTTTTGAAACAGTCTCACATTACCCACGCTGGAGTGCAGTAGTGCAATCACAGCTCACTGCAGCCTCAACCTCCTGTGTTCAAGCCATCCTCCAACCTCAGTCTCCCAAACAGCTGGGACCACAGGTGTGTGTCACCACATCTGGTCAATTTTTATATTTTTCGTAGAGACAGGGTTTTGCCATGTTGCCTAGGTTGGTCTCGAACTCCTGAGTTCCAGCAATCCACCTGTCTCGGCTTCCCACAGTGCTGGATATAAGTGTGAGCCACCACACATGGCCCAAGTTTTTTTTTTTTTTTTTTTTTTTTTTAATTTCCCTTTCCACCACCTGAGCTTGAAAGAGGGCTTTGAGCCTCACATGAGATTCTAGCCTCAGTTAACACCCTGATTTCAGTCTTGTGATACTGTGTGGAGGACATAGTTGATCCTGGCCTGGAGTTCTTTTTCTTTTTTTTGTAATGTTTTTTCACAACCTGCCTAGATTTCTGATCTACAGAACTGTGAGATGATAAATGGGTGTTATTTTAAGCTGCAAAACTGGTAGTAATTTGTTATGCAGAAAGAGAAAACTAATACAAGGCTGGGTGCAATGACTCACGCCTGTAATCCCGGCACTTTGGGAGGTTAAGGTGGGCAGATCACCTGAGCCGAGGAGTTAGAGACCAGCCTGGGCAACATGGCAAAAACCCGTCTCTACAAAAAATGCAAAAACTAGCTGGGCGTGGTGGTGTATGCCAGTGGTCAGCTACTTAGGAGGCAGAGGTGGGAGGATCACTTGAGCCCAGGAAGTTGAGGCTGCAGTGAGCCATGACCGTGCCACTATACTCCAGCCTGGGTGACAGAGTGAGACCCTGTCTCAAAAAAAAAAAAAAAAAAAAAAAAAAACACCAAAAAAACCCCAATATTAGTGTTTCTGCTGGTGGATAAATCACTCAGTTTTTTTCTAAAAATGTCTTCTCACGTTTACTCTTGAAGGATATTTTAGCTGGCTGTAGTATTTTAGGTGAGCAGTTTTCTTTTGCACTTTGAAGATATACTGTTTTCTGGCTTCCACTGTTCCTGTTGTGAGAAGTCAGCCGTCTGTTGCTCCTTTAATAATAATCTTTTTTTTGCCGGGCGCGGTAGCTCATGCCTGTAATCCCAGCACTTTGGGAGGCCGAGGAGAGCAGATCACGAGGTCAGGAGATTGAGACCATCCTGGCTAACACGGTGAAACCCTGTCTCCACTAAAAACACAAAAACAAAATTAGCCGGGCGTGGTGGCGGATGCCTGTAGTCCCAGCTACTCTGGAGGTTGAGGTGGGAGAATGGTGTGAACCCGGGAGGTGGAGCCTGCAGTGAGCCGAGATCACGCCACTGCACTCCAGCCTGGGCAACAGAACGAGACTCCATCTCAAAAAAAAAAAAAAAAAAATCTTTTTTTCTCCTCTATCTTTAATATTATTTTTCTTTGGTTTTCTACAGACTTATTTTAATGTGCTTAGCTTAGGTTTCTTTTCATTAACTTTGCTTGGGATTTGTCACTCTTTTTGATCCTGATCTTGTAATCTTTCATTGGTTCTGGAAAATTTTTAGATATTATCTCTTCAAATACTGTCTTTGCTCATTCTCTCCTCTCCTCCTGTGACTCCAACTACATACAAGTAAGACCTCACTGAATTCTCTGTGACTCTTATCCTTTTGTATTTTCTATCTTTTTGTCTCTCTTCATTCTAGATACAATAGTTTCCTCTGGCATATTTTCCAATTTACTGATTCTCTCTTTTCGTGTGTCTAAACTGTAGTTCAATCTATCCGTTATATTTTTCTGTTCACAAATTTCTATTTAGTTCTTTTTTCTAATGTTTTGTTACTTTTTGTAGCTTTTAGCTCCCATGTGAAAATTTTTAAATTTGGCTTTTATTTCTTTGAAGATAGTAAGCAGTGTTTAACAACCTCTGTCTGAGAATTCCAGTGTCTCAAGCTGTGGAGGTCCGTTGATTGCTCTTTCTTCTAGTTTGTGTTCACACTGTCTTGTTTCCTCATGTCTAGTTGTCTTTAATTGTGTAGGACATTGCATTTGAAAAATTATTGTAGAAATCATCTGATGCTTAGGATAATTTTATATTCTTCTGAAAGGACGTCCAGTTGCTTTTTCTAGGCACCTGGGGGGGCTCTACCAATCTGAAATCACCTTATTCAAAAAATCTGGGCTTGAGAGTTTCTCAACTCAGACCAATTGACATTCGGCTGTGGTCCATGAGAAGGCTCATCTATTCACTCCTCTATTTTATCATAGAGGGAAGTCTTCCTTGACTCTCCCTATCCTCACCATAGGCTTAAGTGCCCCCACTGTGTGCTCCCATGGCGACCTGGGCTCTAACAAGCATTTACCATTTACCATATTATTTTACATTCTCTCCCCATCTAGACTGTATCTTGAGGATAGGGAGCATCACTTACTCCGATCTCCACTGTTTAGCACAGTACCTGGGCAATGGCATATACTCAGTGTGTGGAACTAAACCAAAATTAACTAAATATGTCTCCCCGACCATCTAGCACTGCTCCACTCTGAGGAGATGGTAAGGCTTCAGTAAAGTCTTCACGACTCACAACTGCTCTGTGTGGGAGGAGATTCTTCTGTGGAGGGAATGCTAAGAAATGCTGATTTCTGCATCCTCACTGATGAGGGGGCAGGGTGGGAAGCAAAACAGACACAGAAATAAGAGACTAAGGGCACCTCAAGTGAGTAAGTCTCTGAGAATGAGCAGATATTACCGGACAAACCCAAACTTTCCAGGTTAAGTCTGATCCCATTATACCCAGACCTCCAAAAAATAAGATCTTAGCTGACACCTGGGTGGCACTGTTGTAGTGTATCTAAGAACTCAAGGCAGAATGGTTTTTAAGAAAGGAATCTTGTGGAACTGGTATGCTGAACACATAGGAAGTATGGGTTGTATCCACAAAAGCCACTTTATTTTTATCTTCCATTGACTTTTAATCCCTTTCAACGGGGGTTAACATGGTCTTTCCCTAGCCAGAATCAATTATTAATGTTGCTTAGGGAAAAATGAAAAATAAACATGGGTTTTTTTGGGGGAGGTGGCAGGGGAGAAGTCAGCTTAGGAACTGGTTTGTGAATTGCCTTTTCACATCAAATGAGTCAGTTGATACAGTCAGGTTAATTTATTCTGACCAGGCATGTGTCAACATATTATTTATTTATTTATTTATTGAGACACTTTGTTGCCCAGGCTGGAGTGCAGTGGTGTAATCTCAGCTCACTGCAACCTCCGCCTCCCAGGTTCAATAGATTCTCCTGCCTCAGCCTCCCAAGTAGCTGGGATTACAAGCGCCCACCACCATGCCCGGCTAATTTTTGTATTTTTAGTAGAGATGGGGTTTCACCATGTTGGCTAGGTTAGTCTCGAACTCCTGACCTCAAGTGATCCGCCCACCTTAGCCTCCCAAAGTGCTGGGATTATAGGCATGAGCCACTGCACCCAGCTCAACATATTGTTAAAAAAACAAGTGGGTGTGGTGGTGCATGCCGGTAGTCCCAGCTACTCAGGATGCTGAGGTGGGAAGATCGCTTAAACCCAGAAGTTCAAATCTAGCCTGGGGAACATAGCCAGACAACCCCCATCACTGAAATAAATAAATAAATAATTGAAAACCAAGTGCAGTGCAACAAACAGATCTGTATTACAGAAAAATACTGAAAGCTGAATGGCAGCAGCCCATATCCCTAAAGGCCAATTTGTTGAAGGATTAGTTACTTCAGTATCCAAGCTACCCCATTTGCCAAATGTATGATTTACCAAAAACTAAGAGTACTCTTGAAAATATCCAATGAAGGCTGTGGCAGGCTGGCTCACGCTCATAATCCTAGGACTCTGGAAGGCCAAGGCAGGCAGATTGCTTGAGCCCAGAGCTCGAGTCCAGCCTGGCCAACATGGTGAAACCTTGTCTCTACAAAAAATACAAAAATTAGCCAGGCGTGCTGGCAGTGTGCCTGTAGTCCCAGCTATTCCAGGGCCTGAGGCAGGAGGATGGCTTGAGCCCAGGAGGTTGAGGCTGCAGTGTGCTGAGATCGCACCACTGCGCTCCAGCCAGGGTGACAGAGCAAGACCCTATCTCCAGGGGAAAAAAAAAAAAGAAAATATCCAATGAATAGTAAGGTACTCTTATGAATATCACATGGTATATTTTTATTCCAGATTTTCTTCAAGTTTTCTTCTCATATTCTATTCAAAACACTCATACTCAATATATTTTATAATTTTTCTTTAGAATATTATTATACTCAAATACAAAATATAAATTCTTCACAAATATGATTATATTCCATAAATGTAAAACCCAAGCTTTCAGTTAATTGGAGAGCTAAGCTCACAATAAAGTAGGGAAAATTCTCAATATTCAAAAAATTAAGAAGGAGCTAACTTAGTGGAGAGAAGGGAAGAATGTTGATGAGCTGATACCAAGGCTTCCCTGGGGGGTTTACAGTTTTACTGGTTTACAGGGACTTTGAGATTTTTTTTTTTTGGTTCCTTTAGTTGGGTTTTTTTTTTTTTTAAAGAGACAGGATCTCATTCTGTCACCCAGACTGGAGTGCAGTGGCAGGATCATAGCTCACTGCAGCCTTGACTTCCTGGGCCCAGGCGATCCTCTCACCTCTGCCTCCTGGGTAGCTGGACTACAGGCCCACACCACCACGCCTGGCTATTTTTTAAAAAATTTTCTATAGGCCGGGCACAGTGGCTCACACCTGTAATCCCAGCACTTTGGGAGGCCGAGGCGGGTGGATCACCTGAGGTCAGGAGTTCGAGACCAGCCTGGCCAACATGGTGAAACTCCGTCTCTGCTAAAAATACAAAGAAAATTAGCTGGGCGTGGTGGCAGGCGCCTGTAATCCCAGCTACTCTGGAGGCTGAGGCAAGAGATTTGCTTGAACCTGGGAGGCAGAGGTTGCAGTGAGCTGAGATGGCGCCATTGCACTCCAGCCTGGTGGACAAGAGTGAGACTTTGTCTCCAAAAAAAAAAAAGTTTTTCTATAGAGACAGGGTCTTCCTATGTTGTGCAGGCTGGTCTCAAACTCCTGGACTTGAGCGATTCTCCTGTCTCGGCCTCCCAAGATGTTAGGATTACAGGCATGAACCATCACACCTGGTCAATTCTGAGTTTTAATGGAGACTGCAACAAGGGAAGAAATTTTGTGTTAAAAAGAGTAAAGAGACAGGTCTGATACTTTCACATATGGCTAGGACTCTCCAAGGCCTATACCTTCTGTGATATTGTGAAATATATATTTGGTCTTTGACCCTGTTTTCTAGCATACAACTCCTACAATCCTTAAAGACTCCACAGTGATGTCTTCTTGTAAGCTAATGGTTGACTGATGGCTGGCAGCCCCCAGGTAATTCAGAATGACAGCTCTTTACTGGAAAGACCAAGGTGTGATTAGAAGGTTGGGACTCTTAGCCCCACCTCCAACCTCCAGGGAGGAGAGAGGGGCTGAAGGTTAAGTTGATCACCAATGACTAATGGTTTGGTCAACTGTGCCTATGTAATAAAGCCTCCATAAAAATCCAAAATAACAGGGCTTGGAGAGCTTCCAGAGAGCTGAACACATGGAGGCTGACAGGAAGATGAATGAGAAGACATCCACAGGCCAGGAGGGTGGTGCACTCCAACTCCATGGGGACAGAAGCACCTGTGCTCAGGACCCTTCCAGACCTCACCCTATGTATCTCTTCATCTGGCTGTTTATTCGTATACTTTAAAATAGCCTTTGTAATAAACTGTAATAAAGAGGGGGTCTTGGGAAATCCATCTAAAAGCTATTCAGTCAGATGTTTTAGGGGCCTTGGACTTGCGACTGGTGGGAAAGAGAGGGCTGTTTTGTAAAACTGAACCCTCAACCTGCGGTTTCTGAGGTTATCTCTAGGTAGATGGCATCAGAATTGAATTGAATTGGAGGCCTCCCAGCTGGTGTCTGCTGCAGAATTGATGTGCTTCCTCCAGTGTGGGAAGAGCCCCCCGCCCCTCCCCACATTTTGGTAGAGATGTCTTCCGTGTTTTTTGTTGTTGAGTGAGAGAATGGGAGAAACTCTGAGTGGTTTCTACCTCTCACACCTTCAGGGATTGAAGTACATATGAACCAGAAACAAAATTTGCAGAGATGCACAGAGAAACACAGTAAAGCTGTATATCTTGGCCTTGCCCCCTTGACTGGGGAAAAAAAAATTTTCCCTGAGCATTTATAATTACACTCTGCCCGCACTCAGGTCTGGAGTTTAGTCTAATACTACCTATATAAACCAGGAACCCACAAGTTAAAAAAATAACTAAAAATGTATAGCAGGCAGATAGAAGCAAACATCAAAGCTCTTTGAGGAAACATAGCCTCAGCCCAGGCCACATAGGACTCCCATAGACAAAGCCCCACTAAAAATGAACTCGTCATCAAAAATTATAAAAACGCTCAAGGAAATAATCAACCATGAGTAAGTGCTGAGAAATTCTGAGGAGGAAATGGTATAGGCCTAATGCAACATTATAGTATCAGCCTGGCACAAATACTCCACGGTTAAAATCTCCAGGTCATCAGAATCTATAAGTAACTAAAGTTGTTGTTTGATGACCCTAGCCAGCCTGCTCAAGGGCACGCTTCACAGACTAGACTCTTTGCTGGATGCCAGCTAATCAGCTTTCCTCCACTCAAATATAAAACCAAAAAAATCCAAAAACTTATCGTTCCCAGTATGTCTTTAGTTTTTTATTGTTATCTCCCTTATTTCTTACAGGGGCCCTCACCCCCCAACTAGTGTGGGTCAGCTGCACAGCAGGAAGTGAGCACTGGGTGGGCGAGTGAGCATTACCAACCTGAGCTATGCCTCCTGTCAGTGTCAGATCAGCGGTGGCGGCATGAGATTCTCACAGGAACGCGAACCCTACTGTGAACTGCGCATGTAAGGGATCTAGGTTGCACACTCCTTATGAGAATCTAACTAATGCCTGATGATCTGAGGTAGAACAGTTTCATTTTGAAACCATTGTCCCTCCCCCAACCACTTCCATGGAAAAATTGTCTTCCATGAAACTGGTCCCTGGTGCCAAAAAGTTGGGGATTTCTGTCTTACAGATCCTTTTTTTGTTGATAGAGTTTAATGACTATTTTCTTTAAAGTGAGCATATCATTTGCATGAAGATAACTATTGTCTTTGAGTTATGCTTTGACAAGAGACAAAAGAGTAGACACTATTGCAGGACTAGAGCACAAGAACTTCAGAGAACAGAATGACTAGACTATTAAGACAAAGTATGCTTTCAATAACTGAATTAGACTTGCCCCTGAGTATTTCATGTTCTGGGATGCTATTATAATGGTATTTTAAGCATTTCCATTTCTACTTGCTTATTGCTCATATATAGACATACCATTAATTGTATAATGTATCCTGTGACAGTGCTAAATCAATAGCTCTAGTAGCTTTTTTCTACGTTATTTAGGATTTTCTATGTGCATGATCATATTATCTGTGAATAAAGATACTTTTACTTTTTCTTCCCAGTCTGCATGCCTTTTATATCTTGTTCTCTAACGGCTTAAAGCTCTAGTATAATGAATATACTAAAGCACTTTCAATAGTGTTGAAGGTGGACATCCTTGCTTTGTTCCTGATATTAAGGGAAAAGCATTCAGTCTTTCACTCTAAGAATATTAACTGTGGGTTTTTAACAGATGCCCTGTCAGGCTGAGAAAGTATCCCTCTATTCTCAGTTTGCTGAAAGTTTTTTTTTTTTTTATCATGAATAGGGATTAAATTTTGTCAGATGCCTTTTTAAAATTATCATATAGTTTTTCTTATGATCATATATTTATTTCTTTAAGTACCGAAGGAAAATAACTCTGAAGTTTTGTAGACAGCCACATTTTCATTTTAATGTGAGAGTAATACAAATATCCTCAGGCAGGGGAGACCTCAGAAGTTTGCCACATAAAATTCATCATGAAAATGCCTTTGAAGGAAGTGTTCAAGTAGATAGGCAAGTTCAGGAAAAATTTCAAGAGATATGGGATGTCAGGGTGATCAAAATTTTTGATAAATTTATCTATTTTTTTTTTTTTTCAAAAAAGCCTAAGACTAAGGCCAGGCATGGTGGTTCATGCCTATAATCTCAGCACTTTGGGAGGCTGAGGCAGGCAGATCACGTGAGTTCAGGAGTTCAAGACCAGCCTGGCCAACATGGTGAAACCCCATCTCTACTAAAAATACAAAAAATTAGCTGGGCGTGGTGGTTGTTGCCTGTAATCCCAGCAACTTGGGAGGCTGAGGCAGGAGAACTGCTTGAACCCAGGAGGCAAAGATTGCAGTGAGCTAAGATCGTGCCACTGTACTCCAGCCTGGGCAATTGAGCAAGACTCTGTCTCAAAAAAAAGGCTAAGACTGAAGAAGAGAATGTTTATCTAGAATAACTAATGTCAAAAACTCCAAACAACAACAACATGATGAGAAAGGAGAGCGAGACAAAAGGGATACTAAAGAATGCTAATTTATGTGATTTAATACATACATTATGTATTAATGTATACATAATTAATATATATACCTTCCCCCAACATGAATTTGAAGAAATCAACAGTCAGACTTTTCATTAGGAGTGATGTGTGCTTTGATAAAGTCAGGGACGGAAGAAACAAGGTCATCAAATGCAGATGGCCATCATATTCACCACCCCAGTTTATAGTATATCTGAATTCAGAACAACACAACACATGCCAAAATTCCAAGCTTTTAACACCACAGTTCACCCTTATCAGAAATATGAATAAGGGAGAGAGAAATACAAAGCCCCATCCCAGCTGACAGGGGAGCCTAGAACATGCAACCCATTGAGGTCACCCTCATCCAATGCAAGGGTGATAGAGCAAGACCTTTTCTCTAAACAAAAGAAACTGCAGTTTCTTTGGTGGCAGTGTATTAAGTTCTCAGTTGGAGAATCTGGAAGCCGCACCCTTGTTTTTTCCTCTACTTGTGCAGAACGCACACCTTTTGCATCCTACTCCCTGTTAGAAGGAATTCCAGGGTTCAGAGATTACCACAGGGCCCAACAGCAAGAGACTGTTGTTAACCAGGCTTGAGATTTTAGGGACACAGGATTACCTCAATCATTTGTTAGACTTCTGATCAATTTCATGTATAGTAATCACAAATAACTTACCTAAAGTCTTATTTATTTATTTAGAGACAGAGTTTAGCTCTTGCTGCCCAGGCTGAAGAGCAATGGTGCGATCTCAGCTCACCTCAACCTCTGCTGCCCGGGTTCAAGCAATTCTCCTGCTTCAGCCTCCCGAGTATCTGGGATTACAAGCATGCGTCACCACACCCAGCTAATTTTGTATTTTTAGTAGAGACAGGGTTTCACCATGCTGGCCAGGCTGGTCTCGAACTCCTGACCTGAGGTGATTTGCCGCCTCGGCCTCCCAAAGTGCTGGGATTACAGGCGTGAGCCACCACACCCAGCCTATCTAGAGTCTTTAAATTGTTTTTATTCAATATTTTTCTATTTATTTTTCCAAATAAGTAATATGTAGTTTACAACATCAAAGCAATACTAAAAGGTGTAAATTGAAATCTTATTTTCACCCCTATTCTCATCCACTCTGGAATCCCCTACATAGGTAAAACATTGTCTTGAGACAATTCAAAACAGCTGAGGAAAGAGATGCCACCTAGAGGCCATTCTGGTATCTTGGGATGGCCGTCCTATCTCCTGATAAAGCCACCTCTCTGTCTCTACTTGTACTAGTTTCAACCTGAGTACACAAAGTAAATGGGGTATTTCAGCAAGGTTCCAAGTTATGAGACTCCTGGTTGCAGGTAAAGAGATCCTCTCTTACCTAGTCGTTACTTTCTTTAATCTCTGCTTTCAAATCAGTTATTTCCAACGTAGAGTTGCCCTTCTCTTGAAGGAGTCTGCTGAAAGCTACTAAAAAAGGCAACACTCACTAATGTTCCATATTGCTCGTGAGATTTCTCCAAAAATATAGCATTGGTTGGCATGTGGCCTATATCCAAGGTCCAGCAAGTGACAGTTTCACTACGGCTTATAAGGGTCACCAACTTTCCAGTTTGACATACAGTCTTTTAACACTGGCTACCTTAACCTCCAGTTAGCCAATTCCATATTTTAGTGTCTTGTTTTTAGCATCCTGCTTCTGGTACCAAATTATTTGCCTGTTAGGAATGGGTTCAGCTACAAGTTACAGAACACCCACCTATAAAATGGCTTAATCAAAGGTGGCTTCTCACTTATGGACTACAGTAGGGCAAGAATGGAAGCAGGACGGTCAGTTAGGAAGCTCTCTCTCAAGTAGTCCAGCAGCATCATCTACTACTGGACTAGATGGTTTAGTGGAGGTGGAAAGAAGTCAAAGACTCAGGATACATTTTGATAGCATCAACAGGCTTTGCTGAAGGATTTAAAGGTAAAGGGATGAGATAAATCAAAAACAGCTCGTAGAATTTTAGCTTGAACAACAGAATGAGTACCAGTGACATTTACTAAAATGCACAAGACTGAGAGAGGTGCAGGTTTGGGGGTGAAAATCAAGATTTTGGGGGGACACATTAAGTTTGAGATGCCAGTCTGACATTCATATGGAGACATCAAGTAGGCAGTTATTTACAGGAGCCAGGAATTACACAGAGAGGTCATTGTCAGAGAGACATATTTTGGAGTCATCTATTTATAAATGGTATCTAAAGCACAGGACTAGGTAAACTCACATAGGGAGGGTGGATAGAGAAGGTGACTCAGAACAGAACCCTGGACACTTTGATAATTATAGATTGAGAAGCCAATTAAGAAGCCCAAGAAAGGATAATGAGTGAGGTAGCAGAAGGACCCAGAGTGTGTGGTGTCAGAAAACAAGAGAAGAAAGTGTTTCTAAGTGAGAGTGGTTGGCTTTGATAAAACAGTGTTGAGAGGGCAAGTAAAATAAAAACAAGAGATCAAAGAGACCACTAGATTTGCATGGAGATTGCAGTTTCAGTGGTATGGTGGGGGAGAAAATACAGCAAGTTTATATGTTGATGGGAATTATCTGGTAGAGAGGGAGTGACTGTAGATTCAAGAGAGACATAACACAGGATAACATCCATAGGAAAAAAATGAAAGCACTGGCTAGAATGAGGACACTTTATCCATCTACCAGACACCAGCTTCTTGACACTTCATTTGTCTTATTTGTATCTCTAGTAGCTCCTAGTAGAGCGCCTAGTACATAGAAGATATTCAAGAAATGTTATTGAATGAATAAATGAACAAAGGGAGGGGTGGATGAATGGATGAAGAGATGGATGAATGGCAGATGCAGGGTAGAAGGAGGAACTAGATCAAACTAATCCAAAGTTCAGAGTAAGGAAAGAAGAATGGGTCTTGAATTAATAGGGTTTCCTCAAAACTTAGGGATTCTTTGTCCCGGCGCGGTGGCTCACCCCTGTAATCCCAGCACTTTGGGAGGCGGAGGTGGTGGGAGGATTGCTTGAACCCAGGAGTTCGAGACGAGCTGGGCACCATGGAGACTCTTTTCTTTAAAAAAAGAAAAAAAAATTAGGGATTATGGGATTTTTCTCTGGGATGGGGTGGCAGATTTCAATCTCAGATGAAGGTGGGAAAAGGAATGAGACCGTCAATGGCAGTGGCGTTAGGCAACTTTCAAGGCATCTAACTACTTAGCCACTTTCTTTGTCTTTCCTGTCCGGACCCAGGCTCATTTGAAAAACGATTATGTACCTTTATGGACAGAAATGGGAGAAGGGCTTTAAAAAAAACGACCGTCCTGCCGGGAGTGGTGGCTCACGCCTGTAATCCCAGCACTTTGGGAGGCTGAGGCGGGAGGATCAAGAGGTCAGCAGTTAGAGACCAGCCTGGCCAACACGGTGAAACCCCGTCTCTACTAAAAATACAAAAATTAGCCGGGCAAGGTGGCACGCGCCTGTAATCCCAGCTACTCGGGAGGCTGAGGTAGGAGAAGAGCTTGAACCTGGGAGGCGGAGGTTGCAGTGAGCCGAGATCCCACCACTGCACTCCAGCCTGGGACAGAGCGAGACTCCGTCTCAAAACAAAACAAAACAAAACAAAAAAACAAAACGACCGTCCTACACTCATTTATCCATCAGGTCAATGGATACTTACTGAATGTTAATCTTGTATAGGAGCACAGGTGTAAGGGCAGGATTATACAGGGATGAATTCGATACAGGGATGATGTATTCGTTTCCCTATTTGTTCATGAGTCTGTTTTTAAGTAATCTGTCCTCTCTTGAATGTCAAAAGCTGCTGATTTCACGAACGGTACATGGAAGATGGTATTTGAACTGGGTCGCATAGTCTTGCTGGGACTCCCGTGGAAGCGAACGGGGACAGCGGCTGCCGCAGCTTGTGCAGTGGAGCTGGCAGACGCTGGAAGCAGGCCAATCTTGAAACGTAGGGTCCAAGGCCGGCTCCAGCGTGTTGTGGTCGTTTCATCAAGAAGGAATTAGCATTCCTATTATCTTTCTTCCCAACTTGCAGCAGGACGAACCAAGAGACCTGAACCAAGAGCCCTGTATAGGAGGGGGTGAGCGGAGTTGGGAGCCAGCTTTGGGGTCCGCCCCATCCGGATCCGCCATCCTACGTCGCCCGTGGAACTACGTTCCTGAGGGCTTCCGGCGTTGCCTAGCAACTGCCGGGCCCCTAGGGCGTCCAGCGGCCCAACTGGAGTGGAGCCGAGTGTCGCCCTTGGGAAAGCAGGTAGAAGAACTGCGTCAGTCCCGCCAGTGCTGGGCCCGGGCCGATTACACGTGGACTCACGCGAGCCGTCCTCACAGCCCGCCGCCGCCAGCGGGAGGGGCCCGGCGGCGCCAATGGGCGGGCGGCAGGGAGCGCGCGTGCGCAGGGCAGGTCGGGGGGGGGGGGGGGGCGGGGCGAAGCCGAGGAAGAGCGTTTTGGGGACGGGGGCTGGTGAGGCTCACGTTGGAGGGCTTCGCGTCTGCTTCGGAGACCGTAAGGGTGAGTGAACTAGCGCACTCTCCGCAGCGGGCGGGATCCCGGCGCCTCTCCTGTGGGCTGGAGGCTTGGGCTCAAGATGAGAGGCAGGAGTAGTCTGGGGGCGCGGGCTGGGCCCCCAGGCCGTCTCGGGACGCTTAACCGGCTAGGAGCACGGCCTGTCTCCCGGGGCGGAAGCCTGTGCCCCACCGGGGGCTCTGGAGCCAGACGGGGCCGACTGGGCAGATCTCCGCCCCCTTCCCTGGTCCCTAGGGGCCCGAGGATCGGCCTGTGGGACCAGCTGTGTCGGGTGGACACTGCTCCTGGCCCGGCCCAAAAGCAGCGGGCCGGAAGCCTTACTCTCCCTCTGCTCCTTGTTCCCTCTCTCGGGGAGACCACAGGTCCTGTCGGGCCCGGCGGGGGAAGCTGATCTCCTGTTGTATTCCCTCTCTGGGCATGGCCATCCACCCGGGTGCCCAAGCCAGAATTGGGCATCATTCTCACTTGCTTCACTCCTTTACCCACCCACATCGAATCCCTTGCAAAGTTGTCTTGGATACGTTCATTCTCCAGTCCCATCCCCCTGCCCTACCTAGTTCAGGCCACCTTTTCTTCTCTGGACTACCTCGGTGTCTTCCTGATGATCCCTGCATCTCTTCTTCATCCTCTGTAGTTTGTTCTATACAGAGAGGCTACAGCCATGGTCTTAAAACAGAAATCTGATCATGTGACCAGAAGCGTCCCCCCATTCCCTTATCACCCTTTGGTGGATTCTCATTGCTCTTCCAAGCTCTTGAACGGGGCTTGCAAAGCCCTTCATGACCTGTCTTCCTTTAACTTTAGATTCATTTGTCTCGACTGTACTGTGTCTTCAACCATACTGAATCTTTTTTGGTTCTTAGATCAGAACAAGTTCCTTCTGGGCTTACATGTTCCTTCAGTATGTTCGCTATGTCTGAGGCACTGTCCTTTGGTTGAAATAATCCTTCTTATCCTTTATGTGTTATTTCAGGTGTCAGTTGGGGATTTCGTGGTACCCCATGGGTGTCTGCCTGCCGGTCTCTCTTTTCTACCAGGTTGTAATCTGTGTGAGAGGAGTTTGTCGAGGTCATAGTACTATCTTCAGTACCTTGTGCTGTTAGTACGGTCATTAAATGTATAAATGCAGCATGGGTGCTCCTTGGGCTCCCTAGATGAACAAATAGATCAAGTTATTAATATTAAATGCCTGCTTTTTCAGAACCAATTCTCAACCCTCAGTCCGTGTAGAGGTTTCTTTAGCTTAGGAAGTTGGTTATTTTCTTGCCTTCATTCCAGGACCATGACAGGGGTAAGTGACAAAGTACTGGTCAGTTTTTCTTTGGCATTGGCTGTGGGTACAGGATGTCTGGATGTTGGTGAGTTTGGCTGCTTTGGGTTTGAATTCTTAACCAAGGGCCCCTTGAGGGAGAAGCTGCTACTAGCTGCTGGCAGGAAGGCTGGCCCCAAACTTAGTGCTGATAGGACTGATGACACACCAGGAAGAAAGGGTTGGGCCAGGTCAAACCACTGGAAGCCTCCAAAGGAAGTTCCAGCTTAGGCTAGATCCGCTGTGGGATAGGGAACAATACACCTAGGTGCCAAGACTCACTTCCCTGATTCAGCGATGAGCCAGGTCAGCTCAGCAGAGATCAGTAAGGTAAATGAGAGCCAGAGGAGAGAGGGTCCTGACTCTCAGAGAGGGAGGAAAAGAGAAAAATGGAAAAGGAGAACAACCTGTGATCGTATGTTCAGGTCAAATGAGTGTGAGAGGCTACAGACTGAGGTCGGATGAGAGAGCAATTGGTCTTGGCTGGAAGAATCCTGAGGTGACATTTGAACCTGTCCTGGAAGGAAGTTGGAGATGGACAGATGGAACCAGTAGGAGCGGAGGCTGTGGTACAGGAAGAGGCTGGCAGAGCAGGAGGGGAGCACTGTGACAGCCAAGGCACTGGGAGGCGCACTGCTCCTGATGGTCCAGCACTGCCCTCCCAGGACTGAGGCTGCGCCTTGTGAGGGCTGTCTCAAGGTATGGGTTGTGCCCTGAAGTCCCTTTGCAGAAATTTCTCCTCCGTTGGGTTTTTCTTCAGCCTGGCCTTTATAATTTCCTAAAGAAGGCCAGTGAGCTGGGGCTTATCTTCAGGCTGTTAGCCCATGGCCTTGAGCTAAGTAGTTAGAGCATGGATGATGCAACCTGTTATTTGGGTAGAGGGAGTTGCTTATGCTTTCTCTTGACTGTCAGCAGTTTAATTTGTTAGGTGGCAGTTAGATTCCCTGTTTTCTATCTTTCCCTCCCTCGCCTGCCTTCTTTCCTTTCTTCCTCTCTCTCTCTCTCTTTTTCTAATTAGAGAGGGAGTCTCACCATGTTGTCCAGGCTGGTCTTGAACTCCTGGGCTCAAGTGATTCACTTGCCTCAGCCTCTCAAAGTATTGAGATTACAGGCATAAGCCACCATGCCCAGCCCGATTCCCTGTTTTCAGTGTACCACTTGGAGGAATTTTTTTTCTTTATGTTTATCGATTTGGCTTTTGTTGCATTCCAATGATTAGAAACCTGCAACAGCAAACCAAAATGAGACAAGTTCAAAATCAGTGATTCTTGGCCTTTATCCCACCTCCCTTAAAGAAGGGATATTTTGGACTCATAGTTACTACATGATTAATCACTTGGTTGCTTTTTGGTGTTATCTAAATAGAATTTCCCCCACCCCCAACACACACACACCAAATTGATATACTAAGCATCCAATCACATAGTTGGAGGAAATGGTGCCATGAGTTCCATGATAGATATCTCCAAAAGAAAAGTTTCATCTTCAGTTACAGTGACATTAAAAATTGGCAGCATATCTGCAAAGGTGGTAATCCCCCCAGCTCCCCAAGGACCATGGCACACAGGCTAAGAACCAGCAGCTTCTGTTCCAGGCACTGTGCCTGATACTGGGAATGTGGATTCAGTCCAAGTCCTCTTAAAGCCCATCCAGCAAGGGGCACTGACAAGTAATCAGGCAGTTTTTCAAGAATTCATTCACACACAAGAAAACAAAAGAAAAAAAAGAATTAATTTGCAGCTGTCATCAGCTGTGGACGGGAGCCTTCTGAAGGGAAGCACTTGGGAGCCTGCAGGACGAATACCTACACCAGACTTGGAATTGAAAAGACCTCACTGGAGAAAGAGACATTTGATGTAAATGAGTCTGAAAGGCTTGGGAGGAGCTTGATTCCCTTCTCTGATCCTTCCTGTCCCAGAACTCTAAGATGTGTGGTCAGAACAAGTTGTTCTGCTATGGCCTAGGCAGTCACTGCTAGGAGTAACCTGAAACCTTGTTTTGTGGTACCAGGTACAGTGGCAGTGGCCTTGTCAGGGTCTGGACACGTTTAAAAAATTTTTTTGAGACAGTCTCACTCTCTTGCCCAGGCTGGAGTGCAGTGGTGTGATCTTGGCTCACTGCAATCTCTGCCTCCCGGGTTCAAGCAATTCTTGTGCCTCAGCCTCCCAAATAGCTGGGATTACAGGTGCACGCCACCATGCCCAGCAAATTTTTTTTTGTATTTTTAGTAGAGACGCATTTTGCCACATTGGCCAGGCTGGTCTCAAACTCCTGACCTCAAGTGATCCACTTGCCTCGGCCTCCCGAAGTGTTGGGATCATAGATGTGAGCCACTGTCCCTGGCCAAGGTCTGGGCACTTTTATTTGGTAAAATTGGAAGTGTAGTTTCTGACTGTTTCTGAATTATTTTGTGGAGATAAGAATTAACCGGAAACTCCTTTTGTATCCGATCCATATAGTATTGGGACAAAATTATGGGATAGATTACATTGAATACATATTCATAAAAAATGGTAGCAGATCTCGGCTCACTGCAGGCTCCACCTCCGGGTTCATGCCATTCTCCTGCCGCAGCCTCCCAAGTAGCTGGGACTACAGGTGCCCGCCACCACGCCTGGCTAATTTTTATTTTTGTATTTTTAGTAGAAACGGGATTTCACCGTGTTAGCCAGGGTGGTCTCGATCTCCTGACCTCGTGATCTGCCCGCCTCGGCCTCCCAAAGTGCTGGGATTACAGGCACGAGCCACCATGCCGGCTGAAAATCACAATTCTAATCTCATGTCTCAAGATAATCTTTGTTATTAGTTTGTGTAGGAAATACACATTTTTATTTTACAAAAGTGTATTATTCTTTATTGCTTTTTTGCAGCCTGTTCTTTTTCATTCAATATATATTGAGCATTCTTTCCTATTAAGTATGACATATTGCTTTTTTTTTTTTTTAAACTACAGATATAAAAGGTCTGAGGTGGCCGGGCACGGTGGCTCATGCCTGTAACCCCAGCACTTTGGGAGGCCGAGGCGGGTGGATCACCTGAGGTCTGGAGTTCGAGATCAGCCTGGCCAAGATGGTGAAACCCTGTCTCTACTAAAAACACAAAAATTAGCTGGACGTGGTGACATGCACCTGTAATCCCAGCTACTCGGGAGGCTGAGGCAGGAGAATTGCTTGAACCTGGGAAGCGGAGGTTGCAGTGAGCCAAGATTGCGCCACTGCACTCCAGCCTGGCGAAAGAACAAGACTCTGTCTCAAAAAAATAAAAATTAAAAAATAAAAGGTCTGAGACAGATTGCATTTTGATGTCACTGTTTAGAAGTAGACTAGATTCTAGGTGCTTTTTAGCACCCTGGAAGTTTCTTCCTTTTTTTGGTGGTGGAGGACAGGGTCTCACTCTGTTACCCAGGCTGGAGTGTACTTCAGCCTTGAACTCCTGGGCTCAAGCAATCTTCCTATCTCAGCCTCCTGAGTGGCTGGGACTATAGGGGTGCACTGCTACGCTCAGCTAATTTTTTATTTTTTGTAGAGATGGGGGTCTGACTGTGTTGTCTAGGCTGATCTCAAACTCCTGGCCTCAAGTGATCCTCCTGCCTCAGCCTCCCAAAGTGCTGGGATTACAGGTATGAACCACCATGCCTGGCCTATCCTGGAAGTTAGACATCCCAGTGACTATTGTCCCCTTTAAGGAGGGGGCCATGGGAAGCAATACTGGTAATGGGAAAAACGGATTTGGGAAATTTTTCTAAGTGTTGTAGGGTGGCATACTCACACTTTCAGGGTTCTGCCCTGAGAGCCTTTTAGGATGGGTAAGAGGGACTATAACACCTCTACCTCTCAGCCCCAGGCACAAAGACAGCTACAGCTTCTGAGCTGAGCCCTGTGTGTAGCATGTAAAGGGGATGACCAGTGCCTTATGGTTTGTCTTTACCACTGCTGGTTTGGGGCTGTGGACTACAATTGACCTGTTAGAAATCCCTGGCCTTGTTATCTAGCAGAATCTGTTTTGCCTGTTGGGAAGTGAGTGTTCGGTCAGGTCTTTTGTTTTTGTATGTAGGTCACCTGGCTGTCCTTCACCTTCCTTTTTGAGGTCAGTCTGTCAGCCCTAGGACAGACCAAGACTTTCCATTGAATCAACAATTATTAAAGGCCTGCCTGACCCTTGGCGGGTAATACTGGTGGGGTTAAAGTTCTCCCTGCCCTCCAAGAGCTTGCTCTGTAGCTGACTGTCATCTTATTGACCACAATTCCAAGTGTGGCCAAACCCTGGGAGTTCCTGATGGCATCCTGATTTCTCTGTAACTTTTCTTTCCAGTGCCCGCTCACTGTAGTTACTTGCCACTGTTACCACCCAGGAGGTACAGAACCTTGTCCGCTGCCGCAGACCTTGATCTGACCCGCCTTACCACTCCCTTGGCTACCATGCTCCTGCCTCTAGTCTTGCTTTTGCCACTTCATGCCTTCCCCACTGTGCTGCCAGATGAGTCATTCTGAAACCAAGCTCTGATCTCACCTCCCATTCATGAATTGTAAGTGACTCTCCTGTCTTTCTCTGCAGGAGATGTCAAGCCCTGGCCTAGTGTGCAAAGCCCTGTCCAGTACAGCCTGTCTAGGCCTTGGAGCCACCTCTGTCCTGTCTGCTTCCTACCCTCTAGGCTGCAGCCCAGCTGAACTACTTGTAGTTTCTTTCCCGCTTGTGGGCACCTGCCACTCTGCTCCCACCATTCCTGTGGTCCTTCAGTCCCTGCATATCTGTCCAGGCCCAGCTGAAGTGTCACCAGCTCTATCAGCCTTCTCTGATTTTCCTCCACTCGGAGGAGATTTCTTCCCCTGAACTCCTAGAGGGTTTTCGCTTTCTCTGATAATCTGATATAACTTGCTGGCTGCCTTTCCTGGTGCTCTTGATAGAAAATATTTCTTTCAGGGGACCATAACTTCTGGGAGGCAAGAATAATCTTCCAGTCCCTTCAAGCTTTCACGTGTTGCTTGGCACTCTGCAGGCACTTCAGGAAACCTCGTGAGCCTTCCCCTGCCATTTGAGTGACTTGGAGTGCCCAGGGTCATCCCACAGTCTCAAAGCAGAGCTGGCATTGGGCCGTGTTTGACAAGCTCTCTTCCTAACCTTACTGCTTCATCAGGTTTCCCAGGATCATACCATGTCAAGCCCTGAACGAAACCTTTGCTCTGATGCTCTGCCTTCCTCTTCTGTGTTTCCCATCTCACAGATATTGATGACCATGAGATCCCTGCTCAGAACCCCCTTCCTGTGTGGCCTGCTCTGGGCCTTTTGTGCCCCAGGCGCCAGGGCTGAGGAGCCTGCAGCCAGCTTCTCCCAACCCGGCAGCATGGGCCTGGATAAGAACACAGTGCACGACCAAGAGTACGTATTCAGCCCGGGCTGTGGTCCAGTGGCCTCCCCATCATCTGCAGCTGAGCCAGCGGCAAGGGCATGCTCAGTCCTCCTTTCCTTCTTCCTGTTTCTATGGCTCCTTGACATTCTTCAAGGATGATTCTTATTCCTTATTGCCACCTATAAGTCAGGTATTCTTTTTTCATCATTGTATCACAGGTGGAAGATCTTTAGGCCCAAATGGGGCACATTACTTGTCTGAATCCGGTCTCTCCTTTTTTTCACCACAGACAGACACACACACATACAAATAGACACACAGGTACACATACACAGTCATAGTAGCAGAATCCAGAAAATAGCTAAGGTTTCTTGACTATAACAAGACCTTTTTTAAATCAACACATTCAAACATTGAATCATTTGTTGCAGCTTTTGTCTTGGGCCAGTTAGCCTCACGCATTATACTCGGTTATCCTTTGTTTTTAAGGCTGGGTGCAGTGGCTCACACCTGTAATCCCAGTGCTTTGGGAGGCTGAGGCAGGTGGATTACTTGAGCCCAGGAATTCGAGACCAGCCTAGGCAATATAGGGAAAACCTGTCTCTACTAAAAAATTGCAAAAAATTAGCTGGATGTGGCAGTACATGCCTATGGTCCCAGCTACTTGGGGGGCTGAAGTGGGAGAATCAACTGAGCTTGGGAAGTTGAGGCTACAATGAGCCAAGATCACGCTCCTGCACTCCAGCCTGGGTGGCAGAGTGAGACCCTGTCTCAAAAAAAAAAAAAAGTTTTAAAGGACATATTTTTAAATTGATGGCCTGAAAATGTTATAACAAAATTCTAATAATAAAGAGGAAAGAATACCCTAATCCTGCCAGCATAACAGATGGTCTATTTGACTTTTCCTGCTCCTCTCAAGGCCTTGTCTATCTCTGTGTAATCCTTGAGTGTGGTCTGCCACTGCTGGTGTTTGTTTTTCTGAGCTGGAGGAAGTTTAAGATCTTGAACTTTTCAGAGTCCTTAAGATTTCAGCATGATCCCAGTATCTGTCAATTGGCCTGAACCTGACTGTTGATTTTTAGGCATATCATGGAGCATCTAGAAGGTGTCATCAACAAACCAGAGGCGGAGATGTCGCCACAAGAATTGCAGCTCCATTACTTCAAAATGCATGATTATGATGGCAATAATTTGCTTGATGGCTTAGAACTCTCCACAGCCATCACTCATGTCCATAAGGAGGTAGGTCTGGCAGTGGCTTGGGGGACTGTATCACAGAAAGGCTTCCCTTTGTTAATTTGGTCCCCAGTCTTGTTGACTTGTGTTGTCCTTATGTGCCAAGAGTGCTGCTTCTCCACTGGGCATGATGGCTCGCATCTGTAATCCCAGCACTTTGGGAGGCCAAAGTGGAAGGATCACTTGAGCCAGGAGTTCAAGACCAGCCTTGGCAATATAGTGAGACCCTGTCTCTACAAAACAAACAAAACAAAAATTAAAAAATTAGCCAGGCCTGGTAGTGCATGCCCGTAGTTCTACGTACTCAGGAGGCTAAGGTGGGAGGATTGCTTGAGTCCAGGATGTCGAGGCTATAGTGAGCCATAATCATGCCACCGCACTTCAGCCTGGGCAACAGAGTGAGGCCTTGTCTCAAAAAGAGAAAAAAAGAAAAGAAAAAAAAAGGTGCTGCTGCTTCTTTCTCTTCTGTGTTCTGCCTCTTTCTGTCCAACGATCCTTCCCGCAAAGGATAACTTGCTGAGGCAGAAGTCCCAGGGCTGGGCATTTGTATCTTTAAGTGCTACAGGCATTTCTGTTACACACCAGAGTATGAGAATCAGTGCCTAAAAGACAGACCGTATTCAAACTGCAGAGCAAGGGAGAAGTTGTTTAATGGTGAATTGACACCAAGGGATTCAGGGACGTGGCAGTAATTGAGGGCTTGTGTGATACTGTATGGTGCTCCAAAGTTTCTGAAGCCCTTTCAAGTAGGTTAGAGATCTCGTTGGATCTTTGCAACATCTTGAGTAGGCAGTGGCAGGCATTGTTAATACTTCCATTTTCAGTGGTGCATGCCTGTAGTCCCAGCTACTCATGATGCTGAAGTAGGAGGATCACTTGAACCTGAGAGGTTGAGGCTGTGGCAAGCTGCGATGTTGCCACTGAATTCCAGCCTGGGCAATAGAGCGAGATCCTGTCTCAGAAAACAAAAAACAAACAAAACCCTCCCATTTTCTAGGTGAAGACACTGAAATCAAGATCTTGTGCCAGGCTAAGCACAGTGGCTCATGCCTATTATCCCAGCACTTTGGGAGGTTGAGGCAGGAGGATCGCTTGAGCCCAGGAGTTCAAGACCAACCTGGGCAGCATGGTGATATCCCGTCTCTACAAAAATTAGCTGGACATAGTGATGCTTGCCTGTAATCCCAGCTGCTGGGGTGACGGGGTGGGAGGGTAGTGGGGAGGAACACCTGAGCCTGGGAGGTCGAGGCTGCAGTGAGCTGTGATCGTGCTACTGGACTCCAGCCTGGGTGACAGAGTCAGACCCTGTCTCAAAAAAAAAAAAAAAAAAAAAAAAAAAATCCTCGTGCCTCCACATTTAATGTCATTCCCCTTCTGCCACACTGCCCTCTATAGAGAGGAAGCAAGGCAAAGTTAGCCAGGTGAGTGGGATTACATTCGCTGCTAGGAGTGCAGGTGAGGTTTGAAGGCAGCAGGGAGCATGAATGATTTTGCACAGGAGAATGGCATTGTTTAGGGAAGATCCTTGGTTGTGGGAGACAGACTGAAGGACATGAGGAGAGACTAGTGTTAGGCGGAGGAATTAGGGGTCAGCAGTCCTGGCAGATGAGGATAGTGGTGGTGACAGGAGAGGGAATGGTGAATGTGGGAGATGTGGCAAAGGAAGAACCAGCCAAGGATGTGAACAGCCTCAGCCCACTAACCCTGCTCTTGGAGCATGGGAAATACTTTCTCCTCAAAGATCATAACAGGTTCTGCTCATCGGCAGTGCCTTCTTCCTCTTGTTTTGATGCCAACTTGTTGTCCAATTCGTCACTGTTTCTATTTTATCAGGCAAATTTGTGCACAGAGCTGACCCTCAGGAGGACTGGCACTTTTCCAATTAAAGAAGAATGAGCCATAATGAAACAAATAAGCAAAAGCCTATTTTGAAGGGCCTTCTTTTAACTGGCAAATGTAATTTCTAAACTGGATTATGATAAATTGACTCAATAATACATATTCTCTCTCTATATATCTAGATTCCTAGAAGTAGCCCCATACTCCATTGAAAGTTTTTGGACACATATGAGCGTGGATATTTTGTTGTTTTGTTTTTCCTTTTTTTTTTTTTTTTTTTTAATAAACAGTGCCATGAAAGAACATGGATATTTTGGACGTTAGTTAAGCACTTCTTCCGGTAAAATGCGCAACTCATCATTGTCTAATTTGTATTTTGTAGGAAGGGAGTGAACAGGCACCACTAATGAGTGAAGATGAACTGATTAACATAATAGATGGTGTTTTGAGAGATGATGACAAGAACAATGATGGATACATTGACTATGCTGAATTTGCAAAATCACTGCAGTAGATGTTATTTGGCCATCTCCTGGTTATATACAAATGTGACCCGTGATAATGTGATTGAACACTTTAGTAATGCAAAATAACTCATTTCCAACTACTGCTGCAGCATTTTGGTAAAAACCTGTAGCGATTCGTTACACTGGGGTGAGAAGAGATAAGAGAAATGAAAGAGAAGAGAAATGGGACATCTAATAGTCCCTAAGTGCTATTAAATACCTTATTGGACAAGGGCTTGCTTCAAGCATCTGTATTAGTCTGTATTAATGCTGCTGATAAAGACGTACCCGAGACTGGGAAGAAAAAGAGGTTTACTTGGACTTACAGTTCCACATGGCTGGGGAGGCCTCAGAATCATGGCGGGAGGTGAAAGGCACTTCTTACATGGCAGCAAGAGAAAATGAGGAAGAAGCAAAAGTGGAAACCCCTGATAAGCCATCAGATCTTGTGAAACTTATTCACTATCACAAGAATAGCATGGGAAAGACTGGCCCCCATGATTCAATTACCTCCCCTTGGGTCTCTCCCACAACACGTGGGAATTCTGGTAGATACAATTTCAAGTTGAGATTTGGGTGGGGACATAGCCAAACCATATCATTCTACCCCTGGCCCCTCCAAATCTCATGTCCTCACTATTCAAAACCAATCATGCCTTCCTAACAGTCCCCCAAAGTCTTAACTCTTTTCAGCATTAACGCAAAAATCCACAGTCCAAAGTCTCATCTGAGACAAGGCAAGTCCCTTCCACCTATGAGCCTGTAAAATCAAAAGCAAGCTAGTTACTTCCTAGATACCAACAGGGGTACAGGTATTGATTAAAGACGGCTGTTCCAAATGGGAGAAATTGGCCAAAATAAAGGGGTTACAGGGCCCATGCAAGTCCGAAATCCAGCAGGGCTGTCAAATTTTAAAGTTCCAGAATAATCTCCTTTGACTCCAGGTCTCACATCCAGGTCATACTGATGCAAGAAGTGGGTTCCCATGGTCTTGGGCAGCTCTGCCCCTGTGGCTTTGTAGGGTACAGCCTCCCTCCTGGCTGCTTTCACGGCTGTTGTTCAGTGCCTGCGGCTTTTCCAGGTGCACGGTGCAAGCTGTTGGTGGATCTACCATTCTGGGGTCTGGAGGACGGTGGCCCTCTTCTCACAGCTCCACTAGGCAGTGCCCCAGTAGGGACTCTGTGTGGGGGCTCCCACACCACATTTCCCTTCTGCACTGCCCTAGCAGAGGTTCTCTCCCCTGCCGCTGAGAGGGCCTCTCCCCTGCAGCAAACGTTTGCCTGGGCATTGAGGCATTTCCATACATCTTCTGAAAACTAGGCGGAGGTTTCCAAATCTCAATTCTTGACTTCTGTGCACCTGCAGGCTTAACAGCACATAGAAGCTGCCAAGGCTTGGGGCTTCCACTCTGAAGCCACAGCCCGAGCTGTATGTTGGCCCCTTTCAGCCATGGCTGGAGTGGCTGGGACACAAGACACCAAGTCCCTAGGCTGCACACACATGTCAGGGGCTGCCCTGACATGGCCTGGAGACATTTTCCCCATGGTGTTGGGGATTAACATTAGGCTCCTTGCTACTTATGCAAATTTCTGCAGCTGGCTTGAATTTCTCCCCAGAAAATGGGTTTTTCTTTTCTATTGCATAGTCAGGCTGCAAATTTCCAAACTTTTATGCTTTGCTTCCCTTATTTATAAGGGAATGCCTTTAAAAGCACCCAAGTCACCTGTTGAACACTTTGCTGCTTAGAAATTTCTTCCGCTAGTTAACCTAAATCATCTCTCTCAAGTTCAAAGTTCCACAAATCCCTATGGAAGGGGCAAAATGCTGCCAGTCTCTTTGCTAAAACATAACAAGAGTCACCTTTACTCCAGTTCCCAACAAGTTCCTCATCTTCATCTGAGGCCACCTCAGCCTGGACTTTGTTGTCCATATTGCTATCAGCATTTGGGGCAAAGCCATTCAACAAGTCTGTAGGAAGTTCCAAACTTTCCCACATTTTCCTGTTTTCTTCTGAGCCCTCCAAACTGTTCCAGCCTCTGCCTGTTACCCAGTTCCAAAGTCACTTCCACATTTTGGGTATTTCTTCAGCAGGTCCCAATCTACTGGTACCAATTTACTGTATTAGTCCGTTTTCACGCTGCTGATAAAGACATACCCGAGACTGGGAAGAAAAAGTGGTTTAATTGGACTTAAAGTTCCACATGGCTGGGGAGGCCTCAGAATCATGGTGGGAGGCAAAAGACACTTCTTACATTGTGGCAAGAAAAAATGAGGAAGAAGCAAAAGCAGAAACCCCTGATAAACTGATCAGATCTCATGAGACTTATTCACTGTCACGAGAATAGCACGGGAAAGACTGGCCCCCATGATTCAATTACCTCCCCCTGGGTCTGTCCCACAACACGTGGGAATTCTGGGAGATACAATTCAAGTTGAGATTTGTGGGGGGACACAACCAAACCATATCAGCATCCTTTCAAGAATATTAGATAATTGGAGCTGAGTACTCAGGAACTTGACTGTAGTAGAATACTGCTAGTTTCTTAATTTTAATTCACATCACCTGAAAAGTAAAACAACAGGCTTTGCCAAGTGGATGCTTTTCAGTAACAGTGAAGTGGAGTGAATACCAAATGTTTGCCCTGGTGGTTCCTATCTCTTCAGGCAAACATGGTCAGTATTCTGTAAAGTTCCCCTGGCCTAAATGATTACTTGCTCTGGGCAAGTGGATATTTATTAGGCTATTTCAAAGCCACAGCATAAGAATGTCAGCCTAGCCACAGAGTCTGAGATTCTGAGTTCAGCCTAGCCACAGAGTCTAAGATTCTGTATCCTCTGACATTTTGGAAATGATACACTACTGGCTTAAGTGATGACTCTTTCAGATTTTCAGTATTTTATACAACTACTGCCACATCCTTATACTTTATTGCTTTTCTGTCTTCTTCAACCTGGGAGAGACCCTGAATTTGAGTGTGTTCTCTAATCAATAGTGGTTTAGCTTTCTTTTCTATTTCACTCGTTTCTAGGGTTTTTTATTTGCAGTTTAGGAACTATTAGGAATGTCAGGACTTTATCAGCAGGGGTAAAACTACCACCTGGCCTAGCCTAAGTAGGAAGTGAAAAGATAATTCACCAAACAATGATTAATCAGATAGAAGTTCTAGTCAAGAGGGATATTGTTGAAGTTACCTCTTTTAGCCTAGATACATGGATTCTTTTCAAATCAGGAAAGATTAGAAAAGGAACCCAAAAAACCCTTTAACAGTGTGAATCTTTATAGTATTTGAAAATGAGAAGAAGCAGCAGATTGTAATTTGGTTTATTGGATGTGATGGACGTTCTGTAATAGAAAACCTGAAACGATGATTGAATGGGAAAAAGAGACTACAAAATTTGTCGTAGGATGTATACAGACTTATTTTCTTTATTACAGTATTATAAGAAAACATATGTATTTGTAAAAATGGTTTCCTGTGTCAAGTATTTGTGCAGTCAGAGCTGACTTGTAAACTATTCTTGTAATAGCTCATTATTTTGAAAGATTTATATATGATGAATTCTGGATATATGACCAATAAAACTGATGAAGCAAAACCTCGAGCAGTTGATTTTGTTCACATCAGCTTCTCCTGCCACATGCAGGGTGTGTTTACTACAAATGTTCACATGTGCCTGCTCTTATCATAGTTCCTGTGACTATCTTCGGCTATACCCTGCTCCTTTTGCAGGAGTCAATTCTCAGAATTCAAAGTTACTTTCCCCTTTTAGGCATTTTTTCTTCTGAATGAAATCACTTTTGGATCTTCATTCTCTGGTCAAATTTAAATTATGACACCATTCTCTAGGAGACTGCATAGCGTTTTCCCCTGGTCTGGCGACTGTTTTTTAATTTGATAGCATTATTGAAAACATACCAGACCCAAGCAAAAAAAGTCTCCCCTGGCATTTTGAGAAGACACACTTTTTTCTGCCTTTTAAAAGGAAATTATCATTGCCTCCCTCCGTACCCTCTGAGACCCTCGGACCTTGCACTGACCCTTCTTCATCCAGAACTACCCCTCTGGATGGATCTAGTGAATGGGCTCCCAGTTGTTGGCAGCTGGGAGAGGGAGAGAAGCAGATCCTCAGATAGTGGAATCACCCCATCAAACAGACAAGGCTGGAACACCTTCCTTCTCCACAGCTGGCTGCTGTTAGTAACTATTCCATGCTGGCCTTTGTGGTCCTTGCCTGCCCTTCCTTATAAAAAATTCTCCTGATGGGAGAGTTTCCTGGGACATCAGGGACACAGCATGATGGGCCCTTCCCTGCATATGCCCTCTATCTCCCACACATGAGGCCTTGGCTTCTTGCAGCCTGCCTCAAGAATTCTTCAGAATGTATAAGGAACATCGCTGCACCCCAGTTTCCTTTTCTCTAAAATGGAGGTAAGTATATCCAGCAGAAGCAGCCTTATATGAAGAAAGAGCACAAGCTTTGGACTCAGGCATGCCTGAGTTGAAATCCTAGGCCTGTTTCTTAGCATTGAAGTTTCTATACTTCAGTTTCTCATCTAAAATATAACTATAATAACAGTTACCTGCAGAGGATTAACAGGATTAGCAAAATGAGAGAAAGTAGATAAAGCACCTAGTGCTGTGCCTGGCACAGAGTAGGTGCTAAATAAACAGTCATCTGTTCCCCAGCCTGGCTGAAGAGCCTGAGCCCCTTCCTCATTGCAAACTAGGGGATGGAGGGGCTTTGAAGAAATTGATGACTCTTTAGGGGCAAGGTTCAAAGGGGCTTCTCAGCTTCTTACATTCTTCCATATAAATGCTGAGTGAATGAATGGATGAATTAATGAGTGACTTCTCTCAAGGAGGAACTAAGGGTCACGGCAAGTACAATGAACAACACAAAAGTATTGACATAGGAGCCAGACCAAAGGGGTTTGTGGTTCACCTCGTCTGACAGGTGACTTCTCTGTCTCTGAAGAAAGTGAGCCAGAGAAACTCTCAGCTTGGAAATACCAAGCAAAAGAGAGCGGGAATGAGAGACCATGGTGAAAACAGAACAGCAATGAACTACATGTGATCACAGCAGCCAGGTTCGCACGCCCTAGGAATGAGGTTAAATGTTCTTTTTCTAGAGAAACTGAACTGCCCCCAGGGAAAGGATCTTCAAGTCCTGACATTTAGGAGTTCCTATGAAAAATCTGGCTGGCCTCCTCCCCCAGCAGAGAAGCCACCAAACTGAGCCCTTCCATGCCCCGATAGCATCAGATCAGCTTTCTAGTGTCTCACACTTAAATCTAAATGGATTCTTTAGAATCATAAGACAGCTGAAGGAAAGCATTTTTTGTTTGTTTGGTTTTTTTTTTTAGAGTCTAACTGTCGCTCAGGCTGGAGTGCAATGGCACAATCTCGGCTCACTGCAACCTCCGTCTCCCGGGTTCAAGCGATTCTCCTGCCTCAGTCTCCCGAGTAGCTGGTATTACAGGCGCCTGCCACCATGCCCAGCTAATTTTTGTATTTTTAGTAGAGACGGGTTTTCACTGTGTTGGCCAGGCTGGTCTCAAACTCCTGACCTCATGATCCGCTCACCTCGGCCTCCCAAAGTGCTGGGATTACAAGCGTGAGGCACCGCACCCAGCCTGAAGGAAAGCTTTAAGGTGAAGCAGAAATCAAAACAAACAGAAAGGAAACATCAAGGAGATAATGCAGGGACTAGAAGATAACTTTTAAAAATTATAATCAGTATCCTCAGAGAAGTAGGACTTCATCACATCCATGAACAACATTCAGATGCCAATAAAACAAGGAACAACTGGAAAAGAGAATCTAAAAATAAAAATGATGATACCCCTCCCCCATGCTTTTTCTTAAAAGGGTTAAACCATAAGCTCAGGGAAATCTCCCAGAAAGCAGAACAGAAAGACAAATAGATAAGTGATAACAGAGAATGGATGAGAAAATAAGAGGATCTATCGTGGACATTTAATATCCAATCAATAGGAGTTATTAGGAAGAAAAGACAAAATGCGATACGGGGAGGAGAGTAACCAAAACCAACTCAACCTGGAATGAGAAACAAACGGGTCCAGAAGGTGGGAACGTAATAATTTTTTTGCCAAATAATGAACTGGCTTCAGACCAGACCAAGTCTAGAGCTCACCGTGCCACCACGCTCTGCTCTCCTCCCCATCTTCAGATCTGCATTCTCCGGCTCCGCGTAGGGGCAAGATGGCGGCGCCCGCTCCAGAGCATGCGCCTCAGCTTCAGGAAAAAGCCTATCACGGCACACCTATGCCACACACCTGTGCCACGGCTGACCTAGAAGGCTCTATGGCATAGTGCTAAGAGAATGAACTCTGGCGTCAGACTGTCTTGGTATCAGTCCTGGTTTTGCCACTTATGAGCTCTGTCGCTTGGGCATGCTACTTAGTGCCTTTGTGCCTCAGTTTCCTCATATGACAATAGGGATAATAATGATGGTATCACCTCATCTGGTCACTGTGAGGGTTAATTGAGTTAACATGGTAAAATCCTAACAACGAAGCCGGGATAGAGGAAGCACTTTTTCAGTGACAGCCAGCATTATTATTCCCAGTCCACCCCTGGACAAATCACTGAGGCCAGGGCCATGCCACATGGGCCAGTTGGCTCAGGCCTTGGTTATGTGCTGCATCCTGGGTGAGGGGCTGGAGCCCCACTGGTAATAAAATGATTGACAGTGGGGAGGAGGCATTTCAGAGAAGGAAATCCAGGTACAATTACCGGAAGAGGCGGGTGGGGAGCTGCTGCACGGGATGCCATAGCATGATTGGCAATGGACTATTTGCTTCTTTCAGAGAAATCTCCTTCCTCGCCGCTATCTGGTATTCTGGCTCCATGGCTCTGCTGAGGCCATTATTATACTGTATTGGAAGGCTCGGGCCTTCAGCAGAACAGTCCAGAGGGCCGTGGGCACCGTATTCTCGCCTGTGCCCCCACCATCAACAAGTGGGGAAGCTGTGTTCCCTATTCTTTCTGACAGCACATCATCATCCAGTTTTGCCCCCTGACTGCCGGGAATCACTCAAACTTACCTCCCAGGAACAAAGACTGGTTTTCAGACACGATCCCATCTAAAACCATTTTAGGAAAACAAAAATTATTCAGCTATGCAAGGGCCATTTGAGCCGATCTACACCTCTCTACTTCTTAACCCAAAGCATCTGCACTGGGGTTGCTTCCCCTCACCCCAGGCATTCCTTAGTAGGGAGGAGTGCCTGCTTTGCAGCCAGGAGACTGCCAGATCCCTTCAGGGGGATGCTTCCTGAGCAAGTGGGAAGGTCTGCCTACAAAAATTAAGTCACCCACCCAAGTCCTATAGCCAGGAAGAGAGAATAGAAATATGCCAAGAAGGCGCATGAGAGATGAGATGGGAGGCAAACGGGAAGGTCAGCCATGTTCTGGTCTGTGCCCAGGATTCGATGGCACCAGAGTGCTGAATTGCAGATGGGAACAGGACTGGGAAAGTCTACAGGATATTGTGTGAGGATGAACATTTAGCAGGGGAACTCAAGGGAGGGGAGTTTCTATGTCAAATGTAATTGATTTTTACAGTAATGCTCTTTAAAATGTATAAATGTGACATCTTTTCCCACTCTGTGCTTGACTACACAACTGTAATTCACTCTGTCACTCTTGGTGCTACAGGAATAAAATGCTGGTGTTTTATTATAAAAAAAACTTTCATTAAAGATCATTTGAAAATACGGAATAGAGGAGGGATGAAAATACAATCCAATTGTCCAATATAGCCATTGTATTACGGTCTATCTCCTTTTGATGTTTTTTTCCTGTTTCTATTTTGTTTGTTTCTTACATACTTGTAATCGTGATATTTATACAATTGTATGTTTGTTTGTTTTATCAAAGGCATGCTCATGCATAAAACCTTTTCTATTTTTACCATTATTTTTTGAGGAAATTGAGTTACTGAGGTTTGAGCAATTTTAAACCTTGGTCAATATTGCTAAATTGCTGTCCCAAAGAGTTACTCTAATTAAAACTTCATTCACATTGTATATAAAGAGGCTATTTCCTTTAGCTAGACTCATAGCATATACCAACAAGTGTTTCCCTAAACATAGAGCAACGAGATATTAGTGCTTTTAAATTTCTGGTCACATTAGTGCTGTATACACCAGCACTATATATATCTACCATTTTATTCAGTTGTGTGTTTGTTTATTTGTTGATTCATTCATTGGATATTTATTGTGTGTTTGCCATGTAACTTCTTTCGTCTAGGCTCTGGAGTTAAATAGCTTCTGAAGAAGAGAAAAAGCAAGAAGACTTTTTGTTTCTAATTTTTTTTTTTTTTTTTTTGTAGAGACTGGGTCTCATTGTGTTGCCCAGGCTGGTCTCAAACTTCTAGGCTCAAGCAACCCTTCCACCTCAGCCTCCCAAAGTGCTGGAATTACACGTGTGAGCCACCATGCCCAGCTTAAAGGCTTCCCCTGAGAGTATTTTCATCAGAGGACACAGATGTATTTTTGCATAGCATCCTCAATAAAAAGAGCTAAGTCACATTTCCACCTCAAGAGAGAATTCATTCTATTAAGAACTCTATCTAGCTATCTGTCATCTATCTATCTATCTAGCTATCATCTATCTGTCTATCTATCTATCTATCTATCTATCTATCTATCTATCTATCATTTCAACCACGGAATTAATAGCAGAAACCATGAACATTATATCTGAACTTTTTGGATCTTTAAAAACCAAGCAGGACTTCTGCTTCTAGGAAGATGGAGTAGAGGCACTTCCCCCTAATTTTTCTTGCAAATTACAACAAAAACCCTGGACATTATAAAAACAACAACAAGAAGATTCTGAAAAGTGGAGAAAATAAAGCAGACTGTCCAGGGACCTTGCGACCTGAGCAACAACATGGCAGTGAGTTCCCTGGTTTTTCCTTTTGCCTCATATATGTAGACTTGGAGCTAAGGAAGCAGGAGCTCAGAAACACCAAAGGATGTAGAAAGGCCCCAGTAAAAACTTGCTGTCTCTACCCAAAGGATGAAGAAAAGGACAAGCAAGACAGAAAGCTTCTAGATAATAACCGCTCTGCTCCAACCAAACACCACAGGAAGGCTGCAGCCCCACCTGCATCCATGGCAGCAGAGTGGGGAGCCTAGACTTCCACCCTCACCAGGCCTCGCCAAGGCACCCCTCCTTCTTTCTGCTATGGTAGCATCAGAGGAGGCCAAGGAAGGAGCTGGGATTATCCCTGGGTGGTAATGAGCCCCCCTTCTGCCCACGGGGTTAGTGGAGAACATACAAGAAGCCTGGACCCCTAACTGTCAATAGGGAGGCTCCCCTCCCCTTCCTGCTGGATGGTGTCAGAAGAGGCCTACTGGAGAGTCAGGACTTTCAGCACTGCCCAGTGATAACAAGGTGATGTTCACCACAGTGTCAGGAGAGACCACTTGGGAGCCCAAACTCCCACCCCTGCCTAGCAGTAATGAGAAGTCCTTTCCTTGAGTGTCACTGGAAGCAGAGCAGGGAGCCTGGACACCTGTCAGTGATACAGTGGCACACCTCCTTTACCCTGCCAGAGGGGTGTCCTAGAATACCAGCTAAAGCAGAAGGTTTACATAAGATCCAGTCTTATAACATATTACAAAAATATTCAGGTTTCAGTTAAAAAAAAAATAAATAAATAAATAAAAATCGGTCTTCATACCAAAAACCAGGAAGATCATGAATAAAGGAAAAAAGATGTCAACACTGAGAAAACAGATATCAGAATGATCCGATGAAGATTTTAAAGCATCCATAGTTAAAAGTGCTTCAATGAACAATTATGAACATATATAAAACAAATGAAAACAACACATCTCAGCAAATAAATATAAAGAAGATATAAAGAAAAGTCAAATAAAAATTTTAGAACTGAGACATACAATAATTGAAATAAAAAACTCAGTGGGGCCGGGTGCGGTGGCTCATGCCTGTAATCCGGGCACTCTGGGAGGCCGAGGTGGGTGGATCAGGAGGTCAGGCATTCGAGATCAGCCTGGCCAACATAGTGAAATCCCATCTCTACTAAAAATACAAAAAATGAGCCGGGTGTGGTGGCAGGTGCCTGTAATCCCAGCTACCTGGGAGGCTGAGGCAGGAGAATTGCTTGAACCTGGAAGGTGGAGGTTGCAGTGAGCCGAGATCATGCCACTGCACTCCTGCCTGGGCAACAGTGCGAGACTCCATCTCAAAAAACAAAAACAAAAACAAAAACAAACAAACGAAAAACAGTGGATAGGCTCAATGGCAGAATGGAGGGGACAGAGGACAGAATTAATGACCTGGGTGACAGAACAATAGGTGTTACCCAGTCTGACCAACGGAGAGAAAATAGACTGAAAAATGCATGCTCAGAGCCTTAGGGACCTGTGACCTATAACAAGAAACCTAACATTCCTGTCATCAGAGTTCCAGAAAGGGAAAAAGAGAGTGACTGAAAAAAAAAATACTCAAAGAAATGGATGAAAACTTCATAGATTTGACAAAAGACATGAAGCTATAGACTTAAGAAGCTGAGCAAACCCTCAAGAGAGTAAACTTAAGAAAAGCTATTCCAAGACACATCATAGTCAAACTTCTGAGGACTAAGGACAAAGGAAAAAAATCTTAAAAGCAGTGCAAGAGAAACAACAGCTCGTATATAAAGGAAAAACAATGGAATGACGGCAGCTATCTCAACAGAAACCATGGAGGCCAGAAGTAAGTGGCACAACATTTTTCAAGGCCTGAAAGAACTGTCAATCCAGAATCCTATGTCCATTCCAAATATCCTTTAGGAATGAAGGGGAAATCAAGATATTCTCAATTAAAGGAAAACTAAGAGAATCTGTCCCTAGCAGATGTACCCTAAAAGAATGGCAGAAGGAAATTCTTTTATTTATTTTTATTTTTTTATTTTTTGAGACAGAGTCTCACTCTGTTGCCCAGGCTGGAGTGCAGTGGGACAAACTCGGCTCACTGCAACCTCTGCCTCCCAGGTTCAAGCAACTCTCTGCCTCAGCCTCCCCAGTAGCTGGGATTATAGGTGCCCGCCACCACGCCCAGCTAATTTTTGTGTTTTTAGTACAGATGGGGTTTCACCATCTTGGCCAGGCTGGTCTTGAACTCCTGACCTCGTGATCCACCCACCTCTGCCTCCCAAAGTACTAGGATTACAGGTGTGAGCCACTGCGCCCAGCCAGAAATTGTATTTTTGTTGTTGTTCTGTTTTGGTTTTGTTGTTGTTGTTGTTTTCTTAGCATCTACATTAAAGGCGCAAACTGAAGGAAATTCTTTAAGCAGAAAAACAATACATAAGAGAGACTTAGAATATCAGGAACATGGTAAGCAACAATACAGATAAACACAATAGACTTTCTCCGCTTGAATTTTCTAAATTATGGTTAGTGATTGAAGCAAAAATTGTAACATAGTCCAATGTTCTAAATGTATGTAGAGGAGATATTTAAATGGGGGGAGGGTAAAAGAATGTAAAGAAAAGTAAGTTTTCTATATGTCACTTTAAGTAGTAAAACGACACATGTAAAATGGTAGAGCCACCCTGGAAAGCAATTGGCAGTTTCTTAAAAAACTAAACACATAACTACCGTATGACTCAGCAATTGCATTTATGTTCACACAAAAGCCTGCACATGAGTGTTTATAGCAGTTTTATTTGTGATAGTCAAACCTGGAAACAGTGAATGGTTAAACAAACTGTGGCACATCTGTTCCATGGAACACTACTCAGCAATAAAAAGGAGCAAACTCAGCAGAAAGGAAACAAACACGCTACAGCCTGGATGAATCTCCAGAAAATTGTACTGAGCACAAAAAGCCAATCCCAAAAGGTTATATACTGTATGATTCCATTCATACTGGATTCCTCAAATGACAAAATTATAGAAATGGAGAACATATTTGTGGTTGCCAAGAATTAAGGAAGGGGTGGGAACAGGAGGGTGTGGGTGTAGCTATCAAAGACCAACAGGAGAGATCCTGTAGTGATGGGGATGTTCTGTTCCTTGACTGCACCAGGGTCAACATCCTGGTTGGGATATTGTATTATAGTTTTGGAAGATGCTATCATTAGGGGAAAACAAGGTCAAGGGTATGCAGCATCTCTCTCCATTATTTTTTACAACCTCATGAGAATCTACAATAATCAAAATAAAAAGTGTAATTTAAAAAAAAGTGTTAAGGCCGGGTGCCGTGGCTCTATAATCCCAACACTTTGGGAGGCCAAGGCGGAAGGATTGTTTGAGCCCAGGAGTTCAAGACCATCCTGGGCAACATAGTGAGACTCTGTTTCTATTTATATTTTTAAAAATTAAAAAAAATTAAAAAGAAGTGTTGAAGGCAACATAATCTTTTCAACACCACAATGGCAGTTTGAAACTTCAGCCCTCTGGGACAGTATCTCACTAGGCCCATTACTGGGTGTTTAGCCCCAGGGACTGTATTGGTAGTGCTCTCGATAAAAGCCTGTTTCAGAGGCTTTCAGAGAATTCGCTTTGCTCTGACAGAATCAAAAGGAAACCTCATCGCTGGGCATTTTCTGTCCATGGATTTCCAATTCCCCCCTGGGTGGCTAGGGAAGGACTGCAGGTCATGCCTGTCCAGAGTGATGAGCCCTGCTGCCCAGGGAGGGGAGGGAGAGTTTGAGGGGGTGGTGTAGGGTTGGCCTCAGTGGCTCAAGTCCCACAGGACTGAACAAGCCTGAAACCAGAGATCCAACAGGCATGCAAATCAAGGAGATCTTGGGGAGAGATCCTGTGTCTCTCGCATGCCAGGGAATCAGAGTGCAGGAAGTAGTAAGGGCTTAGCCATGAGGGGGTCTCAGGTGTCTGTAGTTAAATTCCTGGGCTCTGGCCGGTATGAGAAGGGAACAAGGTAACCGTCTCTAAAGGGACAAAGATGTGGTGGATGCTAAGCCAGGTGCCCCTGGTCTTTTCTTAAAGGGTTTTGGAAGTGCCTATTCTTGTAGCCTGTGGGTTAATGGGAACCCAGGAACCCATCCATGACAACCTCGTCAACAGCCCAGCCTTGGGGTCCTGGAGCAGGTCACGGGACGGGAAGAAGGTGGCGCAGGTGGAGCAGAGGCTGATGGTAACTGCATGGAGTCCAGCTGGGGAAGTCTAAGGCCACAGCTGACCACCTCCCCTGCCTCAAGGTGGGGCCTCCAGGCTACAGCTCGGGCACCTGTGTGCCTCCCTCTCTGCTCTTCTCACAGTTCATCCCCTCCAAGAAATCAGACCTGCCCAGCCTCACTGACCACAGCTTCAGAGCTAGGCCTGGATGCCTACCCAAGCTGGGCCAACACATACTCTCCCCTGGGATTTGACAGGGCCTGAGAAGCACAGCGGCAGGCAGGAGGCATGGGAAGGCACAGGAGTGGTAGAGCTCCGTGCCCTTGCTACTCAATGTGTGGGCCACACACCAGCAGTGTCACCCAGGGGTTTATGAATGTGGAACATCAGGATCCACCCAGGTCAGTTGAGTCAGAATCTACTTTTTTTTCCTCCAGATCCCACAGGACTGAAGAATCTACTTTTCAACAGATCCCCAGTGATTTGCATGCTCATTTAAATTTGAGAAGCTCTGCTCTGGAGAGGTCCCACAACACTTATCCCCAAGAGGCCTGAGCTGCCCAGTTCCTACTGCTCTGAGAAGTGGGGTTCCATGCTCCCTTGGATTCAAAGGCTCCTGTTGACTTGCCTTTTTCTAACTCTGGCCAGCTTGGTTTCTGTATTTCTTTTTTTTTTCTTTTTGAGACGGAGTCTCACTCTGTCCCCCAGGCTGGAGTGCAGTGGCGCAATCTCAGCTCACTGCAAGCTCCGCCTCCCAGGTTCACGCCATTCTCCTGCCTCAGCCTCCCAAGTAGCTGGGACTACAGGCACCCGCCAAAACGTCCGGCTAATTTTTTGTATTTTTAGTAGAGACGGGGTTTCACCGTGTTAGCCAGGATGGTCTCAATCTCCTGACCTCATGATCCACCCGTCTCGGCCTCCCAAAGTGCTGGGATTACAGGCGTGAGCCACCGCACCCGGCCTCTGTATTTCTTTTAACGAAGAAAACCTAATCAATGCACACGGGCAGGTCTGGCGGGGACAGTATGATTCAAGGGGAGGCTGACCTTGCCCAGAGCATCAGGCAGTTTGCCATACAACCAAACGCCCCCCACAGAGGGCCAGTCCTTTGTGTTCATGAATGTTTTGAGTCAGGGGAAAAAATAAATAGGCCAGGTGTGGTGGCTCATGCTTGTAATTCCAGCACTTTGGGAGGCCAAGGCAGATGGATTGCTTGAGCTCAAGAGTTTGAGACCAGTCTGAGCAACATAGTGAGATCTTGTCTCTACAAAAAATAAAAAATTAGCCAGGCATGGTGGTATATGCCTGTGGTCCCAGCTATTTGGGAGGCTGAGGCAGAAGGATCACTTGAGCCTGGGAAGTTGAGGATGCCTTGAACTGTGATCACACCACTGCACTCCAGCCTGGAGGACAGAGCAAGACCTAGTCTGAATAACAAATAAAATAAAATAATAAATAAATAAATAAATGCTCTGAGTCTTGTTAAATGAAAATCCTCCTGAAATGAAAGTTTCTAGTCATTTATCCTTTAGTATGAAGTACCTTCTCAGATTCTTGCCAAAGAGACCACTTTCTAGGTTGGACATAGGAGAAGTCACAGAAACCTTTCTATTTTTACACTTTGATTAAAGGCCTGGCTCTGCTTCCTCAGAGAAGGCCTGTATTGAAATTGCCCTGGGGCTGTCTTTTTTTATTTTTTATTTTTTGAGACAGGGCCTTGCTCTGTCGCCCAGGCTGGAGTGCAGTGGCGCAGTCTCCGCTTACTACAAGCTTGCAACCTCCGCCTCCTAAGTTCAAGGCAGTTCTCCTGCCTCAGCCTCCAGGGTAGCTGGGATTACAGATGCCCACCAACACACCCAGCTAATTTTTTTTTCCCTTGAGACGGAGGCTTATCCTGTCGCCCAGGCTGAAGTGCAGTGGGGCAATCTCGGCTCAATGCAACCTCTGCCTCCCAGGTTCAAGTGATTCTCATGCCTCAGCCTCCTGAGTCGCTGGGATTACAGGCGCCTGCCACCATGCCCGGCTATTTTTTTTTTTTTTTTTTGTATTTTTAGTAGAGACGGAGTTTCCCATGTTTGGCCACGCTGGTCTTGAACTCCTAACCTCAGGTGATCCACCTGCCTCGGCCTGCCAAAGTGCCAGGATTATAGGCATGAGCCACCGCTCTCTTTATTAAAAGAGAGCTCCTGGGGCTCTCTTTTAATAAAGTGCAAAGTCCTGTGTCTTTTCTCATCTGGGAAGCCCTCTCTGCCTTGTCCAGCCATGGTCACCTGTCCCTTCTCTGAGACTCCAGAGCAGCGATCCTTTACCTTTTGTGTGTGTGGACCCCCTTACAGAACAATGTTTTCAAATGCATAAAATAAAAAACAAAGGATTTCGAAGAAATTAATCATATTGAAATGTAAGCATCAAAATATTTAAAAATGAGTGATTTAGTAACATATGTGCTTATTATTTTTCTTTTTATAAGCCTTTGTCAGAATATATGTGCTTCCTAATTAGCATAGTAAGATCTAGTAGCAGGTCTACCAATCTCTTGTCATTTCTTTTTTTCTTTTTTTTTTTTTTCGAGACAGAGTCTTACTCTGTCCCCCAGGCTGGAGTGCAGTGAGGGATCTCGGCTCATAGCAACCTGTGCCTCCTGGGTTCAAGCTATTCTCATGCCTCAGCTTCCCAAATAGCTGGGATTACAGTTGTGTGCCACCACACCTGGCTAATTTTTGTATTTTTAGTAGAGATGGGGTTTCACCATGTTGGCCACGCTGGTCTCAAACTCCTGGCCTCAAGTGATCCGCTTGTTTCAGCCTCCCAAAGTGCTGGGATTACAGGAGTGAGCCACTGTGTTGGGCTCAATCTCTGTAATTTCAAAATAGTGATGGCTCTGTCGCCCAGGCTGGAGTGCAGTGGCGCAATCTCGGCTCACTGCAAGCTCCGCCTTCCGGGTTCACACCATTCTCCTGCCTCAGCCTCCCGAGTAGCTGGGACTACAGGCGCCTGCCACCACGCCCGGCTAATTTTTTTGCATTTTTGGTAGAGACGGGGTTTCACTGTGCCGAAATTTTTATTGTCAATCCTGACAATCATTGAACCCCTTAGTTCTCTTAATACATTTGTCATTTACAGATGAACCTCTAGATGGCGGCAGTGTCCCACAGAATGTCCTTTTCCAGGCCTTAGTATCCCATCCAGGGTTTTTACGTGTCACTTCTCTTTCATTCCTGCAAATGCCAGGAATGACTCCTCTTCACCTCTCCCTGTATAAAATGGCCACCAGAAAAACTCCACAACACACACACACACACACACACACACACACACACACCCCAAAATCACTCGAAAATGAATAAGAATGTGAAAAGAATCAAAACGCTCAGACTTACCTGCTTTGGGGAAAGGAATTATTAGCCTTTCCCCAAACATAAGTGATGGTCAGACAAGGGAGAGGTGATGGTGGTGCTGTGGACCCTGTAAACCCTGAAGTGTCCAAAGCAGTTTGCACCTAGACCTCGGAGAGGGAATCCACGCCCTGTCAGCTCCCTTGCCACTGTGCTTTCTTGCACCAATACAAATACCTCCTGAAAAATTCCAAACTGGTAGCAGCTGAGCAGACGGGAAAAGGCATTTTCCCCACCCTTTCATGAGGATGGCTAACCAGCGGAGACGGCCACCCCAGGGGCGGCAGTGAGTGTGGGGATGAGCAGATGAGCGACGTGGGATTCAATGGCACACAATCTGAATTTGGACAACCGGGTAGATTGAAAGGGCCAGACCCCGAGGGAGAGAGAGGGAGGGCGCTGACTGCTTTGCTCCCTGGGGCTTCCATGGGAACATGAATCCTTAAGTTTTAATTTCAGCAAGTCCTCCAGAAGTTACCAAAGCTGAGAAAACTCTCCTGCTACCATTCCTCTTCAAAAAGTCTGAGAAAGCTAAAAGTCCAAAGGAGGTGAGAAAATAAGGTAACTTTGCTTTGTAAAATGTTATCCATCCTCTTGCAACACAAGCACCAAAGAGAAATCAAACAGGTTTATTTATTGTCAAGCCTTGAGAAACAGACTAAGATAGTAGTGCTGTACCATTCTATGTTGTGAACTTTTTTTTTTTTTGAGACAGGGTCTCACTCTGACACCCAAGCTGGAGTGCAGTGGTCTCAGATCACTGCAGCCTCGACCTCCTGGGCTCAGGTGATCCTTCCACCTCAGCCTCTCAAGTAGCTGGGACTACAGGCACATGCTTCCATGCCTGGCTAAATTTTGTATTTTTTCTAGAGACGGGGTTTCACTGTGTTGCCCAGAACTCCTAGGCTCAAGCGATCCACCTGTCTTGGCTTCCCAAAGTGCCAAAATTACAGGCAGGAGCCACTGCACCCGGCCTGGTGAAAACATTTCAATATCCTCAAGGATCTCTCCATATTGTGAATGGTATCAGGAGCTTCAGACTTGGGATTCAAGTCCCAGGCAGGGTTCTTACCAGTTACATGGCCTCTCCAAGCCCCAGTTACCTTTTCTGTAAAGTGGAGAAAGTCTGGCACCTACTTCATTGGGTTGTTATGGAAATTAAATAGAAAGTGCTTGGTGCAAAACCTGGGGCATTTATTGATGACTAATTAATAAGTTGTCTATTTTGATATGTTGCTAGGCATGTATTCATTCAACCAAGCCTGCTGGATCTCTGAGGACATAAATTAAGATGAGTAAGACCCAACCTCAGGCTTCAAAGAATAGAATATTTACTGTGCTATTGTAAAACTGGGAGATAAAGGAGTGTATATACACCCACTGATAACATATTTCATGATTCTTAGATGTACTTTTTCATAGTTTAACATCTTTGACAACAGTTTTTATTTCTTGATGGTAAAAAAAAAGTAATGATGTGACTTACAATCAGTAGAATCTTAGATTTGGTGAAAAGCAGCATAAGCATAAAGAGAGTTTAATGACAGAGACAGAGCGATCAGCTTACCACCATGATTCAGCCCATAGGAACCCAATCAGAATTCCAGTACAGGGGACAGCTACAGAATGCTGTCTTCTGTCTCCTGAGACATGTCTGCTCCTCCCTGCAGTGCTTTTGGGAGACAGGAGTGGGAGAGGCCTTTGATCTTGGTGCTGAGGGCTGGGTGGTACCTAAATTACAGTGCACGTATAGGTCTTTGTCTAGAATGCAGATCCTCAGCCCCTGCCTCAGAGGATCTGGTTAGGTTGGTCTGAGGGTGGAGGCCTAAGTGATCCAACCAGCTCTGGGTCCTTCCTGGTGTGAGGGGATTCTTTGCTTGGGGAGGAGTGTCACTGCCCTGGGCTCAGGAAATGATCTTTACCCGAAATTAGGAAACCTGAGCTTGCATTCAAATGCAGCTCCTCCAGTAGTGTGCAGAGGCTAGCTCATACCGGTGGGCATGAAATCAGCCACAGTGGGAGCATTTACACCACAGTAATGGGCAAGCTTTTTTTTCTCTCTTTCTTCAGAGTCACTTTACCAGCACAGAACTGTGACTTTTCTTCAGTTGGGTAACCTCGAAGATATCACTGAAACTCACTTCAAGCCTGTTTCTTTCCATCTGAAAGGGGATTATTATATTTCTAACCTCACAGAGCTGTGGAATAAATGAGTCTTCAAGTATGAGAAAGCATCTAGCCCAGTGCTAGGCTCTAGTGATTAGTAGTTTATTCTTTCGCTCTAGAAGTTTCCTATAATGTTTTCTCCTTAGGAACTTACCAGGGTGAGAATGAAATGAAATGAACATACTTCATGATGAAATTCAAATCTCAGTGTGGATGATTAGCATTTAGCAGGAAGGATAATGGTAACTTTATGTAATCTTTTACAGTTTAACAAGCTGTATTTCATGTGGCATAAGCTTACACCACAAACATTTTCCAGATGAGGAAACCAAGGCTCATAGAAGTTGACTTGCTCAGAGTCATGTGGTGTTTAAACGAGGCAGAAACAAAAACTTTCGATGTACTGCTGTCCCTCAGTGTCCATAGCAGATTGGTTCCAGGACCCACCCCCCAAGGACACTGTGGATACCAAAATCCATGGATGCTCAAGTCCCTGATAAAAAATGTTGTATTATTTGCATATAATCAATACACATCCTCCTGTGTACTTTAAATCATGTCTAGATTACTTATAATACCCAATACAATGTAAATACTATGTAAATAGTTGCTAAGTTGTATTGTTTACAGAACAATGTTGAGAAAAAAAGTCTGTGCATGTTCAGCACAGACACGATCCACTTTTCCCCTGAATATTTTTGATCTGTGGTTAGCTGAAATCCACGGATGTAGAAAACACAGATACAGAGGGCCAACTGCGCTTCCCCCCATCCCATCCCATGACAGTAAAGCCTGTGTACAGAGACCTGGGTGGGCAGGTGGTGTTAAAACAAACCTAATACCCAAACCGACAAAATTCCTAACCAAAGCTTAAAGTTTAGTTGGAAAGCTTAAATACCCACATGGGAATCTCCTGAGGATGATGACCAAGTCAAGCCCTGGAGGTCGCCATTGGCAGATGGGCTAGTGAATTCCCTTGCCCAGACACATCGAGGGCCATGCAGGATAGTCTCACATCCTTCACACTAACCACCTGCACAGCTACCGTCTTCCTTGACTGGATTCCTTGCCTGCATTATGGTTCTCTGATCGTCACCCCCATCTTTGTAGAGAAAAGCAGCACTCAGGCTGAAGCATCATTTCCTTCTCACTCCCTTGGCTGCACTTAGCCTCTCAGTTTTTTCCAAGACAAACATAAAATTCTTGAGAGCTGAGACTGTCCACCCTGGTGTGAATGCAAATGGTGGTTTAGTTTTTGGTTTCTCAAAGTCTGAACTTTACTGCCCAAGCTGCTTATAGACTTACGAGCTGATTAAAATAAAGGAAAAGAAAACCTCTCCCAGCTGAAAATATGCCCCGGACCTTTCCAAAGTTTAAGTGAAGTTGAAATTCAGCAGCAGTTGGGCTGCAGTTGAGAAAAGGGGCTTTGAGCCAGATCCAGCCTTCATAGTAAGAAGGTGGTAAAGGGTCCAGCCTTGTAGCTCCAGGAAAGACAGTATCTTCCCTTTAAAAGAGAAAAAGTTAGCTTTCAAAGTGGATTCTCTCAACCTTGGGCTTTGTGGAAATGTAGAAGCAGCTACCTTCCCTTTCTTTCTTCTTCTTCTTCTTCTTTTTTTGTTTTAGAGTCGGAGTCTTGCTCTGTTGCCCAGGCTGGAGTACAGTGGCACAATCTTGGCTCACTGTAACCTCCGCCTTCTGGGTTCAAGCAATTCTCCTGCCTCAGCCTCCCAAGTAGCTGGGACTACAGGTGCCCACCACCACACCCGGCTAATTTTTGTAGTTTAGTAGAGACAGGGTTTCACTGTGTTGCCCAGGCTGGTCTCAAACTCCTGAGCTCAGGCAATCCACCCGCCTCAGCCTCCCAAAGTGCTGGGGTTACAGGTGTGAGCCACCGTGCCTGGCTCCTTCCCTTTCTTAAAGGAGTATGCCACTGCAATTCAGAGTTCCCACCATTTCCCAATTATTACTGCCACTCCACTCACCTGTAGAATAGACACCCATTAAAAACTCTTTCAGCCTTAGAGATTCCATGATTAAGATATTTATGATTCATCCACATTTTGAAATACAAAAAAATCATTTTGTTCAAAAATGCTTGCTGCTGTGGGAAAATGCTCACAATATAATGCTCTACACACTGCTGGTACTGGGAAGTCATGTACTAAAATGTGAACCATGGTCATCTCTGGGCTTTGAGATCACCAGTGACTTGTGTTGTTTTCACTTTCTGCATTGCATGTCATTATAATTATTAGTTTCTCTCCGACACTCGACACTCGGGGGGAACTGTAAGCTCTCTGAGTACAGGGTGTTTGACTACTGTATTTCTTGATGTATCCACATCCCTAAGAACCAGAAGGCACTTGATACATATTTGTCAGATGAATGACCGAATGAAAGCCTTCGTGAATTCAAAAAATCACTGCACAATGAGCATACATAACTGTTGAAGGGCAAGGGAAGCAGTAGATGCAAATATTAATTTTAAAAAGTGTTCTGATGAAAATTCATACCCTTAAATGCTTTTGTTAGAAAACAACATCAGAAACAAAAACCCACAGAAGTTTGAATATTGTGTAATTAACGAAATGTTAAACAGGGCTTATCCTGTCACGTCAGTTTCTAGGAGAAGATGTCAAGTCCAGGAAACTGTAGGCTGGTATCTCCAGCCATGGGGAGTCTCCCAAGAACACACCGAATCTTCCCAAGAGAGTCAGTGCTGAACACACCTGAGAATCCAGAGCACATGCAGTTTAGCCTGATTGGGCTGGGAGTCGGCAGGGGCGATGTTTAAATTGGGTGAGAGTTTGGACCTTTGATATGCAAATGAACTAGACTTTTTTATTATAGAAAATGGAGGCTGGGTGCAGTGACACACGCCTGTAATCTCAGCACTATGGGAGGCTGAGGCAGGAGAATCCCTTGAGGCCAGGGTTTAAGACCAGCCTGAGCAACACAGCGAGACTCTGTCTCTACAAAAGCAACATATATATTTACATATGTATATATAAATTTTAGTATATACATATGTAAATATATATATGTGTTTATATACGTATATATGAAATACATATAGCTGGGCATGGTGGCACGCCTGTAGTCCCAGCTACTAGGGAAGCTGAGTTGAGAGGATTGCTTGAGCTCAGGAGGTCCAGGCTGCAGTGAGCTGTGAGGATGCCACTGCACTCTGCCCTGGATGACAAAGGGAGACCCTGCCTCTTCCTGCATCCTCCTCCTCATCAAATGAATGGATTCGCCTCATTATGTGATGAGAGTCACTGTGGCCTTGAGGGCACAGGCACAGCCACCTTTACCTCTGTGTCACTAGCTCATATGGGCAGCACACTGCCCAGCACCATCCTGGTGCTCCTCACATGCCTGAGGTGGTCTGCAAATGTTTGTAAATGGAATGAATGGGGATTCTCAGGCAGGTAGGTCTGCTGCTTTTGGATATTTGATGAATGACAGAGGAAAAAGAGAGCAGGACCAAGAGGACGTGTGCACATGTGATGATGGCATTGAGGGGCAACAGTTGTGTGCAATGGTGGGAGCCCCCAAACAGATCCAAGTTCTATGAAGAAAAATAGAATTGGCGAATGAGGCCCAGCAAGGAACTAAGCGAATGAGAAATGAATGCATGTGAAAGGGGCAAGGACAGATGCTGGTTTGCTGGGCCAACAGGTATTGCCTCAACTTCCAAAGCTGACAGTGGTGAGCAGAAAACTAGTGAGATCCCCACGTGGCTCCCAAGTGCCCTCTGGGTCTCTGGGCTTGGATCAGATATAGCTTCTGCTCCCTAAGATGCTACACCTTGCACCCTGGCCTCCTCCCAGGGTCTCTGTTGCCCATGGGAGCTGGGAGTCAGCAATCTGGCTTCATGTACACAAGCCACATGGTCAGCTTCTCCTGGGCAGGAACTCTGTCCTATTTCTGATTCCCTCCCCAGTTTGCTCTTGCTAATAGCTTGCTGCTTGGCTGATTGGCCAGGCAGGGGAAGGTCCATTTAGCTTTCAACCTCAGCTGTACATGAGAATCACCTGGGCAGCTTTTAAAGTCCAGGGCTCATGCTCCACCCAGAACAATGACATCAGATTCTCTGGGATTGGAGCCCAAGCAACAGGATGTTTGAAAGCCCCTCTGCCGTCCTTTCCTCTAGAGTTGCTGCCAATGAGCAGCTGAGGTTGAGAGCCAGGGGTTTACCTAAACTTGGCTCTTTATGCTGCCTGCCCTGGCCTAATCCTGCTCTGGCCAACCCCGGGTGCTCCTTCCAAAGGCTTTCCCGGCAGGTGGGAGCTGAGGTGACCCCCGCCGGCTGTCCAGGGCAGGCTGCCTCTGGCTGTAGAAGAGGTAACCATGGTCACCAGCCTGCGTGCACTGATTTCTCACAAGTGCAATTTATGAGGCAAAAATTTCTCTCTCTAGAAAAGTTCCACGCTTCGGTCATGAAGGGTAATTGAGGCTTTTAGCTTCTGCGTCACAGTCATTATCCATTTCCTCATGAGCCTAGTGGCTATTGCCCACAGGGATTTAAGTCATATTCTCGGTCAATGAGTAACAGAGAGGATATGAAATGGACATCCAGGCCAGGTGACTCAGCCGGGATCCCAGAGGCCCTGGTGAGCATCTCTTCCCAGACCCAATCCCTTGGTTGAAGTTTAGAATGGGCCTTTGCATCCTTGTCTGTAAAAGGGGGTGAGCATGTTCACTTTTTGAGGTTGTGATGAGGGTTAAGTGAACTAATAAATGGGTAAGTCTGGTGCATAGTGAGAGATGGCTCATTTCAGCCACCTGACCGCTGCTTTCCATTCCCTTGCCTCCCCCATACTCCACGGGGCCCAAACACATGCACCAGCACACAGTTCATTTGCAGCAACGGCAGAGTAAATGCTTAGGAACCGAATTCCAAATAGCTGTGAGTTAGGGTTGGTGTTGCAGGATTTCCAGCCCGTGCCCTGGACCTGCCAAGGCTCCCTGTCCACCCATCAGCATCAGCACACAGTCCAGACAAGGCCTGCCCCTCCTCCCACCTGAGGCTGAATGGCCCACGACTCCCAGCCTGCCTCCTCCTCATCTGCAACCCTGTGTGGGATTGGACCTGGGAATAAAATGTTTATTATTCTTCGTACTGACAGATAAGGAAACATGCATCAGAGGAAGTAAGCTATTTGGCCAGGTCACAGAGTCAGTTTCTCTTTTCCAAGTGTTTTTCCAGGGCCATCTGCATTCAGGAGCAGGGTGTCCCCTGGAGGATCCTCCTCCCTTTCCCTGGGGGAATGGAGCCTGGGAAGGAGACAGCTGGTGCTGGGGTCAGGGTAGCAGCTGGAGATGGGGCAGCAGGGCACCTCCCGAGACAGCATCGTGCACCTACGAGCATCTGGAGTTGGTCCAGGCCAGGTCTACTGCTCCAATGCAGTACAGACACCTACTGACCCAGAAAAAAACGGCCAATTGCTGACAAACGAGTGAGTTTTGTTCCCTGGAAAGAGCCCTGGAGTGGAACCAGAGACACCTGCATTGTGATTTCAGGGCTGCTCCTTGTGATCTCAGGACACTGAAACAGTCATGTTTGGGAGAGAGCATGGGACGGGCATGGCAGGGGTGAGAGGTTGGACTAGGCAGAGGTGGGAAGGGTTCCTAAGCCTGGCTCTACCAGTTACCAGCTGAGCGATCTTGGGCAGAGTTAGCTAACTCGCTGTGCCTCAGTGTTCCCATCTGGAAAGTGACTATCTCTGGAAAGTGACAAATTTCCATCTGGAAATTGATTATGTCTGTCAATGAGTTGTTATAAGGATTAAGTGAGTCAATACATAAAAAGCACTTGCAAAGTCCCTGGCCCAGAGCAAACCTCTGTAAGTGTTTGCTATCATTCTAACATCCATGAAGGTGCTGGCACATGGAAGGTACTTGTTGCTCAGTGAATCTGAATTCACTGGCTCTTTTCCAGGGAGCAGGAGACAGCAAAGCCCTCTGTCTCCAGATGCCCCATCCCACGGCTCCATGGTCCATGTCCACAACCCAGTTCTGCCTGGTCAAGGTGGGCAGCAAGGTTCAGGCAGCCCAACCTGGTTTCAGGTTTCAAGCATAGAGGATATTCTCTGTGCACTTTTTGTTTGTTTGTTTTCTGTTGTCTGGGTGAAATGTTGTGTTATTTTTGTTGTAATTTGCATTTTCCTGAATACCAGTTCTACCCTTCCCCCACCCCACCAGTTTATTTATTGGGTTGCCTTCTAATTTCAACCCAGAAACATATGTAATTTTGCATAGCATGTGACTTGAGCTTTACAGTTTACAAAGCACCCTCATACATAAGAGCTAACCCAGTCCTCACAACCAGGAGATGGAGGTTTTCTTATTGTCCCCATTTCACAGAGATGTGGAAAGTAAGGCTGAGACATTACAATGACGTGTCTGAGATGTAAGTGGCCTTAATACAGATCTTCTAATATCCAAGCCTGTAGTGTCCCCTGGTCCACCAAAATACCTGTCCCCTGGTTTTCTGCATAGCTCTACACACTTATACATTTTAAACTCTTTTCTTACCTAATATTATTTTCAGAAATGTGGTTCCCTTTTCTATACTACTAATCTAGACATCATCTGAATAGCTGCACAATTTAAATTTTAACTTAATTTACTCAGCAGCTCAGGTCATGGCTCAGGCCACTCTGATTTTGCTGTATTAGAAGCAGTGCTACTGCAAACTTTTGGGGCCAGAACAATTTTCTTCTTCTGAATAATTAAAAAATGACATTAAGGATTCAACAAGTATGAATTTATGCCTCTTGATTCACCTTGGTGTTACTGACCTAAATAAAAACCCTGGGCCTATTTACTCATTACCCATAAATGCATGCATTCATTGCTTCGTTTAGCCATCTGTCCATGCATCCATCTACCTACCCAGACATATATCCATCCACCCACTCACCTACTCATCCATCCATCCATCCATCCACCCATCCACTCACCATCCATCCATTCACCTACTTACCCATCCATCTATCCATCCATCCAACCATCCATCCACCCATCCATCCATCCATCCATTCATCCATCCATCCACCTACCTACTTACCCATCCATATATCCACCCATATATCCATTCATCCACCTACCCACCTACCCACCCATCCATATATCCATCCATCCATCCATCCATCCATCCATCCATCCATCCATCCATCTACCTACCCATGCATTCATATATCCATCCATCCATCCACCCACCCATCTATTCATCCATCTATCCATCCACCCATCCACCCACCCACCCACCTACCTACTCACCCATCTATCCATCCATCTACATATCCACCCAATATATGCCTAATTTCCTCTAAGCCTTAAATATATTGCAGAAGTTCCAAAAAAGTGTACATTCTGGTATATGTGTGTGGATGTGGGAATAGCGGGGGAGTTCCCTGCCCTCCATCCTATTCCCCAATGTCTACCCTTTGGCTGAGGGACTTTTCTTAGAGTAGTCCCTGTCACTGCCCTGGCCACCCCCGCCAGCAACATGTTCCCAGGCTCTGCCCCCACCTCACTGCTCTCAGCCGACTCCCTCGTTGATGCTGGCAGTCCTGGTTCCCTTGACTTTCCTTTGTTTATTTTGGAAGGCCTGGTCATTTAGCGGCAGGCACTGCAGTCATTTGGTTCCAGCTGTTTCCCTCGGGCCTGGCTGGTGGATGGTCTGTGCTGGAGACAGCTGGCCTGAGTCGGGGGAAGTCAGGGCCCTGCGGGACAGAGACCAGCAGTAGCTCTTGGACATGCTTAAAGGACAGTAGCCTATTGTGGGAGAATTGACTGGGGCGGGCTTGGCTCCAGCTACCCCTTGTGGCCTTTGAGGGTCACAAGATATTTCTGAGGCACTCTGCTTTCTTCTGCCTACAGCCTGTAGCCCACCCAGCCCAGGCGGACACTGTGTGTGTGTGTGTGTGTGTGTGTGTGTGGTGTGGTGTGTGTGTATGCGTGTTTGTATGTGTGTGGTGTGTATGTATATGTGTGTGTATGTATGTGAATGTGTGTATGTGTGGTGTGTGTGTATCTGTGTGGTGTGTGTGGTATGTGTATGTGTGTGGTGTGTATGTGTTGTGGTGTGTGTGAGTGGTGAGTATATGTGTATGTGTGTGGTGTGTGTATTGTGTATGTGTGTGATGTGTGTGCATGTGTGTGTGGTGTGCGTGTATGTGTGAGTGTGTGTATGTCTGTATGTGTGGTGTATATGTGTATGGTGTGTGGTGTATGTGTGGTGTGTATGTGTGTGGTGTGTATGTATGGTGTGTGGTGTGTGTGGTGTATATGGTGTGTGGTATGTGTGTGGTATGTATGTATGGTGTGTGTATGTGTGTGTGGGTGTGGTGTTGGCACTGGCATGTGAATGTATGTGTGGTGTGTCTGTGTATGTGTGTGTGTGAGTGTGTGTATGTGTATGTGGTGTGTATGTATGTGGTGTGTATGTACGGTGTATAGTGTGTGGTGTGTATGGCGTGTATGTGTGTGTGTGGTGTTGGCAGAGGCATGTGAATGTATGTGTGGTGTGTCTGTGTATGTGTGTGTGTGTGTGGCATGTGTATGTGTGTGGTGTGTATGTGTGGTGTGTATGTGTGTGTGTGTATGTGTTTGTGGTGTGTATGTGTGATGTGTGTATGTGTGTGGTGTGTGGTGTGCGTGGACTGTGTGTGTGGTGTGTATGTGTGTATGTGTGTGGTGTGTGTATATGTGTGTGATGTGTATGTGTGTGTATGTGGTGTGTCTGTGTATGTGTGTGTGCATCTATGTGTGTATGTGTGTGGTGTATATGTGGTATGTGTGTGGTGTGTGTGGTGTATGTGTATGTGTGTGGTGTGTCTGGTATGTGTGTGGTGTGTATGCGTGTATGCGTGTGGTGTATGTGTGGTGTGTGTGTGGTGTGTGCGTAATGTATGTGGTGTGTGTGTGGTGTGTGCATGTGTGTGTGTGGTGTGTGTGTATGGGTATGTGGTGTGTGTGGTGTGTATGTGTGTGAGTGGGTGTGTGTGGAGTGGGTGTGTGTGAGTGCGTGTGTGTGGAGTGGGTGTGTGTGGGTGTGTGTGGTGTGGGTGTGTGGGCGTGGGTGTGGTGTGTGTGAGTGGGTGTGTGTGGTGGGTGTGTGGTGTGTATGTGTGTGAGTGGGTGTGTGTGTGGTGTGTATGTGTGTGAGTGGGTGTGTGTGGTGTGTGTGTGTGTGAGAGTTTGTGCACGCGCGTGTCTGGGGGACATCAGGAAACTCTCCAAGAGAATCTTTTCTCCAAGAGAATCTTGGCAATGGGTTTTTTTAAAATTTAAAAAACCCTCCATTTGTTTATTAAATAGGTAAAATATCGCCAAGGTAGAAAATACTGATAAGGAATCTTAAAATCTCTCTGATTCCACCATCTAGCAGTGCCTGGGCTAACACAGGGCACACTCTCCTCTAAGGCACTAGTGTGGCTACCGCGCGGGGACCTGGCTGGGTGGAGGAAGGAGTGAGGCTGGAAGACGGGAGTTGGGGCCAGATGGTTCTGTGTCATAGATGGAGAGACAGAAGCCACATGGAGAAAGAGCATGAACCTTGTCCTCAGACGAGGTCAGAGCCTAACTCTGGCCACTCCTTAGCTCTGTGACCTTGGACAAATTACTCAACTTCTCTAAGCGTTCACTCGCTCATCTGAATGAGAACAATCATGTCTACCTTGCAGGACTGAATGAGAGCAGACCTATCTTGTGCCTGACATGTGGTAGAATCTGTTCAATAGATGTCAGTCCCTCCCCAGGAAGTTTGGATTTTCTCCTGCGAAGCTATATTTTAAGCAGCAGAGGGCAATGTTTATTTCTTATGACGGATGAATTGACTCCTTTAAAAGCATTTGCAGGATCATAGAGGCCAGTGCTGGTGCAGGTGTGAGGGAATGTGCACTCTTATAGGCTCCTGGAGAGGGAGGCGTTTCACTGGTACAATCTTTTCTTGGTGGTTAGGTATTGTCAAATACATTTACAAGAGCCCGAGAGTTTCACTGGTACAGTCTTTTCTTGGTGGTTAGGTATTGTCAAATACATTTAGAAGAGCCCAAGAGTTTCACTGGTACAGTCTTTTCTTGGTGGTTAGGTATTGTCAAATACATTTAGAAGAGCCCAAGAATTTCACTGGTACAGTCTTTTCTTGGTGGTTAGGTATTGTCAAATACATTTAGAAGAGCCCGAGAGTTTCACTGGTACAGTCTTTTCTTGGTGGTTAGGTATTGCCAAATACATTTAGAAGAGCCCAAGAGTTTCACTGGTACAGTCTTTTCTTGGTGGTTAGGTATTGTCAAATACATTTAGAAGAGCCCGAGAGTTTCACTGGTACAGTCTTTTCTTGGTGGTTAGGTATTGTCAAATACATTTAGAAGAGCCCGAGAGTTTCACTGGTACAGTCTTTTCTTGGTGGTTAGGTATTGCCAAATACATTTAGAAGAGCCCAAGAGTTTCACTGGTACAGTCTTTTCTTGGTGGTTAGGTATTGTCAAATACATTTAGAAGAGCCCATTGGTTAGGACTGAGCCCCTGTGCTAGGATGGGACAGACCAAACCAAAATGGAGTCACTCGTGCTGAAGCTCCACCCCAGAAAGCCAAAAATAAGTTGTTTATCTGACCTTCCCAGAAATCAGGAGAGTGAAAGATAGTAGCCAGATTGCCAAACAAGCCTCTGTTTTAACCCTATAAGGAGAGTAACTTTAAAATGACCGAGATCCACTTTTTGTTCACTGTGTCTCCTTTCCTCAGCCCTTTTCTGTCTATAAAGCCAGTCTCCTCTGTTCAGCTGTTTTGAACACTCATTCCAGAAGAGGTGTTGCCAGATTCATGAATTGCAAATAAAAAACAATGAAGATCTTTAAACTAGATTTGATGTAATTTTATCTTTTTTTTTTTTTTTTTTTTTTTTTTGAGACAGTCTCACACTGTCACCCAGGCTGGAGTGCAGTAGCATGTTCTAGGCTCACTGCAACCTCTGCCTCCCCGGTTCAAGTGATTCTTGTGCTTCAGCCTCCTGAGTAGCTACGATTACAGGCTCACACCACGATGACTGGCTAATTTTTAGTGGAGATGGGTTTTCACCATGTTGTCCAAGCTTGTCTCAAACTCCTGGCCTCAAGCACTCTGCTCGCCTTGGCCTCACAAAGGGCTGGGATTACAGGCATGAGCCTCTGCACCTGGCCTAATTTTGTCTTTTGACAGTGTTATGCATCAGAAAACTTTTTAAAAAAATGTCTACCCTTTAGTCCAGCAATGCCACTGTAAATAACTTATCCAGTAGAGACGATCAGTCCAGACGCATTTACAACACTATTCATTCATAGCGTTGTTTCAACGCAAAAATGACAAATAAGATAAATATCCAACAACAGGGCACATGCATCCAGCTCTGACACAACCTTACCATGGAAACACAACTGGTCATAAATGTCAATGTACCAGTAACTAGTATGTACCAGTAATGTACAGCTAGGTTTATTAACATGAAAACTGTAAAATGTTATTGAATGAAAATAGGTCACAAAAGAAAGGATGTACAGTATGATTTCATATTTGTAAAAAGTTGTATGTACCCGCGTTGTATAAAAATTTTTGGAAGGTTTCCAAGGCCCTCATCCCTGGTTTAAGAGACACCCTCGATTCTTTAAACTAAAGAATGCCAGCCATAGAGGACTTTGGTCACTGGTAGCCAAACATGTCACAAGCAATTCAGAAACTAGCCCCTCTGCCTGCAGCATTCGAGTTCCCCAGAAGGCATCCCGGCCGCAACATCACTGGAGTAGAAAGCAGATGCCTTCCTGCCTCAGTTTATCCAGGATAGGGTCGGGAAAGCATGTGAAGGAGACCAGCTATTCTTTACCTCATAAACCGAGGGGAATTCAGGCTTCCACAGAGACAGGAGAGACCAAGATTAAGCCTGGCTCTTTCCTCCTAAAAAGAAGAGAAAGAGACAAGGTCAAAACTGGCCGTAGGACACAGCTGTTTGGATTCATCAGTCCCCAGGCATTTATGAGCACCATTATGTGCGATGCATTTTGCTAAGTGTAGAAAGGTCACAGAGCCAGAGTTCTTGTCCTTAGGGAGCTCATTCTAGGGGGAAACAAAAATAACCTTGACGTGACTGGTAAGAAAAGAGGGAGGTGACCCAGAGGGGGAAGAGGTGCCCTCCGTGGGGAAATAGAGGAAGGCCTCACTGAGGAGGTAACCCCTGAGCTGATCTTGAAGGATGCAGACAGGACGGGGGATGGATGTTAAAACGGGACAAATGGCATGGACAGAGGAAGAGGCTGCCCGCTCAGTTTCTCTGGGTGTCTGGGCATCTAGACATTCATTCTGTCTCACAGCAGCACTTTTCTGCTTCCAGCTCGCAGAGTGGGGAAAACAGCCACCCAGAGCCCTCCATTTACATGGCTTCCAGCCAGCGCAGTTGGTCCAAGGCTGGAATTGTAGTCCCAATTCCAATTTTCCATGTCTAATGCCCACTCCTGGCCTTGTAAATTGTGGCCAGGTGAGGTAGACACTGTATGGACAAGATCCAGAAGTCTCTGTGGCTCTAACCAAGAGGGCTGGTGGGTGGAGGGCATTTCCCAGGGAAAAAGAGTGGAGTGGGGTGCTGAGTGGACAGCCCCTAAATCTCCATGCAACCTCAAAGGGATGATTCCAACCAGAAACTGATGCCTATACAGCCCATGTGCCCTGTTATCTTTGACACACAAGCTTCTGATTGAAGGACAGTAATTATTACCCCAAATGTGTTAGGAAATAGTAATCTCCCAGATATAGGCTGTCCCATGTGCACTTTGGGCTGCAGGCCCAAGCACATGTGTGTATGTACACACACATATACACACACATACGTGCATACACATGTGCACGCACCAGTCCACACACCCAGAGCAAGAGGAGGAACTCAACTCCTCCTGCAGTCTGCCTGCATCTGCGAAGGATCACCAGCACAAACAATGCAGGGTGACTCATCGCCTGTGACTAACAGGCCTGCGGCTCCTCAGGTCCTCATGGCAAATGTCTCATCATTGTCCTTTTAAACCTTCAATGATGGGGGTCTCCCTAACCTGGCCTCCACCTCCAACCCAGAGGAGCCTGGAGGGAGAGAGCTCATTCAGTTAGGAGGGGAGGGGAGAGCTTAGAGGAATTCACCAGATCTGTGCAATGGGGTGGTGGTGGGGGTGTTACTTTATGAGATGATTTACTGAACATGTGCTGCAACACAGCACTCTTCACTGGAAATTCAGAACAGGGGATAATTTCCCCACAATCTATTTCCTGGCATCTTTTCAGAAATCCATGGATGGTGCAAAGTAAGATTGGAGTGTTGAGGGGGAGGAATGTCTCAGGGGGAGCAGAAACTGCCAGTTTAAAAGCGATCATCAGCTGGATGCGGTAGCTCACGCCTGTAATCCCAGCACTTTGTAGTCCCAAAACCATTGCCCTGCCAGTGGTTTTGGTGAGCATGTCCACCAGGAGATGGGCCTGTCCAGGGTCCCAGTTGTGGAGCTGGGAAAGCAACTATTTATTCAACAAAGGACGAACAGGAAGACCAATGTAACTGAGGATGAGAAGGAGGAATGGGAGACAGATTCAAATGATCCATGAAAGCCATCCTAGAGGCCTGCTATAGTTGGGATGTGATTTGTGCTCACCAAATCTTATGTTGAAATTTGATCCCCCATGTGGTGTTGGGAGGTAGGGCCTAGTGGGAGATGTTTGGGTCTTGAGGATAGAGCTCTCAAGAATGGCTTGGTGCTGTTCCCAAGGCAATAAGTGAGTTCTCACTCTGATGAGAGCAGATTAGTTCCTGGAAGAGTGGGCTATTACAAAACCAGGATCCCCCTCAGGCTTTGCCTTTTCAGATATGTCCACCTCCCCTTTGACCTTCCACCATGTTGTGATGCAGCACAAAATCCCTTACAAGGAGCTGAGCAAATGCTAGATGCTAGCCCCATGCTTATTGAACTTCCCAGCCTGCAGAACCAAGAGCCAAATAAACCTCTTTTCCTTGTAAATTATCCAGCTTCAGGTATTCCTTTATAGTAACACTAAACAGCCTGTGAATGCTTAGGAGTGAGAACTCCAGGAGAAAGACTACTTCCTACCAGTCTTAGCAGGTTAGGATCAAAAGCTTTTCTAATTTGAATGAAAATTAGGAGAAAATATGAACTTCTTCTGAACTTCAAGCTTGTCAAGGGAGATCCTGGTTGCTCACGTAATGCATCACATAGGACAGGCCAGGTTATGCTAAGTCACAAACAGCTTTAGAAAATCTTACTGATTCAAAACAACAAAGGTTTCTTTTTTGCTCACAATGACATGTTCATCACAGATCTTCAGGTGCTCAGCCTGTCCTAGTCAGCCAGAGGGCCAAGCAGCTATTATGTGGCACTTGGACAATTGTCATGGAAAAGAGTATGCTGACTTTAAAAGTTTCCACCTGGAAGCAACACTCATCCTTTCCGCTCATGTGGCAAGTCACATGGCGCGGCCTAACTTCAAGTGGGCAGGGAGTAACCCCTTTCAAGAGCCCAGAGGAGGGAGGGCTGGAGTATTTGTGAACAGCCCTAATAACTTGCGTGCTTAACCAGAGCACATGGCGTGCAGCAGATTCCTGGTACAGACTCTATTGACCTCAGGAATTCCGAGAAGGGAGACAGCATCATGGCTAGATTCAGGGAAATCTTCCTGGAGGAGGTGAAGTCTGAGGTTAACTTTGAAGGACAGTGCAGCTTTAGACCTATTAGATAAGGAAGATGGGCCAGAGGGAACAGCCTGAGACAGTAGATTTGGAAGGAGACCAGGTCTGGAGGCCATAGTAGTTCCTTACTTACATCTTCTCCCAACCGTGGTCTCTTTCAGGCTCCAGGACTCATGCTGGGAGGGCAGAAGGAAAAGACTGGGCTGAGGCCAAGCAGAGATGAAAGTTGTTTTCGAGTATTAACCTGATCAGGAAAGGAGAGTTGGTGGAGACCCCTCAACATCCTCGGCCGCAGGCCCATCACACCCATACTCATCTCCGGAGGAGTTCCAGTTCAGAGAGGAGGTCTAGCCAGACTGGCAGCTGTGCTGTTCTGTCCCTCACTGACTTTTTCCTCCAGCAGATGGGCCCCAGGGCCCCACTGTCAGGCCATCCCCAGAACGAAATAAAAGCATTTTTATGAGAGAAAGAGACAGAGGGGGAAATGAGTGCTAGGTTTCTCTGCTAGTCACTCACCCAGAAAAAGCACCAACTGGGGGTCTTAATATAGTCCTATGGACTGAGTACTGAAGATAGAAGGAAAGACAAGGCCTTGCTTGGGGATGTCCTGGTGTGGAGGAGATGTGGTCCTTCCCTTTGAGATATCCTCAGGCAATGCCTTCAGGGTATTCTCGGTCTTAAAGGGAAGATAGAACTTCTCTGCATCCTGTTTCTCATCCTTCATAGCAATTAATTGAAATTGGCAACAGGAACCCAAGATGGTCTGGGAGCAGGTGTTAGGAGGACTTCACACTCCTCCCAACTGGGGCCACTCACAAGAGAAGCCTTAGACTTGGTCTATCTAACTGCCGGGTTATTGCAAGGAATAAATGAGCTCTTTGATAAGAGAGTGCTAAACAACAAAAACAACATTAGTAATAGATCATTCAAAAGCCAGGGCCTGCAGGTTGGACGGCTTGATGTCAAGGCCCTGAGGATGGTTAAGGACTAGACTCCCCACTTTCCCTACAAGTGGCCGCCCAGTACTGCCCTGGTGATGGGTAGTCTTCCGTGGGGCCAGCTCCTGGGGGATAAAAGAGGAGCCACAGGGCAGAGGGGAGGAATAAAAGAATGGAGTGGGATGGCTGAGGTGGGCAGGATGAGGATGGGTAGGAAGCGCAGGAACTGGAAGAGAATAGGGCAAAGCGCCTCCTGGGGTTGAGAATGGGAGAGGGCCCAACAGTTGGTTCTAGGGTGGGTAGGAGATGAATCACAGTTCTGGGATGAGGGGGTAGAAGTCTGGTATATTGACCAGGGGGAGGACTTGTGGCAGGAGATGGAAATTGCGGTGAGCTGTGTGAGTTTCAGATACACAGGGACAGCCAAAGGCAAGAGTGAAGACGGTCACAGCCTGGAGCAGAAGGCTGGCCTTCCCCAGGCTCAGATTCTGATGCCCCCACCCCTCTGCCTCTGAGTCAGGCTCACAAGCCCCGTGGGAAGCTGTGGATGCTTCTGAGGCACCAGAGGGGCTGGGTACTGCTGAGGAGGGGAAGGTGGGGCTGGGAAGCAGGCAGGGGCTTAGAGCAGGAACAGAGATGGGCTCCAGGGACTGGGCAGTGAGCTCCATGGTCTCTCTGTGGACCAATATCAGGGCCAGGTTTTCACCCTTCCTAGAGCTACGTGTCCAGGAGCAAAGAGCTGCTTGGATCTTCCTCGGAGCGGTGCATGTGCTAAGAGGAGGAATAGAATGGCTTCTGCCATCAAAACTGTCCCCCTTCCTTCTCTCATCCAGTCAGCACTGGATGCACCTTGGGCGGAGGAGTTCAGTGATGCTCACCTGGGATCCAGCCAGGAGAGGGCGTGGTCTTCACCCCTGCATGGACCCCTAGGTGGCCAAAGATCAGGACTCTAGTGCTCAGACTTCAAAAGTGAGCACAAAGGCATATAATAATAATGATAATAATAATAATAGCAACACATTCTTATCTTGTGCTTGGCACTGCTCAAAGGACTTTGCAGCTGGAATCCCACCACAACCCTGCTATTGCCACCTATGTTTTATAGATGGGGAACTGGGCACAGAGAGGTGAAGGAATTTGCCCCAGGTCCCAGGGCAGGAAGGGGAGCAGCTGGATTCCAACCCAGACAGCCCAGCTTGTGGGCCTGTGCTCCAACTGGACATGGACTGATCTGCTGGAGGGTTTCCGTTACAGCCAGCAAGTCCTTCACTCAGAAGATACTGCCAAACTCGGGGCTGGGCGCTGCTGGGGCTCTGGGATCAGTGCCCTGGAGTCCTGGGCTTAGGAGTTGGGGGAGGCCAGCCAGGCAAAGGGGCCCTGGGGGTCTGAGGCAGGCAGGTCAGCTGAGCAGGGCTTCAGGGTGCAGAGGGAGGGGCAAGATATGGGCACAGGCATGGAGTAGGGGCAAGGAAAGAGTAGGAGGGAAGAAGGGAGGGGGACTCTCCAGACAGCAGATGAGTGAATTGGGAGAGCTGAGGGTGAGGGTTAAAACGACAGCAAATGCAGGCCTCATCTGGTCTATAAACAAATAAAATTGGAGCCACAGTGGGGCACAAACAATGTCCTGGAGACAGAACAAGTCGCCACATGCCCTGAGTGAGGCTGGAAGAGGGTGGGCTTCGGAGCTGCTCCTGGCAGACGCCTTGCTGGGCCACAGTGTCAGAGACTCAGAACATGTGCTAAGTTCCAAAGAAGAAGAAAATCCCCTAGCCCATGGGCTGCCTGGAGTTGGGGACGCTGGAAGGGGGAGAGAAGGACCTCCTCAAACTCGGGCAGGCTCTGACCTTCAGTGAGGACTCAGGAGTCTGCAGGGACACTGTCCAGGAGGCACACAGGGAGCTTGGCCTAGGAGGCCAGAAACGGGGGGTTCAGGTCTGGCCCTGCTCCTGCCTGTGAGGGACCTTGGGTAGTTCACAGCCTCTCTAAGCCTCATTGGTGACATGGGCACATGGACTATAACTATTGCTATTATCAGAATTACTCTCATCAGTAGAGAGCCTTCCGGGGAGCCCTGCTCAGGCATCTGGGCTCCTTCTGGCCTCTGTGGGCAGGACCACCCCTGACACCCCTGACACCCCTGTCTACAGCAGGGCTTCTCAACCTTGGCACTGGTGACATTTTGGGCTGGAGGCTTCTTTGTTTTGAGGGCTGTCCTGTGCATTTCAGGAAGCAGAATCCCCAGCTTCTACCCATTAGATGCCAGTAGCACCCCATCATGAAAACCAAAATCCTCTCAAGACTTTGTCAAAGGTGCCCCCTGTTGAGAGCCATGGGTCTAAAGGGAAGATAGGTGAAGATGAGCCACAGGACAGATGAGCCAAGGGGCTGCACTGGCAGATCCTGGGGTGGGTCCCTTCATCTCTCCCAGGTCCTCAGTTTCCTGCTTCTTATTATGGGAAACAGAACTCTGGGCCTCCAAGACAGAAGGAGAGATGCTGTTTGGAACCTGGAAGCTGTTTTAGGTCGGGTTGGGTGGGCTGAGGGACCACTAACTATCCCATCAGGAGAGCGCTAGGAAGGAGGCGTGTGGTCAGGGACACCTGTGTGCTTTGCTCCCACGTGCCGCTCCGCCTCATTCCTGGTGCTCCTCTTGTCTTCATTTCAGTTCAGACCCTTGCAGTTTTCCTCTGTACTATGCTGTTTCGTAACGACGTGCCTTTGCACATTCTATTTCCTCTGCCTAGAGAAGTTTACGTGCCTTGTCAATCTGTCGAACTCTTATTCATTCTTCAAAATCCAACCTAGGAACCATCTCCTCTATGAAACCATCCCTGACCTCCCTGATGGAGTGAATTTTTCCCTTCATGGACCTTGTCTCTTGCCCTTCTCTCTCGAACTCCTGGCCTCGAGCAATCCTCCCGCCTCAGCATCTCAAAGTGCTGGGATTACAGGCATGAGCCATCATGCCCAGCCCTGCGCTTCTCTCAGTAAGGTTTCATTGCCTGTCTATTCTACTAGACTCAGAATTCCTGGAGGGAAGTTCCTCGAGTTCAGTGACACTCAGCACAGAGCCAGGCATGCTGATCGGCCCAGTCAGTATTTGTCGAGTTGAACATAATTCAGAGGCAGAGGGAGATTCAGCCCATTAGGAAGGCCGACGCCTCTGCCAAGGTAGGCTCTGACTCGCTGCGGGAGGAAGACTGCCCTTTCTCACCACAGGGACTTGTAGGACACCCCAATCTAAACTAATGTAGGAACCACAACAAGCTGTTCATGGGGCACCAGCTGGTCCCAAAAGTGGAATTCTAGAACCTTAAAATTGCAAGGGGGCTCTGAGGGCCAACCTTCTTTACAGGCAAGGAATCTGAGTCCCAAAGAAGTGACAGGCCCTGCCCTAGCACACCTAGGTAGTTAGTGACTCAACCGGAACAAGAATGTAGGTCCCTGCAATCCCAGCTTGGGGCTTAGGCTGCCTCAGAAAGCAAGCTGGGCCAGGAGCAGTGGCTCACACGTGTAATCCCAGCACTTCGGGAGGCCAGCGCAGGTGGATCACCTGAGGTCAGGAATTCGAGACCAGCCTGGCCAACATGGCGAAACTCCATCTCTACTAAAAATACAAAAATTAGCTGGGCATGGTGGCGGACACCTGTAATTCCAGCTACTTGGGAGGCTGAGGCAGGAGAATCTCTGGAACCCAGGAGGCGGAGGTTGCAGTAAGCCAAGATCGCTCCATTGCACTCCAGCCTGGGCGACAAGAGCCAAACTCCGTCTCAAAAAAAAAAAAAAAAGCTGACCCCTCCAAGGTGTAGCCCTGAGTCTGAGGAGCTACGAGGTAGGAATCAGCCTCACACATCTGCACAGTGGGAACAGCAGCACCTGCTTCCGAAGGAGTCGGTAAATGTCATGAGGCACAACGACAGCACACAGTAGGTCTTCACTAAGGTGAGGTCCCCCCGCCACCCCCACTTCCTGCTCCTCCCAAGAAGGTGCCAGCACTGAGAGCCATTGTACAGTTCAGAATCAGGAAGTTTGTCACAGGCGAGGAGCCAGGTTTTACAACAGGAACTGCTGTTTCCTGAGAACGCGGTGTTCCCAGAGGTCAGCCCTCCCCACCTCTCTCTCCTCAGATCCCATTCAGCCCCACTCCATCCCCACACAGAGTCACCCATTACTGTATGTTCAATGTGTGCTCTCAAATTTGCAGCCCCAGCCACAACCTCCCTCCCGAGGACCCGGCCCACATTCCCCCCGGCCAGCTGGACTTTGGCCTTGGCTATCACATCCTCACCCTAAAGACCGAAGGCCTGAAACCAGGCTCTGGTCTGCTATGGGACACATGGGTGGTTTGTCAGGAGCTGCTTCTAGCCCTTCCCTGCCACCCTGGGATCACTAGACTTGTCTACAGAACATGAAAGGATTGGATCTGAGTCTAGGTGCTTTGCTAGCTCCATGGGGCACAAGACATAGCTGTCTCTCCTGCTCTGTGCTCCTCCTCCCCATAATCTGCCCTCCAACCTCCAGCTTCTTATCTTTCTTGGACTTGTCACCCTTACAAAATTAAATGCTTTTAGGGTCAGTGGCCACATGCCAGGGAAGTGGGTCTTTCAACTGCACACTCCCAAGGGCCAAAGACACAACCTTTTCATCTCCAAAGGCTCAAGGACACCACTCACCCTCCTGTTTCTTTCTTTCTTTCTTTTCTTTTAAAATTTCTTTTCTTTTTTCAGTAGCTGCCACTGTCCACTCCAGGTGTCATGGTGATATGGAGATGGCTTTAGATGCATATTCCATCAGACGACCCAGAAGTACTCAAATCTTTCCTAACCCCTCAATCCATTACAAAAAACGTAAAGCAAAGTAATAGGATACCTTGTTGCCAGCTGGGGCTTTGACCCCCTGCGCCAACCTAGGAAGCAATGCTGTGGCCACCTTTCTCCTCAGCTTGTCAGGCCCCATAGCCTTGCGCCAAAGAACCTCTTTCTCCTATGGCCACACCTGAGTCTTAGGTGAGCAAAGGCCAGCACTAAGAAGCAGCAGGTGCCTCGATGTGTGGGCCTTCGTGGCCCAGGTGGCCTGCCAGGAAAAAGACTCAGGTTCACGCTGTCTGAACGGGAGTGGGCTTGCAGCAGGGGAAGAAGAAGGTGCGAGAAAGACATGTCTCGGGCTACTTGGAAACAGGTGGGGGAGGAACATCAACAGAGAAGCACCTGCTGTAAGGGAGAGCAGCCCCTGGGCTTTTCCTCCCTGCACTCTGCAAAGTGGATGAGGGCTGGGGAGCCAGCCCCAGGCTCAGCACTGCCCTGGCAGAGCAGGAAAGGGGCCACGCCCATGTGCACTGGGGTTTTTAAACAGGCACGGTGACCCCACCCACTAGTGCAGTGACCCAGTGGATATCTGAATTGGCCCAGGAAGACAGTGAGAAGGTACAGAGAGACATTTTTTCCTGCAGAAGGCCACAGCAGCACTCCCTGCCCTAATGGGCCTGGCTTGCTTCCACGTGGTGACTTTGAAGGCTATTCTCCTTTAACAGGTTCCCCCAAATCTTGATGGAGAATCAGGTAGCAGACAACATACGTCACAGATGCAGGAGGTTGGGAGGGTTCTGCAGACCCCAGCTTGTTTCCTTAGAGAAGGCCCAGGATGCCTGGTGACCTCTGGAATCCTGGCATTGTGTCCTACTTGGTGATGCCCCCTTCCCACACCTCAGAGTATTCCTGATTCCCACAAATTCCTCAAAAAAAATGACTCACATAAAATGAATTTGCAAGCAGTTGGCATAGTGAAAAAGGGTGGGCTCTTGACTCAGATCTGGGTTGCAATTTCCACTTTCCTGATACCTAGCAGTGAGACCCTGGACAGGTTCCTAGCTCCCGCAGCCTGCGTTTGCTCATCCCAGGGGATGGGGATGTTATCTTCCTGGTGATTGTGAGGATCACTGTGGAGACAACCTGTAGAGTGTCCAGGTTGCTCTGTGAGATGCTCCATAAGTGGTAATGAGCAGTTACTCCAGATTTAAAAAGGAACTCAGATAGTAGTAATAAAAACCAACATAGGGAGAGTACGCATTTTATGCCAGACACTAAACTAAGGACTTAAATTGAATCTTATTTAACACTCAAAATAGCTCTATGGGGTAGATACTATCTATTATGAACTGAGTGTTTCTGTTCCTGAAAATTCATGTTGAAACCCTAACCCCCAATGTGATGGTATTGGGAGGTGGGGCCTTTGGGAGGTGATTGAGTCATGAAGGTGGAGCCCTTGTGAATGGGGTTAGTGCCCTTATAAAAGGAGGCCAGAGATCTAGCTAGTTCTTTTTCCACTGTGTGAGGACACAGAGAAGTTGGCAGTCTGCAACCTGGAAGAGGCCCTCATCAGAACCTGCCCATGCATGAAACACCCCGATCTTGAACTTCTACCCTCCAGAACTGTGAGAAATAAATGCTTGTTGTGTAAACCACCCAGTCGATGGTACTCTGTGATAGCAACCTGAAATACGATTTCCATGTTACAAAAGGAATTTGGGACACAGAGAGGTAAAGAACTGGTTCAAGAGCAGAGTGAAGACTTGAACCCAGAAATACTGACTCCAGAGTGGCCATTTTAGGAAGAGGTAGCAAGAAGGGGCAGAAATGAAGTTGGAGAACTAATCAAACATGGCCCACAAGTTTGTCTGTTCTTAAGGATGGGATCCCCACTGAAACATATGGTAAAGATCTCATTTGGGAGGAAGCTCTGGGCAGGTAGCCCACCCCTATCCCCCGTGTTTGCAGACCTTGCTTTCTGAGCCATCCCAGGTGGGTTTTGGGTGGAGGGAGTAGTCTCTCCTGTCTTTTGGGGTCTCTGTTGAAATAGATCATTAACCTCTCACCCAACTCTGATATATCCCAGGCAGCTCAGACCCAGCTAGTGTGGGAGGGGGTGGGGGCAGAGCCTGGCATCCCTCAGAATGTGGAGGGAAAGGTCTTCAGTAGCACACATGCTGGGAGTTTGAGCCAGCAGCTGTGATGGCAGCATTGCTGACTTGCAAAAGACATCTGTTGGCATGCAGGCATTGTGAAGGAAAGCTTGTAATTGCAGCTATAGATCAAATGCGGACAGAGGAAAAACTGTCAACCTCCTTGGAGTTATTTTGTAGAGAAGAGCAGAAAAATGCAGCTGTGATGTGATAGCTGGGCTGGCTGGATGTTGGCAGAGGAGGGATTCCTGGGGCCATGGTGGAGGAGGGGTCCCCTACCTCAGAAAGCATTGCTGTGCCCTTCACTTTCAGGGTGACAAAACAGCCGGACTCCCAGAGGAAGAGGCCCCTCCACCATGGGGACTGTCATGGGAGCAGCTGTGAACTAAGCCCAGTTTATCTTTAGCATCCTTGTTCTCTTTCTGGATTTGAGTTCTGGTTCTGCCACTTATAGCTCTGTGCCCTTTGGCAAGTCACTTAAAGAAAATAACTCTATGTATTGAGTTCCCGCTATCTGTTAGCTCCTGGGGTTGGTCTTCTCAGCTGGAGTTTACCTTCTTCCTCACCAACAGAGACTGATTTTATTCGGGCTTCCGCCTTCTCCCAGCCAGCCTCGGGCTTTAGCCCAGCTGCGGCCATCTGTAGCCCCTGAAGGTGGATCCCGATTGGTTCAAGCCAATGAGAGCCGTTCCACTTCTCTTACCTGTGATTGGCTTAGGCATGGGCTTGTGACCCAATCCTGGCCAGTGAGATTCAAGAAGAAGTCTATAAGGGGTACTTTGGGAAGGTTTCTCATTTCATTCTCCCGAGACGCTCTGGATATTGTGCATGGAACCACTATAGGCATCCAGCTGCCAGCCTGAAGCTGACAGCAGCACTGAGGATAGCATCTGGGTCCTTGATGATGCCATTGAGCTGCTAAATTAACCTTTTCTGGAGCTAGCCTACCTTGCGGTTTCTTGTTATAGGAGATAATAAATTTCTTATTGGTTAAGCCCCTTTGAGTTGGGTTTTCTGTTAATGGCAGTTAAAAACATCCCTACTGCTTCTTGCCTCACTGAAAAAGGGGTAGGAAAAGTATGTTCTCTCTCCCACACTAGACGATCCCATAGCTGGGTGGCTTGGTCTCTGAGGTGTCATTGTCTTATAGCTTTCACATAGCAAGCTGTCCCTGCTACCACTCAGGGTGCAAATACATCCCTTTGATGGCAAGATGGGTGGGCTCATGTAACAGCCATTTTGCCCTCCCAACACGCAGCCTGTTTTGCTGGATAAGGCCCATTATGGCAGGTCTGTTCTCTCAGGCAGATGAAGTGATCTGAGGAAGTGTTTGTCCGATAAATGTCTCTCACTGCTTGTTTTATGAGTTACTTGGTATTATGAGATATGTTACATGCAAGCTTGTGTTGGAATCGATGAATTATTAAGTGTCCACTATCTAGTTTTGCCTTGGAATGTCTTGTGCTCTCTGGATATAAGATGAGGACTGAAAACTCCACTGATCCCTGCTGGATATCTCTGGCTTAGTAATAATGAATGATGGGGACACTGCCCCATCTGGGACTTTCCCAGCTCAGCTTTTGCCTGAGGAAGGAGCTGATTAATGTGGGACTGATTAATGTGGGATACTTTCTGGTGTCAAAAAGAGGAAGATTAAAGGGCTATACCTTCTCCCTCTCCCCCCCACCTCCAAGCCAGACAGCTGAGACCACTGAGATGCTTGGTCCCATGTCCACTTCTGAGATGCTGAGCGGGAGGAGTGCAGCAGTGGTCAGAAAAAGTCCATTTCTGCCCAAGAGGACTCACAGCTTGCATCCCTTATTTGATTAACACATCCTAAACAAGTAGGCTTCTGTAAAAACCCTGGAGGTCAAAGAATTCAAGTCAAACAGCTCCCAGAGAAGATTAGGAAGACTGAAAATGGACCGTCCCCACTGCTGTCCACAATTAATTCCTTCTAGGGAGCTCTGTAAGTCCTAGGCTGAATCTGGGAGTCGCAGATGCCCTGGGGAGGTCAGGGCTGCAGGAGCTCCGAGTCCAGCTAAGCCCCAGTGGGGTAAGAAAGATCTGCTCGCTTCAGGGCCAGACTCATCAGCTTGCAGACAGAGGTGGACCTAAGCCAGGAGAAGGCAGGGAGCTCTTTTGGACTTCACACTACCAGTCCTGTCGTCCTCATGAGGGCTTCTTGTTGCTTATGAAAATAGATCTTGTTTTCCTATAGGCGGTAAGTTCTTTCCCTGCTACCTTTAGCTAGAAGGAAACTCAGACCAGCAACTCAGACAGCAGCCTCTGGAATCTGCCTAGGTTCAAATCCTGGCTGCACCATGACTATCTGCGTGTCCCTGGGCTTTATGCGATCACTCTGCAACTCGGCTTCTTGTCTGTACAATGTGGAGATCACAGCGTCCCTCATGGAGTGGCCAGGAGTGTTAAAGAAAGTGGCACAGGAGCCCATTTGGATCTGGCGCATAGTTGTGAGCTACTATGTGGGTATCACAAAGCTGGGCTCTCTCCCAGGACTTGGTGACCTGGTTGCTTTGAGGTTTATCTGCCCCCACCCCGTCTGTCAGACACACCTGCATGTCTTGTGCTCAGAGCCCCGTCCTGACTCTCATTCCGCCCTCATATGGGCTTTGTGCGGAGGGTGGTCCTGTGTTAATGTTTCCATTTGAGCAATTTCCAGAGGTTAAGAAGGTTTGGGGGCAGCTGAGCATGTGTCCCCATAGCAACCCTGTGAAAGGGGGATGGGTATGTCTTTAGAACCCCCCGCCATGTGGTCCTGCCTGCGGTCCCCATGAGAACAGAGGAGAACAGGCAGCACCTCCTAGTCTGCAAAACCAAGGTGTGGAGGGCCAGGGGCTGACAGGGAGGATGGGCTGGTGGACAGTCCTGGGGCACCGGAGCAAGGGCTCCAGCCACAGAGATGGAGAGGGAGAAGGGCTGGGGCAGGCAGCCCACAGCCCCACCGGTCTCATCCAGTAGAGAGGAAACTCACATGCCTGTGAACCTAAGGCAAGAACACCAGGCAACAGATGTCACAAATGATGTCTCCCCAGGACTCTGGGGAAGAAGCGAGGGGTGAGGGATACTTAGGACAGCTCCCCAAGCTTTTGTTCCTCTCAGAGCTGTGCCTTGGGTGCCTGGACCCATGTTGAGACGGAGTCCGGGGCTGGGGGAAGCACCCATCATACCCAGAAGGTCACGCTCTTGGTCTATCCTTTATCATGAGAGAACCCAGGGGCGAAGGGCACAGGAGACACGCATATCTCTTCTCTGATGGAGCTTAAGCAATTCAAGGGTGCTGCCTGCCCCCGTCCACCACCCTTCTGCCCCAACAGCCTCCCTGCCCTCAGGCTAGATTAAGCTGTTTCGTCTGAAAAGTCTGCCTCTGGATTGGCTCTTTTTAGTCTAAAACAACATAACCATATCGGAAAAAAATAAATAAATAAAATAAAAGCTTGGGGAAAACAAATCAGCTGCAGTCCTACCAACCATTGTCATTGTTTCCCTTTTCTCCCAATCTTGGTCCAGATGTTGGCCTGCCTTCACCATGCTGTTCTGTGTCCTATTTGTGAACCTGGTGTTGTCAGGAGCCTGGGTCATCCATCTGAAGATACATTACCTCGACTCCACACCCCTCCCAGGTGTGCAGACACCCCTGTCTGCTGCTCTGGGCCTACTCTCCACCTTCGTCACCCTGCTCTGGACCTGGGAGGCTGGCCTGTCTTGACTGTACCCACTCACACCCCTGCCCTCTGGCCTTGGTGGGGTTTGGCCAGTAGGGAGCCCCAGCCAGAGGCAATAAGGAGGAAGGAAGGAGGTTTGGGGATTCATTGTATCTGCTTGCTAGGGCTGCCATAACAGTGGACCGCAGGCTCAGGGCCTTAAACAACAGAAATGGATTCCTTTCAGTTCCGCCTTCTCCCTGTGTCCTCACACAGTCTCTCCTCTCTGTGTGTGTGACCCTGGTGTCTCTTAGTATGTCTGGATTACCTCTTCTTCCAATGACACCAGTCAGATTGGATGAGGGCCTCAATTTTTAACTTATTCATTTCTGTCTAAGCTCCATTTTCAAACACAGTCACATTGTGAAGTACTGGGGGTTATGGCTTCCACATATGGGTTTTGGGGGAACAATTCAGCCCCATAACATCACCTCCCTCCTTCCTCCTTCTGGGGTCACTGAGGACCGGCTGTGTCCTATGACAGAAGGTCACAGCTTTGTCAGGCAGCATCCCAGCTCCCTTGCCCCTACCACTTTCTCTCTTTCCCCACCTGCCCCCAGCCAGGTGGAATTAACGGTGCTGAGCTTTCCCACCTCTGAGGACTGCACTGCGTCTGGTTTCCCCCAAGCCCACCCATACCTTTGTAAAATGGTCCCTCCGTAACTCTGCTCACTCATCCACTCTGAGTGGTGCTGTTTCCTGCTGGCCCTGCCTGACACCCAGGTATGTTAGCCGTCCAGGCTGCTCTGAGGATTTCCATGAGGTGGGGCTGGGGGCCACCCCCAGTTCAGCTCTCCCTCGCCAGGAGATTCTGCCCTGGTCACTTACTAAAGGCATGAAGGTCAAGAGGGGCATGACTTTATGTGATAATAGAGCAAATGACTAAAACACAACGTCCCGCACCTCCAAGACTCTGGCGTGAGGAATCCTCCATGAATGCTCCTTCACAGACACTTGCTCGATGCCTGGATGTCCTACTGGGCAGCTCCTGCCTCCTCCAGCTGCCAGCCCCCAGTCTCTCAAATTCCTGCTACTTCTTTTAATTCAGTAGCCATCCCCCTTCTTCACATTTTAGCCCATCAGGGCCATTCCCTGGGGGCTTCACATTTCACACCAAAGAGGCCTCCTAGTACTGGGCCAAACAGATGCTCTCTGTGGGAGACTCTGCACCGTCTTGTAAACCAGCGATTCTCCTCCTTCCGCATTATGGCCTCTTTTTACCTCATATAATCCCATGACCCTCTTTCTATGTATTGTGTAGTCTATGACATTTGGAAGAGGTAGCCTGCCTCTGTTTATCTGTCCAGGCACCCTGTTGTTGGATATCTATGGCGTTTATACTTTGTTAAACACATTTTTAGATCCAATTCCTCCTTTCTTCATTTCCCAGTTCTCAGGCATTGTGTATGGTTAAAATTAGGAGATGCTCAAAGTATGATTTCACAAATCACATGGTTTATTGCCCTACAGAGATGATATTTTTCCTAGGTTCACAATGCTTAAGGAGGGGGAGAACAACATGAACAAATCTCACAGGGAATGCGCTGGGTAGACAGGGTGTATTAGTCACGGGGTGAGTGAGTTCCAAAGTTACTAAAGTCTACTTGCTCAATTAGGATGGAAGCAGGCCTCTGTGGAGAGCGAAGCCTCATTAAAATGTGGTGTGTCTCTTTTATAAGAGCAGCTCTTGGGAGAGAAGCTGTCCAATGCAACGGAGATTCACAGAGACATATATGGTCCCTCAAGGCTAGAGGGTGGCACTGGTGTTTGTGGGCGATGCTTCCAAGTTCAAAGGCTAGCAGGGTGGGGCCCTGTCGAAGAGAGGCTGACAGAGTGTAGCTTGCCACAGCCCAAGCTCTCAAAGTGTCTGTCGAACCCTTAGGTTTTTACATAGTTTGAAGTTCAGTGGTTGAGGTCAGTAGCTCACTCGTAGGATCTGATAAGGTGTGATGTCACATTCTTGAGAGGGGGAAGGACTACAGTCCAAGTTCTTGTCATAGCAAAACATGTTACTCAAGCTATGGCCATGTTTGGAATCATTTCCAAGTTCCATAATGTCAGGAATGCTGCAGTGGTCTGTGTATGTGGTTTCAGTCACCTTCCACATAGAAAGCTTTGACTTCCCCTGAGTTATTTTGAGCAGATGGTTATAGGTGGTTCTTGCTCAGGACCGTCGTTCAGACGGACTCACGCAGACTAGAGATGCTCTCTTAAGACCTTGGAGCTCATCCGAAAGGGAACACCTCATGGATCTGCTGAATGTGAAGTCCATGCCGAAGGAACCACGACAGGAGGAGCTGTGTCACCAAACATTCTGATAGCTGCTCCTTGCTTTTCAGGCATTTCTGTGTAACATCCTACAACTCATGTAACAAGACAGTGAGCAATGAAAACCCTTGTTGTGTTGAGCCTGACAAAGGCGGAATTCCCCAAAGTCTGGCACAAACACCAGTCACGTGGTATCCTCCCCTAAAAAGGTGTTGAGTGGTCAAGGAAGTTTGGAAAACACTTTACCCACCATTAATGCATTTAGTGAAGTCTCAGAATCATGTATAAACATATTCTTTTTTTTTTTTTTTTTTTTTGAGACAGAGTCTCACTCTGTCACCCAGGCTGGAGTACAATGGTGCGATCTCAGCTTACTGCAACCTCTACCTCCGGTTCAACCAATTCTCCCACCTCAGTCTCCTGAGTAGCTGGGATTACAGGCATGCGCCACCACACTCAGCTAATTTTTGTTTTTGAGACAGAGTCTCGTTCTGTTGCTCAGGCTGGAGTACAGTGGTGCAATCTTGGCTCACTGCAACATCTGCCTCTTGGATTCAAGCGATTCTTCTGTCTCAGCCTCCTGAGTAGCTGGGATTACAGGCATGCACTACTACACCCAGCTAATTTTTGTATTTTTAGAAGAGGCAGGGTTTCACTACGTTTCCCAGGCTGGTCTTGAACTCCTGACCTCATGTGATTCACCTGCTTCAGCCTCCCAAAGTGCTGGGATTATAGGTGTGAGCCACTGTACCCGGCCAATTTTTGTGTTTTTAAAGGAGACGGGGTTTTGCCATGTTGGCTAAGCTGGTCTCGAACTCCTGGCCTCAAGTGATCTGCCTGTTTTGGCCTCCCAAAGTTAAATATATTCACTTTTAAAATCCAATATTTCCCAAACTTATTAGTTTTAATGTATATAAAACACCAATTAACATCTCACAAAGCTCAAGAGCCATGGAATAGACTTTAAGAAACATTGCCCTAAGATCCTAGAAATCTTTGATCACGATTATCAAAGATGGTCCTTGCTTTATAATAATCCTTTGAAAATTGTTGACATAGATATGAGAGTTAACTAGAGTGTTGGATTAATGAGGCCACCCTCATCCTGCAAATCTCTGCGGCTAGTGCTTTTACAATTCTGTTTTTCTGTTTTATA